>NC_000009.12:66018289-66391387 GCF_000001405.40 Homo sapiens
AGTGGGACTGCTGGAAAAAGAAAAAATTCTTTTTCTTTAAACCTGATCATGTCTGTCCTCATAAATGCATGTTACACCCATCTCTCGCCATCAATGCAACCCGACCCCGAGCAGTTGTTCACTCTTCTCTTCCCTCGTTCTCGGCACACCGTGTGCCTCCATACCCCAGCCTCAGGCCTTTCTATACCACTTCCCATTTGAGGCACTGTGTTTTTATTCAACTTTGGTACTGTCCTTTGAGAATCTTCAACGTGATTTGGATATGGCACTTTTTATCAGGATGTTACGTCAGTGTTGATAAATTCAAAGTAATATCGTTCTTTTTCCTGCCAAAGTCAGCTCCTCCTTTCCACTGCACTTTCCTGCCGATGCCACCACTCTTTCTCCTGAATGTTCTCAGAGGACACCCTTGTACCTGGACTGGTCATTACATAGGTGTAAGTTTTATTCTCTAAAAGGGGTGAGTGAGAGTTTATACTAAGGTTGTAAGCATCCCTCAGGGCAGACTCTGGATGTATATTACAGAACTGCTGAACTTGTGGAATGTGCATGTTTAATACTGAAAATATTTAATGCCACATGTGTAAGACTTTTGCCAACTGGAATCTGAACATCAACAACTTTGAAGGGCTTATTCTACCTTCTCGGCACAAAAATAGTTTCTACGAATGCACATATTTATGTGCAAACGTATAGAAAATTGACTTTAAAGTGTACAACAAATTTATTTTAGCAATTGGGCCTGGGGGACCTAGAAGGAGAATGAGATTGGAGTGGTAGGGGTGGAACATTAGCTAATAATGATTTATTTTATTAAAAGTAATTACTGAAAACCAATGCAATAAAATATTAACATGTTACTTGAAGGGGTTGGGAGTATAGTGCTTATATTCTTCTTTACATGTTTTAATATCTTTAAAATTCCTTGTTTTGCTTTTGCTAAGGAAGTCACAGTTTAATTGGCAGTATATCTCTAATGGTACATGAAATAATGTCTGATTTCTAAACATTGACATTCTACATTAGATGAAATATATTAACTATTAAGCTTTGATATTACACTATAAAATTAATTGAAGAAAGCCACCCCTCTTTGTTTCTTTCTTTTTTAGTTATTATGTGCCCCATGTGATCTGCAGGAGTTTTTTTTCTAGGCTTTGAACATTTTAAATAAAATCAGAATTTGTTCAAGTTCAGTTAACACTCAGCTGTGAACCCTATGGTACTGGGGTCTTTTTCAATGGGAGATCTCTAAGCATTATTCCAAACTATTCTATGCTAATTGATCTATTGATAATTTATAATTTATTATGAAATACATTAAATTTCTTAAAAAGAAAAAGGAAAGAAGTAAAGGGAAACATTTATTACAATTTAAATAAAGGAATTAGCAGTTGAAAACAAGAAAACCTATTCTGAGCATCCATACTTCTCGGCAACCAAAACAATCAATGAAATCAATGCATTGGGTTAAACAGTTCCCAATTGCCCACTATGTTACCAGGAGAAAAAAACCCTTTATCATAGGGTTAAACTTTGGGAAGGATTTTCCATAAGGATCTTAATATAAAGGTTCTTGAATGGCATAATGTATAAGGTCTTTGATAGCAACGCTACCCACAGTGCAAAGATGTTTTACTAGTCCTGTTGGTGTCTCAAATTGGCTCTTGGTAAGTAATCTGGACATATCGTGAAATTATAATTCTGTGTAGACAATTCGACTTACCAGGTTAGAGTGATGCAATCCAAATAGATGGCTTTCTTCTGATCTGGCTTAACAGAAATCTTGAAAAATCTGGAGGAGTAAATGTTTAATATACCCTCAGTTCTCAACCATTCTTCTTCCCCTGAAAGACAACATCACAGGCAGGACATCCTCCCAAGTGTACACGCAATATTATGTACAGTTCCCACGTGAGAAAGCACATCATAATCTTAGTGAGAATGATGTTCTCATAAGGTCAGTTATACTCAGTGTGCATAGTTGTCCAAGTGTGAGTATGAAACCAAGTCATTCGCAAGTACCACTAGTCTGATTATTAGTAATAATAATCCACTTGTGACATAGTTTTTCTTTGCTGAAATAAAATATTGTTTTGACACCATGGTTGAAATGTTGGTCTTAGGTCAATGCTCTCTATTATCTGTTGTTGTTGCCAAGCCTCTGAGAGGTGTTTTATGTGGGGCAAAAGGTCCCTTCCTGTGTCTTTGGTCAAAGCAAAGGAGGAGTACAGACGACTGAGAGAGTGATCACGCTGCTGTGCCCACCTATGCGGTAGACCTTGTTCCTGGGTTGGGAGATGTTTTATGATCAGGGTGCAGTAGAAGGAGCACACTAGTAGCAGTAAAGAGAGGTGACCCTGGCTGCAGTTCTGCCTCTAACTTCCTGAGTGACCTCAGGCTAGTCACACAGTGACTGCTCCCCACATTTCTTTTTGTAAGCTGCAAGGATTGAATCAGACAATAGCCTCTAAGTTTCTTCTGAACTCTCATACTCAGGGATGCCAACGATGTTGGTAATAAAATAGTATGAACATGCCAAAAAAATAAAAATAAGGAAGAGAAATAGGTATGTAACTTTACTCTGGGACTCCTGTGGTATCTCACAACACCATGCTTCATGAACCCCAAAGAAAGCAAAAAATCCAGCTAGTGTTATAAATCCTGATCAGCTGAATTCTTTCACATGTTGCAGCCTGACTCAAGTTATTCATCGCAGAGGCTAGCAGCTCCCTGATGCATCCTTCCTTGTCTCTGGACAGGGTAAAAATAAGAAATTGGCCATTGTGAGACACTCTGAGTTTCGTGGGATTGAGCAGAGCATATTTTATATTCTTCTCTTGGAACTGCCTCTTGTTGGTAGTAAATGGTTGCCAGCACTGTTGTTTCTCAATAGACAAGTCCTAGAAATAAAGATAATTCAATTTTCATTCACTCTTAGCTCTTCTGCTACCAGTGTTCTTCTTTGACACTGACAGGGCTGCACCTGTCTCCCTGGCCTGACATAGCACTTGTATGGTTTGCCACTTGCCAGAAAATCCACGAGTCATTCTAAAGACCTTTTGCCCAGCAGAGACCACTCCAGTGAGCACAAATTGTCTAGTGGTTTTTTTTAGATGGTCTTCCTCCTTGGCTCATTTCTCTCCAAGAACGAAAATATCAAGGTGTTCATTTAACAGCAGCTCCTGAAAGACAATCCAGCTTGATTTAAATCTTTAACGGTTTTCATTATAATAGAAAATATAATAGCAACAGTAGCATCCTCTTTTACATTGAAATTAAATTGCAATTCTTTCACTGTTGGGGTGGCAAGTATAATTCCTATCACTTCTTTGGAAAGCAATACAACTTACTAAAGATCACCAAAATGTTTATACTTTTTGGAACCAAAAACCTCACTGAAAAAAGTTTATTCCAAGAGTATGATTCAACAGAAAAAAAAAAGTAATATACATGTGCATGTTTCTCCCTGTGAAAACAACAGCACAGAATTTACTAGACAAGTTTTGAAACAGTTGGCTATGTGGTAACATGGAACAACATTCTCCTATAATGTTGAAGGATAAAAGCTTAGAGAATAGAATATATTCTATGACTGCAACTGTGAAAGAAAACATAGATCTACATAGGGACAAAGATGATAAACATGCGAAAACAGGTGTTAGATTCATGGATTATGTGTATTTTTCCTGCATTCAAATTTATCTTTATTATTGCTTTTTTATGTTCCCCTCTCCTCCCCCCAAAAAATCCTAAAGATCTTGAATATGCCCCTGTCAATATTTAACATTTCTTCTGAAACTGAGTCTAGATACTCAATCTGCTCCAGTTTTTTGAACAAGATGAGTAGCAAGGTTATTCTTTCCATTTTTTTGTTTGTTTGTGTTTTTTGTTTGTTTTTTGTTTTTTTTTTTACAGCCAGACACAGGTCTTGAATTGTACAGCTGACTGCTTTGTTTGGGATACGTTACTTTCAATCATTTTCCTGATCCTCTGCATGATTTACAGAAGCCGAGTGGGTGGCTTTAGCATTTCCATGGTCCTCCCTCTCCACTATCATGACATTCTTAGGTGAATTTTTTTTAGAGCCATTATTCTCCATTTACAAAGGCAGAATGCAGTGGCAGGAGCTGGGACTCTGGGAAACCAACAGCCAAGAATTCAAACTACAGCATACTATGAAACACTCAGATAAGATGTCCCCATCATATTCTATTATTGGGCAAAATAAAAGGTAAACCATGTGCTCAAAACAGCAAATATTGTGGGTGACAGTGACACTGGTATTCGGAAAGATGAAGAGATGCAATTAAGAAACCTGGCAAAGAAGTAAACATGCCATGTAGCTTACAAAAGACCAGCCACATTGTGTGTATTTTAATATTGTTTAACAGTAACACCTAATAAAGAGAGCATCATGATTGTGTGAACTACATTTTCGGTCATAATGAATGCTACAAAATTAACCTCCCAAGTTTAGACAGGCTACAACGTCTTGGGAAATATGCAAGAAGAATTATTTGATAAAGGTGACAGTTTTTCACACCTGAAAATGATCTTCTCCCAGCCTATCTTGATCAACAGCCAGCAGCAACACATTGCAGATATAATCTCAAGACCTTGTGGCATGTACTTCTCACTACATGCATAACTTACTATGGACAGAGGATCATGGAGATTTTGAATATAATTTCCCACATGACAGGAGATTAAATAGACCACATTGGAAGAAGCTAGGTCTCTGGAGAACCAAAAAGTAAACTTCAGCCAGTTCTGGAGGCAGATAAACAGCAGGAAATGTACTTTCAGATGGGCTACTTTCTCAATAGTTCTTTCTTGCAAGAGCTCTAGGGAAAGTATGAGTTACTGGGTAAGAATGTAATAGAAAAGGGGCCAGCCTTGGAAAACTTTGCAATGGAAGAAAATCAGTGTCTCCTCATTTACATCTTTCTTTCTCCTCTTCCTTTGTAATGCCACCTTTCTTGGGATATTCCTTCCCCTAGAATACCCTGCCTGTCACCCCACGAGAACCTGCTCTTGAGACTGCATTTCTAATACCTATAATGAGATGTTATGTCAATGCCTTATCTCTCAGTGTGTGTATATACATATTAAGCTTTCTGTCTATGTTGTGCTTTCTCATGCAGGAATATCAGACATTAATGAACCAGTAAAGAAGATACTGAGGTGCAGAAGAGCTTTCCCAGTGTCCCGGGAGCCATTCTACACAGCATCCTACAGAATGACTGTGGATCTGCTGTGCTTAGTTTCTTTACTTGTGAAAACAGAGTAATAGCAGCACCTACCTCACAGGGTTGTTCTGAAGATTAGAGGGGTTCTTTCATGGGAAGCTCTAGAGCAGTGCTTGAGACATGGTAAGTGCTCAACATGTGTTCATTATTATTATCATTATCAATATTTGATGTAAAAGCCTTTCTGAAAGAAATCACACAAGAACATGATCAGTTAAAAGATATATATGAATGAAAGTATGTTTGGCGCTGTCACAACACAGAGTGACATAATGGTTAGGAACATAGGCTTTGGAAGTCAACCATCTGTGCTCAAAGCCTAGTGTCACCACACAGCCATTGTGGGACACTGGGCCTCAGATTTCTAGCCTGAAAAATGGGGGAACAATGTCTGTCATATAAAGTTGCTGTAAAGATCAAACTGGATAAGAAATGTAAAATACTCAACAGTGCCTGACACAAAATAAACACCAATTAATGGTAGCAGGAAGAAAAGAGCACTCTTCACCAACATTTTACCTTCAGAAATTGGTTAAGAAGAAATGAGTGCTTAGGAACCTTCCTGTTAGAGCTGGGAACACAAATAACCCCAAGATATGACCCAACTGAGAAAAGAGATACGAGAGTCAGCAGGTCTCAGGACTCGAGAACATATCATAGATCTGGGGCCAAGGGGACCTCCCAATACCTCAGTCTTGAATTAGCCAGATGTGCCTTTCAGTCCTTGGCTGAGCTGGACTGAGGCCTCCTCCAAAGGGAGAAATAAATGCGCATCCTGAAGAGAGCTGACTCTGAAAGAGAGAGAAACCCACAGAGGCTGAGTTTCACCAGTACAGCTACTTTCAAGCACATTCCTCAGTTAAGTCATTTCTCTTCCCAAGGGGAGGACTGAATGAGCTTATGGTGAGAGGCCAAAAGCTTTTCTCCTTTGTTTTTCCCTCATGGGAGAGGACGGAAGTGCTATCCTTTCTGTGGGAACCTGCAGACTATGGACGTTTCCCCCAGCAGTTGGCATTGACTGATTTATCTGCATGTTTCTCTGTTCACATCCTCTATATGAAGAATCGAAGTGGGAATAGCCCCCAAGTAATCTGATAGTACCAAAGCACTATTCTAGTTTTGTATAATTTTTAAGTCTCTTCTTTAAATTTTTTTTTGCAGACTCCATCCCAGACACAGCATACCAGAGTCTCCAAAGGGCTAAGCTCAGCAATCTGTTCTCAAGCTCCCAACAGGAGTCTTATATAGTCAGGCAGGCAATGATCATATATGGGGACCATTAGAAATAATCTAATGCATACCCTCTGAACTTCAAATTTTTAGTATTCTCATTTTCTGCTCAAGCTCAATTTCAACACAGTTCACAGTTTCTCATATCCACCATGGCATTCTGCCAAGGAACTACAACTCGTGTTCTCTAAACCCATCTGTTCTAAGAATGCTGGGCTGGTTATCAATTTCTAATGTACCTGCTTAAACTTTCCTCTCTCAATATGTCCCTGACTGAACTGCAGAAGACAGAACAACTGTACTAGCCATCTCTTTCTGCATATCCCATGTCCCCACAGAGGCCACTGTGTCTTCATAAAGCTAACTGCCACGATTTTCACAAGTGATATTTTTCCTTCATGATTTTCCATTTTCTACTTGGGCATTAAAATACCAGGGAGAAAAGGAAGATAATCGTTTAGCAGCTGGGAAAATAAGATATGTGCCCCAGCACAGTACATGCTAAGTATTCAGAATGTATAGTTATAGTAGATAACTATAAATTAGATAACTATTAAAATAGTTATATTAGATAAGCAATATTTTTCTCATCTTCAAGACTTAAAAAGTTAACTGTTTTAAGTGGTATTCAAAAAAGGAAGGTACTCACTCACATCAACCCTATTGAAACCACATTTCTATAGCTGGATGTAACAATCTTAATCCAAATCATTCACCAAAGTTGTTTAACTTTCTTAAAGTAAGGCTCTAGACATTTGCTTCTTTACAAGTATCTTGCAAAGCCATTATGAGGTAGAAGAAATGTTTAAATGCGCCACATTTTCCTACTGCATTGTAACTAAAATTACTACTCACAGGACGTGTATAGCTTCTGCATTTTGGTCCATCACATTTTCCGCCATCAAATGAGTGTATTCTTAAGGTTCTCACTTTATCATCAGCATAACATATTTTGCTTCCAGAATGCCCAGTAAGGCTGAAATTTTTCATTTAAAGTGATAAAAAAGTTCCCCAAATATCTACTTAACAATCTTAGATCTGAGTTTTAGCAAGACAGTTTAATGCATACACAATGAAAACACTATATTTCTCACTCTCTCTCACATGCACAGATTAAAACCCCAAAGTTTTCACTATATTTCCTCTTTCTTATACAGCTCAATTTTTAACATGCAGCTTCCTTATAATCTAAAAACAATTTTAAATATGATTATCATAAAAATATTTTAAAACAGAGATGAAATGTGTAAAGGCAGATATAGATCATCCATGGTTACATTGGTTACATCACATTTCTTTAGAAACAGAACTGTTTCTACTCCTGTAGACAAACTTCTCTCTCACACATTTAAAGTGAGGTTAGTGCTGACATAAAATTATCGCTCTACTCACCATCTGAGTGTTTGCACTGTGTTTGAGGTACATTTTCTTCATTTTCACAGCCCCACCACTCTTGAGAGTATGAGTCAACAGAAGTTTGCAGGCTAAAACCATTCAATAATATTTTCATCAATACTGGAATGATAGTAAGTAACATTACACAACATCAGAGGCCAAAAATTTTTCTTTGTTGAAGCCCAAGATTTTAACTTATTCTTCATTACCTGAAAATACTGCTCATTTAACCTCTTCAGGAAAAAAAAAATTCTGTAGATGAATAATTCCTGCCTTAATGCTTCACCCAAGACAGTTCCTTCATACTTATCCTCCAATGCTTTGTTCTTTTCATCCATTTGATGTAGCAGGCAACAAGAATCACCTTTCCTTTGGTGATCTGACATAGCGATCTCTTATGTTTTTGCTAATTGTTTGATAAATATTTAGTAAATTTTTCCACGATATGTATGCACTATTTTTTGTAGTTCCAATTCTAAAGGTTTTATTAATGAATGAACATTGTCATCTTAAAAGAACAATTTCTCAGTGCTTCATAAACAGCTCTAAATGCTGGTTGCTTATCATCATGGTAAACACCTCTGTTCCCGTGAAAAATAAAGATTCCTTCTTCTGCTTCTTGGCAACTGCTTCCATATAGACAGTGATCTGGACGACACTTCCATTGACACGGAAAGACAAAAAGGCTTTCTGGATTATGAAAAAACAGGATATCCAACAGATCTTGATCGCCCATGTAATGTTTAACTTGTATATTTTAAGCCATGTCATAAGTATATCTCCTCATTGTAGTCACACAGTTGTCATATTATTCTTGAAATACTTCCTTCTCATTCAAGTCATGTTTGTCAACATAACTCCAGAGTTTACTCCAGCTTTTCCACACTATGGATGCCTAGCACAGCGACTATACCATCCTATTTGACATTCCTTGTGTTCTGGGGCCATTGCAGAATTTGTGTGGAATTAAATTTCTTTAGTAAAGACCAAATATTATCAGCTGGTCTTTTAAAAAGGCTATCAGTGTGAGAGTCAACTTCTTTCAGGAATAACGGCAAGGACAATCTCTGCAAACCACATGGTTTAAAGAGTTTTTCCACTCTGCTGCATTCTCACTTGGAAAGGTTATGGAGTATATTGTATAATTAAATATTTGTAGAAATGACCCCTGTCAAGCCTTCCTTTAAAGCTATGATGTAGTTGATCTTCAGCAAAAATCTGGAATTGAAGAGGTTTGATCCTGAAAATAATAGCTGACTTCAACATGGTCATAGTTTCTTCCAGTCTTTCACCTAGATACATTTTCTCAACAGGCTGTATTTTCAGACTACACCTGTCCCACCTGCGGGGATGAGCAGCGGGACAAGCGCTGCTCGCGCCTCTCACCGCACCGCATCCGCCTCCCGCCAGCCAGGAAGCCACTGCGGCCTGCGGCTTCCCGCCACCACGGCCCGCTCCTTCCTCCGGGGACACGGGGAGCTGGCTGAAGGCGTAAAGGAGCGAGCAGAAGCCTCAGGCCAGACACAGAGCCACCACGCGCGGTAGCGCCGCATGGCCCCAGCGGCGTTCCTCGGTCTCCGTCTCCGCCGCGCCCGCCTGACGAACTGGAGCACAGGGACCATAGTTCTGGAAATTTATCCTTTTTCTCTCCATGGATTCAGCAGCAGCGTCTAAAAGAAAAAAAATCATCAATCAATCATTTATATATGTTTTAATATAAAGATATAAAACAGTGGAACCAGTGGAACTGGATAGAAAGTAATTCAGTTTTACAGAACACATCTGTTTTTCAGGCTCTTACTTTTCTTAAACATAAAAGAGCCATATATATTTCTATGGAATTCCCCTTTTACTTAAGAATTCATTATCAGCGAATTAGTGTAACGAGGCTGTTTTGTTAGAGGCTGTGGTTGCATTCAAAAATTAGAATAGGAACAACGACTTGTAAAAATTCAACACTTTATTTTATTTTTGAGACAGTTTCACTGTGTTGTCCAGGCTGGAGTGCAGTGGCTTGATCTCAGCTCACTGCAACCTCCCCCTCCAGGGTTCAAGCCATTCTCCTGCCTCAGCCTCCCGAGTAGCTGGGATTACAGATTTGTGCCACCATACCTGGCTAATTTTTGTATTTTTAGTAGAGAAGGGGTTTCACCATGTTGGCCAGGCTGGTCTTGAACTGCCAACCTCAGGCGATCCTCCCCCCTCAGCCTCCCAAAGTGCTGGGAGTACAGGCGTGATTTAACATTTTAACATTTTAAACTACCACTTACTACATTCACTGTGTCTGTGATTTAATATACCTTTTTCAGTGGCCACAAAATTATAAAATGGATACAGAATAGTCTCTTCAAAACATTAAGGAAGTTCTTTCTTTTTTCTTTTTCTTTTTCTTTTTTTTTTTTTTTGGTTTGAGACGGAGTCTTGCTCTGTCGCCCAGGCTAGAGTGCAGTGGCACAATCTTGGCTCACTGCAACCTCCGCCTCCCGGGTTTAAGGAATTCTCTTCTTCAGCCTCCCGAGTAGCTGGGATTACAGGCGCCCGCCACCACGCCCAGCTAATTTTTTTGTATTTTTAGTAGAGACGAAGTTTCACCATCTTGGCCAGACTGGTCTTGAATTCCTGACCTCATGATCAGCCCGCCTCGGCCTCCCAAAGTGCTGGGATTACAGGCGTGAGCCACAGCGCCCCGCCGCAAGTTCTTTCTTCTTGAAAGGATTATAAATATAATTCATACTGGCATGACACTTTTACTAATATAGATTGACTTTTCGCTTCAAATAACCCATTCGTATATCGAAATTAATTTTGGTCAGTATGTGTGTGTGTGGATGTATGTGTGTGTGGATGTGTGGATGTATGTGTGTGTGGATGTGTGGATGTAAATGGCAGTAAAGGGTAAAAGGGAAGGTGGAAAAAAGGGAGATGGTCTAACATTTTCCACACATTTTTAAATACACAAAATGTATATTTAACACAATACACATACAATAAAATATGTAGTAAAACAATGGTGTGGTGAAAACAAAACATTGCGAACTAGAAAAAAGACTTAGCCGCTGGTCCTGTCGGATCCGCCCCGCGGCGGCGCCCTCCAGCCATAAGCTCCACGCAGTTCAACAAGGGCCCCTCCTACAGGCTCTTGGCGGACGTCCAGAACAGGCTTCTGCCCAAATATGACTCCCAGAAGGAGGCAGAGCTCCGCAGCTGGATCAAGGGATTCACTGGCCTCTCCATCCGCCCCGACTTCCAGAAGGGCCTGAAGGACGGGATTATTTTATGCACACTCGTGAACAAACTGCAGCCGGGCTCAGTCCCCAAGATCAACGGCTTCCGTGTAGAACTGGCACTAGCTAGAAAACCTCTCCAACTTCCTCAAGGCAATGGTCAGCTACGGCATGATCCCGTGGACCTATTTGAGGCCAACGACCTGTTTGAGAGTGGGAACAATATGCAGGTGCGGGTGTCTCTTCTCGCCCTGGCAGGGAAGGCCAAGACTAAGGGGCTGCGGAGCGGGGTGGACATCCGTGACAAGTACTCAGAGAAGCAGAACTTCGACGACACCACCATGAAGGCCAGCCAGTGCGTCATCCGGCTGCAGATTACCAACAAATGTGCCAGCCAGTCAGGCATGACCGCATATGGCACGAGGAGGCATCTCTACGACCCCAAGAACCGCATCCTGCCCCCCATGGACAATTCGACCATCAGCCTCCAGATGGGTACAAACAAGTGCGCCAGCCAGGTGGGCATGACGGCTCCCGGGACCCAGCGGCACATCTATGACACCAAGTTGGGAATCGACAAGTGTGAGAACTCCTCCATGTCCCTGAAGATGGGCTACACGCAGGTTGCCAATCACAGCGGCCAGGTCTTTGGCCTAGGCCGGCAAATATACGAACCCAAGTACTAGCCAGGTGGCCCAGTGGCCCACGGGGCTCCCTCCGCCGGCAACTGCCCAGGGCCAGGGGAGGCCCCTTACTACCAGGAGGAGACCGGCTACTGAGGCTCCCAGCACGCTCTCTCCACACATGGTCTCCCCGTCTGGGTGTTGGGTTTTTCTGTGTTTTCATCTTTTTTTTTTTTAACCTGTTCAGTGCTGCCAGTCAACCGAGGGTCTGTGAGTGGCAGCGTGGGATCAGGCAGCAGGGTTTTTTCCCCACCTCCCCTTGCTTTGGTTCCTTGGCAGGACTGAGACACCGGGCTGTGGGGGAAGGGATCAAGGCCGTATCCTGATGCGTGTAGGGTGAAGGTCCCCGCTGGCACTTCCAGGCTGTGGGCTGAGCTGTGCTGGGGAGAAGAGACCTGGGCATGGAGGGAACCAGTCCCCGAAGGTTTCTGGTTGCCTCTCCTCTTCCCCTTTTTGTCAGCCGATCAGTTTGTGGTTTCTGTACCTGCAAAAGTTTCAGGAAGTATTAACAAAAGAAAGAAAATTTTTTTCTTCTCCGAGGAATGGGGCGGAGACAGTGGAGAGGGTGCTGGGAAATGAGTCCCCTGGGAGAGGGGGCCCAGCCATGATGCTAAAATATCTCAGGCTCCTGAGTGGCTGGATTTCCCTAGGACCCTCAGACCGACAGACCTCAGACCCTCAGACCTATGCTGGGGCCCGGTGAGGAAACTGAGACCCGTACAAGTTAGTGGAATTCTGAGTTGCCAGGATTAAGTCTGACCCCTCTCCATCCTAGCTCCCCCACCCCCGTGGCCCTCAGTAGGGTTTTTTGTTTGTTTTTGTTTTTGTTTTTTTTGAGATGCAGTCTCACTCTGTCGCCCAGGCTGAAGCACAGTGGAGTAATCTCGCCTCACTGCACCTCAGCCTCCCAGCTTAAGCGATTCTCCTGCCTCAGCCTCCAGAGTAGCTGAGACTACAGGCGCCCACCACCACGCCTACCTAATTTTTTGTATTTTTAGTAGAGACGGGATTTCACCATGTTGGCCAGGCTGGTCGGGAACTCTTTCCCTCATGTGATCCGCCTGTTTCGTCCTCCCAAAGTGTTGGGATGACAGGCGAGAGCCACCGCGCCCAGGCCCTCAGTAGGTCTTAAGGAGCCCCGGCCCTCCTTCTCCCCTTCCGGGCCTGACCAGGTCTACTGCTCTATCTCTCCCGGCTCCAGGCCACGCCAAGTACTGCACAGAGCCCTCCACCCAGGCGCCCTGCGCTATGAGATAATGTGAAATACCGACTGTGGACCAAACGCAATAAAACCTCTGTTTTTTAAGAAGAAAATGAAAAGACTTAAAACTGGCATTTTAAGACTTTATTATGTATTATTAATTATATATTAAATATAAATGTTATACACTTTAGCGCCTCTATCTCCCAGTCTCTGGTTAGGAGCTTAACTTTCCTAAGCCTCAATTAGTAAACACTTATGGCCTAGCCACGTTGACCCGCCTCTCTCCTAACATCATCCAGTACATTTCGGAAGCGCATGCAAAACTCTCCCACCTTCTGTTTCAACAGATATGTCAACTGATACAATTATACAATAATTGTATAAGATAATATTAGATTTAATCTCACAATCACACTCAGCTTGATTACTAACCCTTCTCTTACATCTTGCTCACCTAAATTTATCTACATTTTCTGTGAACTGAAATAGCTTAGAAATGTATGCCATCTGTGTATTATAGTGTAAGTTATTGTAATATAGAAATATGGACTTTCTTTAACTCCCATTTGCTGCCTAGGAAATACCAATATTTTTTGAGCATGGCAAGTGTTTCCAAGCATTCAGAAGTGGAGAGTGTAGGAAATCCACTGCAGAATGAGGTCTGCTTGTCATCCTCTCAGTCTCAACTGCTCTCCCTCCTTCATCTCTCTCTGTTTCATTGATGAGTATAGAAGATCAGGCATTTTTATATGAAGTGAAAATTGATGGAACTAAGGTGTTGATTTGAATATCCAACCGACCATTTACTGAGTGTCCATTACAAGTTAAATTGTGTTGTAGAGAACAGCTCAGGAAACGAATGCTTGACATTGATGTACATAACAAAAATACAAACATACCATTAAAAAATCAGACCTCTTATGACAATCCAGATTCTCATGTAAGTTTTGTGAAGCTCTTTCAAGATGAGAATGTAAAATTTCAAAAAAAAAATCATTTTAACAAGTCATTCTTGAGATAGAAAAGTGGAATTAGAAGATCATATATGGTTGTTTCACTAGCTCAAATCTTATGTACAGTTTTTAGTCAATTGACAGCCATATGATTCTTATTTTATATGCTGTTATTCATTAGAAACTACAAATTTTAAAAAATATTCCTGTCTCATTCTATGAATCAATCTAAAAATTTCATTCATTTGGTTATATTTCTTCATTTTACCTGGCCTTGAATACTTCTTTCCCGCCCAGCATTAAATTTAATTAATGTCTAATTTGTTTACTTGGTTTAGTTACTTTTGGCCATGTTCAGTACACTTCTTATGAAGCAGGCATGTAGGAATGTTGACAAGTTTATGGTCCTCACTTTTCCAAATCCCAAATGGTGGCACCCCAACAGACACATACCACAGTGTAAACACATACACACACACACAATCCACACCCACCCATACTCACCCACCTACACACAGACACACACACACACACACACTCCAGTGGATCAACACATAAAACACTCCACAGGCAAAGACATTATCCATCAGGGATCTCTTAGTGCACTACACACTTCTGTAAATTATCAGGACTCCTCAATTGAGGTGAGTCTACAGAGATTTCAAAGGCTATTTGAGTGCTAAGCTATCTAACTAGTGGTTGGACACTATTTAAATAATGTGTTAAACACAACTCTTGAGGCTCTGAAGAATTTCTATGCTTTCCAATGAACCAGGAGTTACAAGGTCCTGAAAACCACAAGTGTGTTACATCCTTTAATAGATAAAGCAAAGCTGATATTAATGTGAATATACTTTATATTTACTTATATTCGTGTTAATTTTTCTTTGCCTGTAATACATATTTTTATATAATGGGGAATAAGAAACATCTTAGGAAAAAGAAAACAAAAAATAAAATTTCACTGTTTACACTGTGCCTTGGTCCAGTAACCCTGCACTGCACATATACACTTTAAATTGGTGTCTTGGGGAACCACCTCGGTATTTCATTTTAATAGCGCATCCTGGAGAATATATTTGAGTGGATCACATATTACAACTGATTTAAATTTTGACCCATATAGAAATGTTTTCAAAAATATGTCTGAAGCCTGGATACTGTAAAAATGTTTATCATCATAGAATAATAAAAGGCTAGCCATTAGTTACTCAGAAATTGTTCAGTAAATCTAAGATGACTTAGACATAAATAGTTATGAGTGAATATAGTTCATCATTAATGTTTGTAAAAATTAATGCTGTCTTTTATGGTTGAGAAAAACTAGAAATGTAACTTAATTTGATAGAGATAAATGACATAAACTTTACATAAAGCAAGAGAATAATAGATGTGTAAAAATGTTTTGTAGATAAGATTTTAAGATGAAATTGTGCTGAACGACATGAATCAAATGTGTTTTGCATACTACATCTGCAGCTACAACATCACAGCCTTTTAAGTATTTCGTTAACTTCAAAATGTAACTTATTGCTGAAACAATCTGATTTAATGAATTGGGATAACGGGTAATGATTGGTGTCAGCTGAAAGCAATGCTACAATTTTAAAGTTAGATTTCTTTGTGTATTAATACAAACACCAGAGAAGATGGTCAATAAAGTAATTACTGTACAATGCCTATCATAATACTTAAACCTGGAAGAAAATCAGAAAATGTTAAGTGAATAGAATTGGTGAATTGTTTCCATTTTATACAATTTTTTGTTCATTTTAGGGCTTACCAAAACTTGCAGCTCTGAATAAGGCCCAATTATTTACTCCTTCAAATAAAACAAGACTGCAAGAATAAGAGTGAATGCTTTGTTTTGTTTTGTTTTTCACTGAAATATTCCAGTCTGTAGCAGCTCCAAATCACACTGATCTTTCTAGAGTCTGATACAGGTCCTGGTCTCAAGGCCAGTGTTACCATAATCACCATCTTTTGTGCTTCAAGGTTGAGCCCTCCTAATTTACCTGCATGAAATTGGAAAAGTCCTGTTTCATACTTTAAGCAACCTAGATGTCTCTTTCACTAAAAGTGGTATTCTTCTTGTGTGTTTTTTTTTTTTTTTTTTGCAGCAAATGATGTCAACTTCTACCTACACCTGACATCTCAATTAATTTTTGACATTTTCTTCTTCACATTTCCATTTCAAATCACCAAGTATTGTCAGATTTTACCTTCTCTCTATTTCTTGAATGAATTTTTCTCTTTCTATCTTCATTGCCATCATGGATTCCAGCCCATCACTCTCTCACCTGGGCTATGGTGCACACCTCTAAAGTGCTCTCCCTGATTCTCTCTCCAAAAATGGTTCTGTGCTATATCTGGAATGATTACTTGAAATGTAAATACAATTTGCATTGTAAATTGCTTTGCTTAAAAACTCCCAAAGACTTCACATTAGTACTAGGATAAATAGCAAGAGTCCAAAAATGGGTTCAAGCAGTACAAAATTTGTTTCCTTTCTCTTTCCCCCCTCTTGTGGCATGAACATTGTTGAACTAAATGATTCAGATGTATTTCTTCTTGTCTCCTGGACTTTGGTCTTCTTACTCATATGCTTTTCCCACTACCATCCCAGATTTATATAATTAGCTCTTACTGGGTTTTTTTGTTTGTTTTTTTTGAGATGGAGTCTTGCTCTGTTGCCCAGGCTGGAGTGCAGTGGTGTGATCTCAGCTCACTACAAGCTCCACCTCCCAGGTTCATGCCATTCTCCTGCCTTAGCCTCCAGAGTAGCTGGGACTACAGGCGCCTGCCACCTCACCTGGCTAATTTTTTTTTTTTTTTTTTGTATTTTTAGTAGAGACAGGGTTTCACAGTGTTAGCCAGGATGGTCTCGATCTCCTGACCTCGTGATTCACCTGCCTCAGCCTCCCAAAGTGCTGGGATTACAGGTGTAAGCCACCACACCCAGCCAGCTCTTACTCTTATTTTAGTTTGCTCTTCATCTTCCCCACCAAGGGAAACCTTACCTGATATCCCTAAATATGAAAGGCTTTCATAACAGTGCATAGCTTTTCTCTGTTATTTATAATATTGTTTTTAGGTTTTTATATTTTTATTACTATTTATAATAGATACATCTGAGCATGCTCTTTGATAATAAGTCTAATAAAGTTTTGATGCATTTAGTAATTCAGTACAAAATTGTTTTCTATAAGCCATGATTCTAGAGATTGAGGGGAAAGTGCAGTGGTAATCTGTCCCAAATGGAAGGACAAATAGCCAAGCAATGTTGACCTACCCATTCATCTCTCAAAAACAGAGTTAAGATATTGATTCTCCTGTTTTCAGGATGAAGCAGGGACAGGGAGTTTCTTGTTATCCTCTCAACTCACTCTTTTTATGGAAAAAGTAATTAATCTGATAAATGACACAAAAGATTTTGATGTTCATTAACAAGGTGGTGATTCCAAGAAGTTGAAATAAAAAGACTTCAGAGCCCGTCTCTCTCAATCACTATCTTTGGTCTCTTGAGGATGCTTGTGCACAAAATAGGGAGCACCCATGTAAGAGCTGCATAGGCAGGCTCAGTCCAGCAACTGGTTTCATAAATCCAACTTTTCCAAGCATGATGGAATGTCAGAATCCCGTGAGCCAAAAGTTTTATGATGAGAGAGGAAGAATGATATTTACTCCCCAATCTAATTTTTAAATTAAATTTTAAACAAAGTTAATAAAGTTAACAAACCTGAATACACACACACACATGCATATATACCCACGCACATGCACACAGGCTTCTTGCATTCTTTTTTTTGTTTAATCATTCATGAGAAATGGTTGGATTTTGTATTTTCTATCTACCAATACTTGCACAAACTCTGGCTGCAAAACTTTTGTTGGTCAAATATTAGCATTTGGGAAACCACATCCCTGCTGAGAGATAGAAGATCTTGATACAACCTTAACTACATCATCAGTAGACATGGGACTGTTTTTAACCAGAAGGAGGCAAATGTCTTCCAGATGGTTGTGTAGCTGGTTTTAACAGTAGCCTGCAGTGGCTTTTTGACAGACATAAACCTTACTAGTTATTATTAGGCTTCAGAGCATTAGTATGAAGTTTTAATTTGGCTTATGTTAGGGATGAGAAGGTAGCACTATCCTAGATGCCCTAAATATTGCTCCTTGTCACTTTTTCCCCACTGAATTCAGAGGTAATCTGGGGACTGTGTCTAAAATGGCCTTATATTCATGTGTTTGCCATGGGTTTCTGAAGCTTTCATTCTGAACATGGTCTCAAGTTGGCTCTTGAGGGCTAATTTCATTACACATGATCATAGGCATAAATTTAAATTTGTGGAGGATTGTTTTGTACATCCCACATGAAGGGGTGACCTGCCCCTCCACACCTGTGGGTGTTTCTCATTGGGTGGGATGAGAGACTGAGAAAAGAAAGAGACACAGAGACAAAGTATAGAGAAAGAAACATGGGCCCAGGGTACCGGCACTCAGCATATGGAGGATCCACGCTGGCACCAGTCTCTGAGTTCCCTCAGTATTTATTGATCATTATCTCTACCATCTCAGAGAGGGGGATGTGGCAGGGCAATAGGGTAATAGTGGGGAGAGGGTCAGCAGGAAAACATGTGAACAAATGTCTGTGTGCCATAAACAAGGTTAGAAAAGGTGCTGTGCTTTGAGGTGCACATACATAAACATCTCGGTGCATTAAAGGGCAGTATTGCAGCCAGCATGTCTCACCTCCAGCCTTAAGGCAGTTTTCTCCTTATCTCAGTTGATGGAACATACAATCCGGTTTTACACCGAGACATTCCATTGCCCAGGGACGAGCAGGAGACAGATGCCTTCCTCTTATCTCAACTGCAAAGAGGCCTTCCTCTTTTACTAATCCTCCTCAGCACAGACCCTTTATGGGTGTCTGGCTGGGGGATGGTCAGGTCTTTCCCTTCCCACAAGGCCATATCTCAGACTATCACTTGGGGAGAAACCTTGGACAATACCTGGCTTTCCTAGGCAGAGGTCCCTGCAGCCTTCCGTAGTGTGTAGTGTATTGTGTCCCTGGGTACTTGAGATTAGAGAGTGGTGATGACTTTTAACAAGCAAACTGCCTTCAAGCACTTGTTTAACAAAGCACATCCTGCATAGCCCTAAATCCATTAAACCTTGAGTCAACACAGTGCATGTCTCTGCCAGCACAGGGTTGGGGGTAGGGTTACAGATTAACAGCATCTCAAGGCAGAAGAATTTTTCTTAGTACAGAACAAAATGGAGTCTCTTATGTCTACTTCTTTCTACATAGACACAGTAACAGTCTGATCTCTCTTTCTTTTCCCCACACCACAGAATCTGGATTCACTACCAAGAGACTGTAGCATTTATCAAAAAGAAGATAAAGAGAAATAAGAGTTCTTGTTGTCTAGGGAATATATCATCTTCTTTAGGTAATGCTTATTAATGCTCCTCAAAATAGCTAGAGCATTCAAGCTTTGTACCGAGTTCACAATGAGAGAAGTAGCTTCTACTAGAAATTAAATATGTTACTTCTTTCATTGAGTAACTATTGCTACAAGAATACGTTTGCTGAATAAATTAGCACATTTATTGATATAATTGATTTGCATACTGTGGCAGCACTTCATGGACCAAACCCTAAGTCCCATGAAAAATTGAATAGAATTATTTGACAGTTAAGTATCATTGGAAAAGCCTGGCTCTAGTTCTCAGGAAGCAATCTGGTTGATTATGTGTTTTCGGTGTGTAGTCATAATACAACTGTATATCACTAGTGTACATTAGACACTTTGTGCACTCTACATATATTTTCTCATTTGATCCTTCAATACATGCATAACAGAAGAAATAGACGTGGATTTAATTGCTCCACTAGGGTCAAAGACCAAAAACCTCATTACAATGCCAATGTTAGAAATTCTTCTTCCAATTAAAATAAAGTTACCAAAGACAATTGCTCCTGCCATAATGAGAAAATATCGGATGAACTTTAAAAAATTATTTTTTTTTTGTTTAAAGCCATCAAAAAATTGTGGGTCTAAAGTGTCAATGAACTAAATTTCAGAGAAAAACAAGCCCTTCCTTGGTGATCACAGATTAGCAGCAGAGCCCATCTCTGAGGACATTTGCTGGATCTGGGGCCTTGAGTAGGTAGAAGAACAAGCCTACAATGTGCAGACAGCTGGAACATTGGGAATAAGCAAAATAATCTACAGGGAACTGCAAGAGGGACTGAAAACTAGAAAGATCACGTGTTCTCCTCGCACTTACTTATTTCCACTTAAGAGACAGGGTCTCATTCTGTCACCCAGGCTATGGTGCAGTGGAATAATCATTGCTCACTGCAGCCTCAAACTCCTCCCTCAGGTGATCCTCCTGCTTCAGCCTCTCCAGTACATGGAACTACAGGTGCATGACATCATGCTTGGCTAATTTTTAATTTTTTTGTGTGTGGACACAAAAACCGACTAGGTTTCCCAGGCTGGTCTAGAACTCTTGGCCTCAAGTGTTCTTCCTGCCTTGACCCCCACCCTCTCCAACCAAGCACTGGGATTACAGGTGTAATGACAGGGAGTCATCACATCTGGCCTCCCCTAGCATTTAGATATTAAACTGTTGGAAAAATGAGTAAAAAATAAATGTAAGTAGCATTTTGAGTATTTTCTTCCCATACACCCATGGATTGTTTAGTGTATCTTACTACTTCACATAGGAGACCATTCCTGCATCAAACTATATAAACTAAGTATTTAAATTTGATTTTTTCCCTACAATAAGCTCTATGCTAAAGCTCATTACATTTGATTTTGACAATCTGTTTTTATACCACAGTTGCAAAAAATTAATCACATTCTTTACTTCATGAGACATTATCATTATTGTTTCCTACAAGTTTCTCTGGTTTTACTTGTTTCATTTTTTTATTCCTTATCCCTTGTCACAGACAGGCATGCTAATGTGTTTGATATAGGTTCTTTACTCTTAAAGAATTCTTACAAGATAAGAAGGTTGTTTTCTGAGTGTGTGTATGTGTATATACGTGAGTGTATACATTTTGCTTAAAGAGTATTGTGCTATAAATCTAATTTTATTTCTAATTTTTTCACAGAGCATAACATCCTTCATACATTCCCACATTGCTGTAGGTTATTTTTGGTTGTTTATTCCCCTGTAGCTGCTGCATAGTTTTCAATAAAATGAATCAACCACATTTTCCCTATCCAGTCTTGCAGTAGAATTCACACTGATATCCTGCTACTGAAATATTCACTTCCTTATGGTATCCTTATGAAAACACTTTTTGGTCATGTGTTACAATTTGTCAGGGGCTATGTTAGTCTCTTTATATTGCTATGAAGACATACCCAATGCTGGGTAATTTATTTATTTATTTTTTAATAAAAGAGGTTTATCTTGGTTCGGGGTTCTGCAGACTGCACAGGAAGCAATGCTATCTGCTCTGGGTGAGGCCTCAAGAAGCTTACAATCATGGCAGAAGGTGAAGGGGAGCCAGTGTGTCACATGGTCAGAGAGGGAGTAAGAGAGAGAAGGGGGCAGTCCCAGGCTGTTTCTAACAATCAGATCTCTATGAACTCACTGAGAAGAACTCACTCAAGTGGATTGTGCTAAACCAAGCTTGTCTAACCCACAGCTTGTGGGCTGAATGCAGGTCAGGACAGCTTTGAATGTGGCCCAAATTTGTCAACTTTGTTAAAAGAGAGTTTGTGTATGTGTGTGTGTGTGTGTGTGTTTGTGTGTGTGTGTGGTTTTTTTTATTTTTATTTATTTATGTATTTATTTTAGCTCATCAGCTATTTTTAGTGTATTTTATGTGTGGCTCAAGAAAATTCTTCTTCCAATGCTGTCCAGGGAAGCCAAAAGGTTGGACATTCCTGTGCTAAGCTATTCATAAGGCATCCACCCCATGATCCAATACCTCTCACTGGGCCCCACCTCCAACATTGGGGATCATATTTTAGCATGAGATTTGGAGGGGACACACATCCAAATTATATCAGGGATATGTACCCATCATCGAGACAGGTTGTAGAGTATGCATACTTTCAAATGGGTCCTGTCATGTTATTTTCTGAAATGGTTAAAACCATTTAATTTTCCATCCATTGCCCATAAAGCTTGTTTTCCTCATATCCTCATCACTCAATGTTATCTAGGATTCTTATATTTTCTAAGCAAGTGGTGAAAATACAGATCTCATTTTATTTGTGTACATTTGCATTTGTCAGATTGTTAACAATGTATTGAATTTTTTGGCCCATTTTTCTATTGAGTTTACTATCTTCTTTGTTCATCTGAATATCAATCATATTCACTTTGCCCTAAGCAGTGTCAACATTTTCTATTACTCTGTCATACATCTGATAACTTTGTATGCCAACCTTTACTGAAATGAGCCTTTATGATTTTTATACTTCTAGAGTTTATGTATTTAATTAAATTTATTGGTTTAGTATATATTTTATTAAACTGTAACAACAGTCCCAAATCTATGTTTTGCTGGGTTCATTCAGATTTAGAACTCAGATAACTTTTTGGAGGATAAATTCTTTTTATCATAATGAAGAATGGCTATCATAATGCAATATGATTACTTCTGCCAATGCTTATTGTTTTATAGTCTACTTTGTTTCTGTGGTCAGGAGGACAAGACCTGAATGGCCTTGACCAACTCAGCTTTCTGTACCTCCTAGTTCTCAGAATAACTTTAGAATGTTCCAAGAAGACAATATCCTGAGATGAGTAGAAACCGTCTGGGACAGTCTGGGCTCTGTCCTTGTTGTTCCTAGGACAGGATATTACTGCAGCCCTTAAACTCAGAGAGCCAAGGTGCACGTGGGGTGTGAAACCTAGGGCGGAGCACTCAGGGGTTCCTCAGCGCAGTACACAGTGGGGCATGTGCAGAGGAGACTCCACCAACCCTGGGCAACTTTTCTGACCTCAAGGGTCAGGCTTGCCATAGAACTTAACGGTTTTGCTGATTCTTCCTGCTCCTCTGTGAGTAATAAATTTGGTTTGTCTGACTTACTGTGCGAGCATTCTTCTGTTCCTGGCAGCTTGGTTTATATAAAAAACCTCCTACTAGACCTATGAATCTATGCAATGTGGAAGTGTCATAGAGGTAAATAAGAAGCAACTTAACTGAGTTGAAAACTAACATACATAACATGGGGCCACTGCACCAAGGGGCAAAATGATCCTGCCAAAAAGTCCCATGTGACCATTCCAGACATACTGTGGAAGAAGGATGCTGAAACTCACAGAGATCTGAAGATCTTATCCAAGCCAACAGGAGGCTAATAAAGCAAGAGAATTCCACTGTACTCTGATGCGAGAGTACAAGCTTCACCTCAGAGAATAGCAATGCAATGGCCCCAGCGATCAGACCAGAGAGACCCTCTGCCACAGAGAAAGCAGAGGTCTAGAGAACAGCATGAAGACAATAAGAGACTTCAGATTCACTTTCCCTTTGCCTTGAGGCCACAGAAAGCCCAAAGCATCTGAACATCTTCCTGGAGGCATTTAACTAAAAGAGAGCTATTGAAACTTGAAGAAAAATGTGAATCAAGAAGCTAAATTTAAAGATATGTTACTTTCTCCAACCATCCCCCACCAATTAACCATAGGATGAGTCTAGTGAGATAAAGCATATCATTTATACAAAATACAAAAGTTATATGTCCTTTATGTGGGCAGAAATATGTTCAAGCTTTACTCAATAAAGGTATCTTGTTTTACTACTAGAAATGGTAATTTTCACTTGGTCATTACTTTATTTTATAATTATCTCTATTTAAATTAGTATCAGCTCACTCCTGGGTATCCACCTAGAGGAAAAGAAGTCATATGAAAAAGACACATGTATGCACATTCATAGCAGCACAACTCACAGTTGCAAAAATGTGTAACAAGGTTAAATGTCTATCAGCCAATGAGTGGACAAAGAAAATGTGTTATAGATACACCATGGAATACTACTCAGCCCTAAAAATGAATCAAATAATGACACTTGCAGCAACCTGGATGGAGTTAGAGATGATTATTGTAAGTGAAGTAACTCAGGAATAAAAAACAAATATTGTATGTTCTCACTTATAAGTGGGAGCTAAGCTATGAGAGAGTGAAGGCATAAGAATGATTTAATAGACTTTGGGGACTCAGAGGGAAGGTTAGGGGGGTGAGGGATAAAAGACTACACATTGGGTACAATGTACACTACTTGAGTAATGCGTACACCAAAATCTCAGAAATCACCACTAAATAACTTTTCCATGTAACCAAAAACCACCTGTTTCCCAAAAACTATTGCAATAAAGTAATATATATGAAAACAATCAACATGATAGTCTTGAAGTGCAACATTCACTGGGTTTCATATGGGAGAAAAACAGCTAAAATCAAACACATGGACAGGCAGTCAGAACAATGTCCATCATATACATAGTAAAATTAATACAAGGACAAACATTCATGAGTGGAGTCCATTTGAATCAGCCTGTAGTGAAGACATGTGCCTTAGGGCACACATAACTCATGTTAGGGAGAAAATGTATAATTTTACTCAATGTGAAAACATCTTCAGAAATAACTCAGTCCATGCTGTCCAGATGCAGTTCTGTTCTGTAGAGATGAAGAATAAGAATCATCAAAGTGGAAAAACCTCTGTCCTGCTCCAAATTCTGGTCCACACAGGAGTAGTACTACTGGAGAGAAAAGCCATACATGTCCCAAATGAAGGAAAGCCTTTACGTTATCAGTCATTTCTTATGAGACATATGAAACTTCACACTGGAGAGAAACCTTATGAATGTAACAAAAGTGAGAAAGGCTTTAGATATTCCCTACACCTTAATAAATATTTAAGAAAGAACATTCTGGAGAAGCCCTATGGATGTAAGGAATGTGGGAAAGCCTTCAGCAAGGCTCAAAACATGCACATATAAGGAGTCACACTGGAAGAAACCCTATAAATGTGATAAATGTGAAAAAGACTTTGCAAAGTCACCAGAATTAAAAGCCATCTTAAGATTCACAATAGTGAGAAGCCCTGTGAGTGGCAGGGAAATCATCATTAATTTTTCACCGTACTGAACATGTGAGGAGGACATACTGGAAGGGAGCTCAATGAGTTAACATGCATGAGAACATCTTTCCTGAACTCTCCTATCTTACAGAAGTGTGAAAAGAAACCCTCTGAAGGTAAAGTCTATGGAAAGCCTTTCATCTTCATTCATCGTGAGTAGATATTTGTTCTCACACTGGAGAGAAGCTATGAAAGTAAGGAATATGAAAAAAGCCTCAGTGTTGTCTCAGACTCATAGTTCATACAAGAACTCACACAGCAGAGACTGCTTATGGAAGTAAAAAATGCAGAAAATACCTCTTTAAACACTATCCCTCCTTTATACATGATTCCACACCCTGGAGGGAGACTACAATTGAATAAATATAAGAAAGCTTTCAGTTCCAGCTCTTCACTTATTGGGCATGAATGAGCACAGGGTAGGACTGAAGCACAGTAAACGTTAACAATTATTGACTTTATCATTGTCTTATCCCTCAATTAGAACTCAAATTCATAATTTTGTAGTTTTTCCTTTCTTAAAAAATGGTACAAGATGACAGATATCTGTCTTAGCAACCTTTCCGCTCTGCCACCTTAATGTTGCTATGTAGTAGCTTTGTTACAATTCATTTACATACACATGGTTTCATTTTCAGTGGGAAGCCCTTCTGAGCTCCATTCAATTTAGATTTAGAATTCGTATGCTCCATGATACCTTTTTTGTCAGTTTGTTTTTTGTTGGTCACAATTTGACTGCATTATGGTCACATTATGTGGTTTTAATGGTACTGATTTGGGGTACCTGTTATGACTTTCATTTTGGTCTAATGTGGCCAATGCTGTCCATTTCCCTGCTATATCCATTATTCTCATCTTCTTCACTAAGGGAACATAGATTCACTTTTTCCAAGGAGCACTGTTTAAATGTCTTTATTTATTTATTTATTTATGCATATTTTATTATTTTATAACTTTTTTTTTTGAAAAATGGTCTCACTCTGTCTCCCAGGCTGGAGTACAGTGGCATGATCAGAGCTCACTGCAGTCTTGAACTCCTGGGCTCATGTGATCTCCCAGCTCAGACTCCTGAGTAGGTAGGACTGCAGGCATAACAGGTGTGCACTGCCACACCCAGCTTTTGTTTTGTTTTGTTTTTGTAGAGACTGGGTCTCGTTATGTTGCCTGGACTGGTTTCAAATTCCTGTGCTCAAGTGATTCTCCCACCTTGGCCTCCCAAATTGCTGGAATTACAGGCATGAGCCACCATGCCTGGCCCTGGTTAACGTCTTTAAATGAGTTTCCCAGTTTTTCTCGTAACTGTAGTGAGCGAATCTTATAGTCCTGGCCAATGTGAAATGCAGAATTCACTGCTTTGGATTTCTGAAAATCTGTTTGGAAAGGGGAGAGTTATTGTTCCTCTTTTTTGTTGACCAATTTCCCTTTGCTTTCTCTGCTTGCTGCTCTCTGGAAATAGGATGAAATGCCCTGAGTTGGGTTTAGCAACTTGAAGACCATTGGAAAGATTGTCCCTACAACAAAACCTTCAATCTACAAGATTTCTCCCTCCCCAATGGCATGTTGTGTATCCCTGGCTGCCGTGGACTATTTCTGGACTTGTTTCATGAAACTAACCCCTAGTAGAACTAAGAAACATTTTAGGAGAGAAGTTTACAACAGATTAAATGATAAACCTAAAAAATGAATAAAACATATTATAAAAATAAAGAGGATAGACAAAACGGGCTTGCAGATGCTGACTGGCCACACTCATCCTTGGCGCTTGCCCCCATGGATGCCTCACTGACTGACACTTGGAGAGCTGGCAGCCATCACTCAAAAATCAGAACACAGTGGCCTCTACTGCAGCATCAGGGAACCAAAACTAAGCTTGTCAGCTCTCAAGAAACATACTTATGTGTGTGTGTGTGTGTATATATATATATATATATGACATAAATTTATTCAGGGACTTTGAGGTATCTCATGCTAAACAGATAAAATGAATTAAAACTAGTGCAAAGTTATGGCAACAGTACTCCCCATTATTTATGCAGGGCGTTGAAAACTGGCACACGTCACAGATCCTTAAGTCATTCTCTGAATCAGGAGGAGAAAAGAGAACAGAGAGAGCTCACTGTATGTGCCAGTCACTGGACTGAGTACTGCGCCTACGGGATCCCACTTGATGCTTGCAATAACCCTGCAAGATAAAGGTAAAAACTCACACACACACACACACACACAAACTCACACACACACTCTCACGCATACATACACACACATAAACTCACACATACACACGCATCCTCAAGCACACACTAGAAACTACAGAACAAAAAAGCATTGACAACTAATAGAAGTATACTGCTGGCCAAAGTGGCTCATGCCTATAATCTCGGCACTTTAGGCCAGGAATTCAAGACAAGCCTGGGCAACATAGCAAGACACCATCTACACAAAACATTTTCTTAAATAAACATCATTTTTAAAAAGAGGTATAATGCCTACAGGCTCAGGGAAGCAATACCCCTATGGCTGTATGGTAAGCAGCAGGCAAGGCTATTTTTCAGACCAAAGTGGTAGTGACTCCAGGGTTCCTTTGCACACTTAGCCAGGAGATTGGCTAGCTCAGCACTGCCTGGGTTCACTTTACCCTTCTACAGTTCTAAAGCTCTGGCAGGTGGGACCTAAGCATCACAGAAAGTGCTATTATGCAGGACTCTCTTGACTGCAAGTGACTGAAACCTAACTGGATCCAGCAGAACATTGAATTATTTGGCTTTACTTACTAAAAATGTACATGAGTAGATGGGCTTCTGTCTCAGTGGGATCAGGGGTCAACTAATATCAACCAAGGCTCATTCTGTCCCTTCATTTCCTGTGTCAGCTCTGCTTTTCAGGCAAGCTGTTTTGAGAGAGCAGCAAAAATGGCCCCATAAAGTTCACATCACTTACTTCCTTACAAATAGATATGCCAATAAAAAGAAAGCACCTCATTCCCAGCAGTTTCATCAGAAGTTCAGGGATGACTTCCATGAGCCCAGCTTGGATCACATGACCACTCCTGAATCAATTACCCTGCTGATCTGATTGCCCAGGGTGGGTCAGCCTTCCCAAATCACATGGACTAGTATTGAAAGACAGGTCCTCCCATGAAAAGAAAAAAAAAAAAAAAAAGGAAGGGTAGTGGCAGAGGAATATGAGTGGGGGGGGCCTCATCTCTATATAAAAAGTATGAGCGTATTTGTGCTCTTTTGTACATTCATTTGTATAGTCACTGGGAAAAAAATGAGAAAAACCCAAACACGGCTTTCTATATGCCTCTGTGCTTTGTTTTCAACACTGAGCTGTGAGAAATCTAGTTACTAAAATGAAACTGTGAAAAAATATAACAATTTGGGACAATGGGGACACTTAGCTGATGCAGCACAGGTGAACAGTTCTTCTTTTGTGCCCAAGAGGACACAATTCCCAGGAGGCTGCATGTGGTCTCCTAGGACAAGCCTGTGGGCACCCACTGGCTGCAGTTCCACCTTTCCTTCCCTGGACTCTCAGGAAGACATGAGTTCTGGATTCAGCTGAACTGAGCTCAAGTTCAAGTTCTGTGACTCACTGGCTCTGTAATTCTGGGTAAGTCTCTTGCTCTCCTTGAGTCTCATATCCTCCTTGGTAAAATGGAGAGGTAGAGCTATTGTTAGATTTTGAAGGCAAGGCAAGGGTTAAAGAAAGACAGAGAAAGACAGTTGACGGCTTCAACAGCAACACCTTTATTACTAGCAAAACCCTGCAGAGGAGGAAACCAGCTTACTGCCAGCACCAACTGCCTCTCACAGGCTGGGGTGATCATGGGACTGGGAAGGAGGGGTGTGGGCGGTAGAGCTTGCTGCCCGGCAGGATATGGCAAGGATGTTCCTGCAGTCAGGCTGTTGGGCCTTTGCCCGGGAGGGTGCGATAAGGATGTTTCTACAGTCAGGTGATCAGGAAGGATGCTTCTCACGGCCCGAGTTCCCAAGGAATGTTTCATTCTGACCAGGGTGTGCAAAACGGCTGCAGGTTTACAAAATGGTACAGGTTAGACTAACAGCAACATCTCCCAGGTAGACAGTTCTATAAAGTAAACTTCCCTTGAGCACCTACACTGTACCAGACATGGTGCTAGGACCCAGGCCACAGGAGGAACAGGACAGATGAGGCCCCTGCCATCCTGGTGCTCATGCCTGATGAAGGAAGCTAACAGGTCGTAAGACCAGGTCACGTGGTGGTGGTAATGAAAGACATTACCAGCCACTTCGAGGTCCCTGCCAGAACCTGACTGCCACATTCCCCAAAGGGACCAGACTCCTCGGCACACTAGCTGAGGTTTCTATAGGCACAGAGAAAACACTGTCCCAACTGTTGCAATGGAGCTGGGAAAAATAATGTTTTTTCTCAATGCTTAGACTTACCAATTGCTTCATTTTATCACATGAAGGCTGTGTGGCACTTTGAAGTAGAATTAGTAATTTACATAATTACAAATCATGTTTTTTTCTTTTTTTTTAGATGGAGTCTTGCTCTCTCGCCCAGGCTGGAGTGCAGTCGCGCCATCTCGGCTCACTGCAAGTTCCACCTCCCGGGTTCATGCCAGTCTCCTGCCTCAGCCTCCCAAGTAGCTGGGACTATAGGCGCCAATCATCATGCCCAGCTAATTTTTTGTGTTTTTATTAGAGACGGGGTTTCACCAAGTTAGCCAGGATGGTCTGGATCTCCTGACCTCGTGATCTGCCCGCCTCGGCCTCCCAAAGTGCTGGGATTACAGGCATAAGCCACTGCGCCTGGCTACAAATTATGTTCTTAAAAGAAGCTGCTCAGTGCCATGCCTAACACAAGATGGAACTCCACGATGAGATATGTGTGAAGACAGGGTGCCATGGTTACAAACAAGGACTCCAGGTGCAGACTGTTTGGTTCAAACCTGGACCAGCGGTATGAATTTTTGCAACTCTCTGTATTGCTCTTTGCCTCAGTTTTTTCATATAACAACTAGAAGTAAAAACAAGGTTATTGTGAAAATTAAATGAATTAAAGTAAGTGGAGTGCCTACAACACCCCCAGGCACACGGTCAGCACTGAGCATGTTTTTCATTACTACTCTTAATGAGGTAAGAATGAGAAAACAGGCGCCAGCCATGAGCCTGGGGTTTATCTGGCAAAGGCATCAGAGACCCCACTTTTAACATCCTCCATTCATTCATTTGACCCTGATAAGGAAGGAGTCTCATGGGAGAGGAGCAAGCCTCCACCTGGGGGCCAGACATCTCATGATCAAAGTTGAACTCTACCACTGTTCAGCTGGGTGACTTTGGGCAAGTGACTTTCCCTCTCTGATCCTCATGTTCCTTTTTGATAAAAACAGCAAAATGTCAGGCCTATGGGGATTCAAGGAGCCAAAAGAAAAATGTGTGTCTTAGTCTGAATTTCCTGGAAGTAGATCCTGAGGCAAAGATTCAAATACAAAAATTTTGTTTGGAGATAACGCTAGGATATTAATTCGACTGCCAGTTCTTCCTTAGGGTGCTAATCCCAGGAAACATCAGTGGAGGAGTGGGGAACTGAGACAGGAAAGGAATGCAGCAGTTAAAGGGACCTTCATCAAGAAAGTTTCCACTGTGGCAGCCAGGACTCAGCCCTGCCAGGTACCTCTGAGAGACAGCACAGAACATGTGCTTCAGAGTCATCATACCCAGAGCAAGGGACCAGGGGTATTTATCCACCAATACCCACCAGTCACTCCTCAGGGATCCTCCCAAGGGCATGATTCCTCCAGAATGTCCTGCCTGCGCTGCAAGGGTCAGACCTGGGGTTGAGGGCAGGACCCCTGACAGCGCTTCCAGCAATGGGCAGAACCACAGCCTGATGTGTACAGTTTCAGTCACCCAGTAACTCCAACACACACACACACACACACATTCACACACCACACTCCAACACCAACAAAGTATATACGTACATACACATACATGCATACATGACTGTTACCCACTTAGATCCTAGTGACTCCATGGGATAGACGATAAGGTGGGAATCAGAGGAAAGAGTAAAATTAAGGCGAGTGAAAGTCTTAAGAACAAAATGCAAATTTAGGCTGAAAATGAAGGGGGAGGAGGTGTGGTCTCGACACCAAATGCCTGCTGGGTGGCACATGCTCTACACACACTGTCACTAATTCTCCAAGCAGCCTCGTGGAGTAAAAGAAATTCCTCTCAATGTACAGATGACAGAAACATAGTTCAGAAAAGAAAACTGATTTTACTAATGTCTCAGCAAGTTAGTGGGTGACATGGAGTCCCAGATCTTTCTGTCCACAAAGCCTACAAATTCTCCCTTGTTAGGCAGGCTGGGTACCAGGCCCTGCTTCTGGGCTCTGCTTCTTTTCCTTCTAGGCTAAAACAGCAGAACTGACAGAGACATCATCCCCCTTCTCCACCTGGAGCAGAGCCAATGAGAGGGGCTGGGGAACAGCCATGAGGCCCAGCACCCACCATTCAATGTCTTCAGAATTGCCGTCCCTCAGAACTCTTGCACCACGAGGTGGCAGCACTCCCAGTGTCTGGGTGTCTTCTGAGGGGTACCAGGATCCAGTAGAGGCCACTGGCTGTGCTGTCATATCCTAAGTGGCAGCAAGGCAGGCTTGGGTCTCTTGGCTGCTTCAGCACCAGAGGTTGGACAGTGCCCATGCATTGAGTCCCTCAGGAGAATGGGAGGGAAAGGAAGGGCAGAATGGAGTGATGTAGGGTCCATCCACCATGTCCCTGGATGGAGAGACCCCTGCTCCCACAGTAGTCCACACCAGGACCACGATTGGCACTCATGAAGATGCCAGCCTCCATGTATATGTCCTTGTCTGACAACTCCTCCTTATTTTCATCCTGGAGACAAGAACCCTGAACACAGTAGCTCTGAGGGCACCTGAGTGTAACCTGAGACAGTCCCTGAAGACCTTTCATCCAAGCAGGATCCCTCCCTTGCCATCTGCAGACCTGCCCCACAAACTCCCTCCCTGGTCTCCTGGCTCTTGTTCACTCCTTCCAGGCAGCCTTCCACAGTCATCTCTAAAATATATATGACTGTCCCTTCCTTTATCCAGCACCTTCCATGGCTCCCCAGAGCCCTCCAGGTCAAGTTCAAGTTCTTTGATCAGACACTAGATCTCAAGCTGCATTCTACCTCCTGAATTAAGATCCCGGAGAAGCCCACCTTGCTCAGCACAAACGCATCACTGAAGTCGAAAATCTTGAACGTGGCCTTGGCATTGAGGAAGTCATCAACACCCTGGCTAGTGAGGGTGCAGTGCCGCTCCAGGATGATGGTGTCTAAAGTTGTGCACCAGGTCGCAGGCCCTGCAGAAGCATCTCCCCTCAGGAGTGAGGTAGTACAGGAAGTCTGTGCACAGGCAGATCTGCTGGTGCTGTTACACTATGAGGGCACTGAGCTCCAAGATGGTGGCAATATATTCACTGGGATTCCTGCACGGTGAGGTTGGAGAGAGGAAGCATCTCCATAACACATATGAAACCCTGGAAGCACTTCCCAGCCAGAAATTCAGGACCACGTTATATGCAGATATGGGTGCCCTCTGAGCACACTTGTCTCTGTCTCCCACTCTGAGCTGCCTCCTGGCCCCACATGCCCCAGCCTGGCCCAGGGCTTAGCCCAGTGGGTGTTCAGTCCATGGTGTTGACTGCTCCCTGGGCCAGGAGAGCCCTTGGTGGCTCTGTGACTCCTCCTGTGGAACCCCTACCTCTGCCTTGGGACCTCCCAATTCCCATGGAAGCCCCCACAGCTCTGGATTGCCCCACCTGCCCTGTGATCCTCCAGCCCCATAGGCCTTACTCGATGCCTTAGCCCTCCCAGAACATGACACGTTTCTCTGAATGTGGCTGATGTCCAGGGCCATCTGTAGATGTTTGCTGGGGACCTCTTGCTGTTTTCCTTTATGGTCTGTAGGCCAGGGCCAAGAGGAGAAACCAGCCTAATCTCAGAATGGACAAAAGGCTCACTGCCCTAACAGCAACCACCAAACAGTCAGCAGTGCTTCTGGATGGAAAAGAGGTTTCATTCTGCAGAAAGCTCCTTGTTTGGCTTCTTTCTGAAGCCAGGAAGGGGTACCAAACCCAGCTTACCTGCGGTGCCTACGTTAGCATCTGTGCCTAGGATGCATGATGGGCTCCCACTGCAGGGTTGACATTCCCTCCAGCTGGAGACCTGGGCTCCTGACACCACCTGGCGTGTTTGTCCTGCTCTGGATGACGGTGGAAAGGCTGTATCTGGTATTTTCCTAGGTCCTTGGTTTTCACCTTCTAGACATCCAGCAGGAGTGACCATACCCAGCCCCACACCTGAAATGGGACTCCCTTGTAGAGCACCTGAGACCTCTACAGACAGAAGAGTGCTCTGGTGAGACAGGCCACAGAGGTCCCCGGGGGGGGGGGGGATCAGGGGCTGGAGGATTCTGGAGGTTTCCAGCCTTGGGCTCTGTGGTTCCTCAAAGAGTTTAGGTTTACCTAGGACTAGGCCTCCCCTCCCATGATTCAAAGAGTGGGTGAGTGCTATGCATCACGAACTCTGATCTGGACCTATTTTTTCATTTAGGTCACCAAGAGACAACCCCTAACCCCCAAGCTAGGGATGGTCCAAGCTCTGGCATGAGATTCTCTTCCAGCAATGTGATGCTTGCAGGGACAGGGAGAAAAGCCGGTGACCAGGCCTGCTGTCCCCCAGGTAAGGACAGTGTGCTACCCACCCTCTGAGAGGCAGGTGGTGCCAGGTCACTGCACTGGGTCCCTGTACCCCTGGCTCTGCAGACACCAGTCATGGAGGTCCTCCCCTCTCCACATTACCTTCTTGCTACTCCCAGATTTCTTCTGGTCATTAAGCACTTTGAGCCATTTTTCTGTGCAGCCGATCTGATATTTTTGCTATCAGATGAAACATGACAAAGTAAGCCGAGCCACCAGGATTCCTGGAGGGAACCTTGGATGCTGCGTCTTGGGATCCAGAGCCCTGATGGGACTGAACCAGAAGGAGCCAGGGAAGGACAAACACTGGGGCTCAGGCCCTATGACCCAACGGCCATTGGTGGCCTGTCCTCATGGCCCCAAGACACCCTGTCCTCAGGCCACAGACACCATGGGCTTTGGTCAGGTCCCAGCCTCCCAGTAGTGCCCTGGCACTGGTGGGTGCTGACCCCCAAACCACAATAGCAGTTCTGGGTTATGGGTTTGGTAAAACCACCTCAGGGAGAATTCTGGGGTTGGGTTTGGCAGGAACCACGGGGCCTCCCAGGAATGATGTGTCACTCCTACTTGCCACAAAATGTGCACAGAGGCTATCCCACTGACCAGCCCATCCTGCTGGACAGGATGGAGGAAATCAGGGAAAAGGCAGGGTGGACATCTGGGGTGCAGGGAGAGGCAGGTGCATGCTGGGAGGTCAGACCCTGCGAGGGCTGTGGGGGCATCAGGTGGGGTGGGCTCCAGGTGCACCCTCAATGCACTGGGTGGGTCTCAGGCCAGGCTCCCTGGACCCTGGTTGGCTGATGTGGTCACTCCCTGGGGGACTGCTGTCAAGCCCTGGCCACCCACCCTGGGCAGCACCGTCCCATCCCAAGACCGGATTTTCTGAGTCCTGAGACAGGACAGTGCTGTCCAGGCCTGACAGACTGGGAGGACCTGCCAAGTCCTCCATCCCTAGACCAGCCTCCCACACAGCAGGGACAGTCTCTTCCATTTACCTTCAGGGCACTGACTGATCCATGTCACTCTAAGGCAACCAAGGCAGAGCTGAGGACCTGTGCCAGGCTGGGAGCCAGTCCCCTCCCTAAATGGGCCTGAGGAAAGCACCATCCCTGTCCCAATGCGCCCCAAGTTTTAGCCCAGGAGACACATAGGGAAGGGAGGACGGAGCCTCTCTGCTGGCTGACACTTGAAAAGCGGGACCTGGGAGTAGAGGGAGCGCAGGGCTGGCAGGGATGCTCCAGGCCCATGGAGAGCTTGGGCTGCACCAAGGGGCTGCCCCTCCTGGGCTGGAGGCTGTGCCCTCTGCAGGATCTGAGAAAGTCCAGTCCTGAGATGGGACAGTGCTGCCAAGGGTGGGTGGCTAGGCCTGACAGCAGTCCCCCAGGGAGTGACCACATCACCCGACCAGGGTCCAGAGAGCCTGGACCGAGACCTGCCCAGTGCACACTGAGAGTGCACCTGGAGCCCACCCCACCTGACGCCCCCACAGCCCTCACAGGGTCCGACCTCCCAGCATGCACCTGCCTCTCCCTGCACCCCTACTGCCCACCCTGCCTGTTCCCTGGCTTCCTCCATCCTGTGCAGCCCATAGACTGTTACCATCTCTCTAGCCACTCTGGCCCTTCCTTTACCTTTGTTCTTTCAGAATCTCTGAGCAAGATCTCCCAGGTCCATCCAAACACCTGCTTTGTCCACTTTTGACTGGGCCATTGGACACCACTGGGCCATCCCAGCTGTCCATAGGGCCCCTGATAACATGCATTTCCCCTGACACCTCCCAGCAGTGCTCAGCAGCCCCACTGACCAGGTCCCTGCTGACCAGATCCCGCACATCAGGTCCTCCCTGACCACACTCTCACTGATTAGGCCCCCATCACCAGGCCCCACTAACTAGATTCCCGCTGCCAGGCCCACAGTGTCCAGGACCCCACTGACAAGGACCTCACTGACAAGGCCTCACTGACCAGGGCCTCACTGACAAGACCTCCCTGACCACATTCCACCAATCATGACCCCATTGCCTGGCCCCACAGATGAAGCCCCACTGACCAGGTCTCCAGGGAACAGGCTGCCAGTGACCAGGTCCCTACTAACCAGGCCTGAGGTGACCAGATGCCCCGACCAGGAACCTAGTGACTAGGCACCACTGAACAGGCATGTACCGCTCAGACCCCCGTTGACCAGGTCACCCCATAGACCAGTGCTACAAAAGCCACCACTGATCAAGTCCTCTCTGACCAGGCCCCCACTGATTAGGTTCCACTGACCTGACCAGGCTGCCATGACCAGGGTCCCACTGACAAGGGTCTCACTGATGAGGACATGCCCTGCTGACTAGGTGCCATGTGACCAGGCCTCCACTGAATAGCACCCCTTGACCGGGTCACCAGTGACCCAGCCCATTCTGACAAGGCTACCACTAAGCCACAGCTGACCAGGTCTCCACTCACCAAGCCCTGCAGCCCAGGTTTGCACTGACCAGACACCAAACATTTGTCTGCCACTAGGTCCCCACTCACCAAGACCTGCACTACTCGATCCCTCTAATGAGACCCTCTCTAAGCAGACCCTGGCTGACCATTCCCCCAGTAAATAGGCCTCACTGACCAAGTCCCAACTGACTAGTTCACTGACCAGGCCCACACTGACCAGGCCCTTCCTAATCATACCAGAAGGCCAAGTGGCAATGAGATGTTTCATATGGCAGGGGTAGGAGCAAGACAGAGAGAGGAAAGAGGTACCACACCCTGTTAGACAACCAGATCACATGAGGTCTCACTATCAGGAGATCAGCATCAAGAAGATCCTGCACCCACACCACCGCCCACTGTTTCCAGGCAGAAGCCTCCTGCAGAGGCCAAGCCTCTTGAGAAACTTCCACTATGGCAGTGCAGAAGGAAAATATGGGCTTGGAGCCCCCAAAAAGGAGGCCACCATCCTCCAGATCCCGGATTCATAGGCCCACCAACAGCTCACACCCTCAGTATGGAAAAGCTACAGGCACTCAACACCAGCCCAGCCCATGAGAGCAGCCATGGGGCTAAAGCCTGCAAAGCCACAGGTGCACTGCCCTAGTAGAGGTTTTCCATGAGCCTCTGCCTCTGCAGAAGGCTACTCCCCCTTCCTACTACCCCCCATCCTCCTACCACCCTACTGACAACCTACTCCTCCCCACCCTACCCCTCCTTTTCCTACCACCCCGAACCCCCTCCCATTCAAGATTAAATCGCCTACCACCAGGCCCCAAAATTAAGGATTACAATTCCATATGAGTTTTATATGGACACACAGTCAATCCATATTATTTGACCCAGATACCCCAGAACCTCATGTCCTTCTCACACAGCAAAACACAGTCATGCATGTTCAAAAGTTTCCAAAATTCTTAACTCATTCCAAATATAAAAAATTCAAAGTCTCATCTGAGACAAGGCTACAGTCCCTTCGGCCTATCAGTCCCTGAGTTCAAAAGGCATTTCTTTTCTTTCAAGATACAATGATAGTACAAGCATTAAGTAAGGTTTCTCAATCCAAAGGGAAGAAATTCCCCAGAAAAATGACAAAAATGTCAGTCCAAACCCCAGCAGGACAATATTCACTCAATCTTTAAGCTCCATAATCATCAAGAGAACTCACTATCACGCAGACAGTATTAAGGAGATAGTGTTTCACCAGTTGTGAAGAATCCGTCCCCCCTCATTTTTCACCCCCACCCACAAAATAATCTCTCCTATTCTCCCCACTCCCCCACCTCCAACCCCCACTCTTCTCCATGATTAAATCATCTCCCACCAGGCCCCACCTTTAACATTCCCCATTACAATTTCACGAGAGTATTGGTAGTGACACAGGGCCAAATCATATTATTCTCACCCAGGTCCCCCCACATCTCATATCGTTGTCACACTGCAAAATACAATGATGCCTTCTCTACAGTCCCCCAAAGTCTTAACTCATTCCAGCATTTACTGAAATGTCCAAAGCCCAGTCTCATCTGAGACAACGCTGCCATCCCTTCTGCTCGAGCCTCTGAAATACAAAGCAAGTTAACTACTTCCAAGGTACAATGATTGTAGAGACATTGGGTAAGCATTCCCAGCCAAAAGGAAGAAATTTGTCAGAGGGAAGCACAAAACACAGATGGGACTTGCAGACCCCATGCAAGTCAAAAACCCAGCAGGAAAGTCATTCCATCCTACAGCTCCAAATCATCTTTCCTGAAAGGATCTACATCCCACATCTAGAGCACAAGAGTGGATGGCGGGGCTCCCAAGGCCTTGGGCAGCTCAGCTTCTGTGGCTGTGCAGGGTCTTTCCCCACAGCTGCCCTCGTGGGCTGGGCTGGTGGTCAGTGCCTGTGGCTTTCCCACACTGAGGGTGCAAGCAGTTGGTGGGTCTATGAATCTGGGGTCTGGAAAATGGTTCCTCCCTGTATGGGGGCATCAACCCTGTATGTTCCTTCTGCACTGCCCTAGTAAAGGTTTCCCATGAGGCTCTGCCTCTTGGAAAAGCTTCTGCCCAGCTGGACACTGAGGTTTTTCCTTACATACTCTTGAGTCTAGACAAAGGCTCCCAAGCCTGTGCACCTGCTGGCTTAACACTATGTGGAAGCCACCAAGGCTTGCAGCTTGCACCCTCTGAAGCAGTGACCCAAGCTGTACCTGTGCATCTTTCAGCCATGGCTGGAGCTGGAGCTGGAGCTGCAGGGATGCAGGCGGCACTGTCCTGAGGATGGACACAGCAGCGCGACCATGGGACTGACCCAGGAAACCATTCTTTGGTCCTAGAACTCAGGGCCTTTGACAGCAAGCTCTGCTGCAAAGGTCTCTGAAATGCCTTCAAGGCCTTTTTAACATTGTCTTAGCTATTAGCACTGGGCTCCATTTTATGCACATTTCTGAAGCCTTCTTGAATTTTCCCACTAAAAATCAGCTTTTCTTTTTGACCTCTTGGGCAGGCTGCAAATCAAACTTCAAAGCTCTGCTTCTCATTTAAATATAAGTTTCAACTTGAGGTCATTTATTTGGTCACACAGAACACCACAGGCTGTTCAATACAGACAAGATACCTCTTGAGCTTTGCTGCCTAGAAGTTCATTTCACCAGATATACCCTAAATCATCACCCTCAAGTTCAAAGTTTCACAGGTCACCAGGGCAGGGGCACCATCCAGCCAAGTTCTTTGCTAAGGCAAAAGAAAAGTTACCTTGGCTTCTGCTCCCAGTAAGTTGTTCATTTTCATCTGAGACCTTCTAAGCCTGGCCTTCACTATCCATCCTTCAGTCACCCTTTTAATTATAACTATTTAACACATCTCTACAATAGTCAAAACTTTCATTCATCTTTCTGTCTTCTTCCAAGCCCTCCAAACTGTGCAGCCTGCGGTCGTTACCCAGCTTCTGAACCTGCTTCTGAACTTGCGTCTACACTTTCAGCTATCGTTGTGACAGCCTGGCAGTGTGGTAAAAGAAAAAAAGTCCATTTTCAGGGGGAAAATTCAAGAAGGCTTCAGATATTTGCATATAAAAGAAGCCAAATGTTAATAGTAAAAAATCAGGAAAAAAACCTTGAGGGCATTTCATAGCTCCACTCTACAGTACAAATTTTCTGTAGTATTATTTTAAAAAGAGGTTTAATTGGCTCACGGTTCTGCAGGCTGTAAAGGGAACATAGTGGCTTCTGCTTCTGGGAGGACTCAGGAAGTCTCCTACCATACCAGAAGGCCAAGCGACAATGAGATGTTCCATATGGCAGGTGTAGGAGGAAGACAGAGAGAGGAAAGAGGTGCCACACTTGTTATACAACCAGATCTCATGAGAACTCAGTATCAGGAGATCAGCATCAAGAAGATTAACCATTGGTGAAGGATCCACCCACACCACCCCCCACTGTTTCCACGTAGAAGCCTCCTGCAGAGGCAGAGCCTCTTGGAGAACCTCTACCAGGGCAGTGCAGAAGGAAAATGTAGGCTTGGAGCCCACATACAGGAGGCCACCATCCTCCAGACTGCAGATTCATAGACCCACCAACAGCTTGCACTCTCAGAGCAGAAAAGCTACAGGCACTCCACACGAGCCCAGCCCATGACAGCAGCCATGGGGGCTACACCCTGCAAAGCCACAGGTGCCCTGCCCTAGTAGAGACTTTCCATGAGCCTCTGCTTCTGAAGCAGGTTACTCCCCCCTCCTAGTACCCACCACCCTACTAACAACCTACTCCTCACCCTACCCACCCCTTTCCTTCCATCCCCGGTCCCCCTCCCATCCATGATTAAATCACCTCCAGCCAGGTCCCACCTCCAACATTAAGGATTACAATTCACATGAGTTTTGGTAAAGAAACACAGCCAAATCATATTATTCTGACCTGATACCCTGCAGTCTCTTGTCCTTCTCACAGAGCAAAATATATTCATGTCTTTTCAAAATTTTCCAAAAGTCTTAACTCATTCCAACAATAACTCAAATGTAAAAAATTCAACATCTCATCTGAGACAAGTCTACAGTACCTTTTGCCTATGAGTCCCTGAATTTAAAAGGATGTTCTTTCTTTCAAGGTACAATAATGGTACAGGCATTGGGTAAGCTTTTTCAATCCAAAGGGCAGAAATTTCCCAGGAAAATAACACAAATGGGACCACAGGCCCAATGCAAGTCCAAAACCCAGGAGGCCAGTATCCATTTAATCTTACAGTTCTAAAATCATGAAAAGAACTCACCGTCACAAGGACAGCAATAAGGAGATAGTGTTTAATGATTTGTGAAGGATCTGACCCCCCACCCCAATTTTCACCCCTCACCCCCACCATAATTCCCCCATTTTCCCTACACCCCCATCTTCCAACCCCCACTCTGCACCATGATTAAATCATCTTCCACCAGGCCCCACCTTTAACATTCCAATTACAATTCCACATGAGTTTTGGTAGGGACACAGAGCTGAATTTTATTATTCTTTCCCTCACTCCCCAAATCTCATGTCCTTCTCACATTGCAAAATACAATGATGCCTTCCCTAAAGTCCCATAAAATCTTATATCATTCCAGCATTTATACAAATGTCCAAAGCCTAAAGTCTCATCTGACACAAGGCTACAGTCCCTTAGGCCCATGAGCCTCTGAAATATAAAGCAAGTTAACTACTTCCAAGGTACAATGCTTGTACAGGCATTGGGTAAGCATTCCCAGCCAAAAGGAAGAATTTTGCCAGAAAAAAAAACAAAACACAGATAGGACTTACTGGCCCCATGAAACTCCAAACCCAGAAGGCCAGTCATTCAATCCTACAGCTCCAAAATCACCCTTTTTGAAACCCTGTCCCACATCCAGGACACAGGGGTGTGAGGGCTGGGCTCCCAAGGCCTCGGGCAGCTTGGCACCTGTGGCTTTGCAGGGTATATGCCCCAAGGGTGCCCTCATGGGCTGGGCTGGTGATGAGTGCCTGTGACTTTTCCACATTGAGGAAACAAGTTTTGGGGGGGGGGGTCTATGAATCTGGGGTCTGCATGATGGTGGTCTCCAGTGTGGGAGTTCCAACCCCATATTTTCCTTCTGCACTGCCCTAGTAGAAGTTTGATATAAGGCTCTGCCTTTTTGGGATGTTTTGCCTGGACACCCAGGAATTTCCATACATCTTCCAAAATCTATAGAGAGGCTCCCAAGCCTCTAGTCTCACACTCCGTCCACCAGTGGCTTAACACTATGAGGATGTTACCAAGGTTTCTAGCCTGCATCCTCTGAAGCAGTGACCTGAGCTGTACCTGTGCATCTTTCAGCCATGGCTGGAGCTTGAGCTGCAGGGATGCAGGCAGCAGTGTTCTGAGGCTGCACATAGAGGAGGCTCATGGAACTGGCCAAGGAAACCATGCTTCTCTCCTAGGCCCCAGGGCCCACAATAGCAAGGGCTGCTGCAAAGGTCTCTGAAATGCCTTCAAGGCCTTTTTCCCTATTATCTTGTCTATTAGCACCGGGCTCCTTTTCATGCAAGTTTCTGAAGCCTTCCTCAATTTTCCCCCTGAAAATCAGCTTTTCTTTTTGACCACTTGGCCAGGCTCCAAATTTTCCTAAATTTGAGTTCTGAGAGACGGGACTCATTTAATGTAAGTCCCATCCAGAGGTTATTTCCTCCATCACACATAAGAGCACAGGCTGTTCCATGGGGACAGGACACCTCTTGAGATTTGCTGCCCAGTTCATTCCACCAGATACTCAGTAAGTCATCACCCTCAAGTTCAGTTTCACAGATCTCCAGGGCAGGGTCACCGTGCAGCCACATTCTTTGTTAAGGCAAAACAAAAGTCACTTTGGCTTCTGTTCCCAGTAAGTTCCTCATTTTCATTTGAGACCTTCTAAGTCTGGCTTTCACTCACCATTTTCCTGTGAGCCTTCTGGTCACAAGTATGTAACAATTCTTTACAAAGATCCAAACTTTCCCTCAACTTCTTGTCTGCAAAGCCCTCCAAACTCTCTGAACTCTGTCTGCTACCCCCTTCTGAACCTGCTTCTACATTATCAGCTATCTTTGCTGCAGCCTGACAATGTAGTAAGGGAAGACAAGTCCATTTTCAGGGGGAAAATTCAAGAAGGGTTCAGAGACTTGAATGAAAAGAAGCTGAGTGCTCACTACCAAGACAATAGGGAAAAGGCCTTGAAGACATTTAATAGACCCACTTTGCAGTACTAATTTTCTCTATGATCATAAAGAAGAGGTTTACTTGGCTCATGATTCTGCAGGCTATAAGGAAGTATAGTGGCTTCTACATCTAAGAGGAATCAGGAAGCCTCCCAGTCATACCAGAATGTCAAGGGGCAATGAGATGATTCATGTGGCAGGAGGAGGAGCAAGACAGGGAGAGGAGAGAGGTCCCACACCCTATTATACAACCAGATCTCATGAGAACTCACTATCACAAGGTCAGCATCACAAAGATGGTGCTTAACCACTGGTGAAGGATTCGCCCCCTACCCCCAACTCCCACTATTTCCAGGCAGAAGCCTGAGGCAGAGGCAGAGCCTCTTGGAAAACTCTACTAGGGAAGTGCGGAAGGGAAATATGAGCTTGGAGCACCCACACAGATGGCCACCAACCTCCAGACCCCAGATTCATAGACCCACCAACAGCTCACACCTTGTGTGGAAAAGCTACAGGCACTCAACACCAGCCCAGCCCATGAGAGCTGCGGCAGGGGCTAAACCCTGCAAAGCCACAGGTGCATTGCCCTAGTAGAGGGTTTCCCATGAGCCTCTGCCTCTGCAGCAGGCTGCTCCCCCTTCCTCCCACCCACCACCCTCCCACCACCCTACTGCCAGCCTACTCCTCCCCACCCTAACCAACCCTTTTCCTTCCACCCCAACCCCTTCCAGTCCATGATTAAATCATCTCCCCCAGGCCCCAACTTCAACATTTGGAATTAAAATTCCACATGAATTTTCATAGGGACACACAGCCAAACCATATTATTCTGACCCTGCTATCCCAGAATCTCATGTCCTTATCACAGAGTAAAATACAATCATGCCTTTTCAAAAGTTCCAACAGCCTTAACTCATTCCAAATGTAAAAAGTTCAAAGTCTCACCTGAGACAAGGCTACTGTCCCTTCTGCATATGAGTCCCTGAATTTAAAAGGGATTTCTTTTCTTTCAAGGTACAATGATGGTACAGGCATTGTGTAAGCTTTCTCAATCCAAAGGGAAGAAATTTCCCATAAAAATAACACAAATGGGACCACAGGCCTAATGGAAGTCCAAAACCCAGCAGGACAGTATTCACTCAATCTTTAAGCTCCATAATCATCAAGAGAACTCACTATCATGCAGACAGCATTAAGGAGATAGTGATTAACCATTTGTGAAGAATCCACCCCCCTATCCTCATCTTTCACCCCCACCCACAAAATAATCTCCCCCATTCTCCCCAAACCCCTACTTCCAACCCCCACTCTTCTCCATGATTAAGTCACCTTCCACCAGGCTCCAACTTTAACATTCCCCATTACGATTCCACATGAGTATTGGTAGGGACACAGAACCAAATCATATTATTCTGGCCTTTGGTCCCCAAATCTTGTATCCTTGTCACACTGCAAAATACAATGATGACTTCTCTACTGTCCCCCAATGACTTAACTCATTCCAGCATTTACTGAAAAGTCCAAGGACTTACAGACCCCATGAAGTCAAAAACCCAGCAGGCCAGTCATTGAATCCTGCAGCTCCAAATCATCTTTTCTGAATCTACATCTCACATCTAGAGCACAGGCATGTGATGGCTGGGCTCCCAAGGCCTTGGGCAACTCTGCACCTGTGGATTTGCATGATATATCCCCCACAGCTGCCCTCATGGGCTGGGCTGTGTTGAGTGCCTGTGGCTTTTCCACACTAAGGGTGCCAGCTGTTGGTGCATCTATGAATCTAAGGTCTGGAGAATGGTGTCTCCATATTTAGGGACTCCAACCCCATTTTCTCCTTCTGTACTGCCCTGGTAAAGGTGTGCCATGAGGCTCTGCCTCTTGGAAAAGCTTCTGCCTGAACACCCAGGTTTTTCCGTACATACTCTGGAGTCTAGACACAGGCCCCCAAGCCTCTAGTTTTGTGCTCTGTGCAGCCGCTGGCTTAACACTATGTGGAAGACACCAAGGCTTGGAACTTGCACCCCTGAAGCAGGGATGCAAACTCTACCTGTGCATCTTTCAGCCATGACTGGAGTTGGAAATGGAGCTGCAGGGATGCCGGCAGCAGTGTCCTGAGGCTGCACATAGAGGGGGCTCATGGAACTGGCCCAGGAAACGATGCTTCTCTCCTAGGCCCCAGGGCCTGTGACAGCAAGGGCTGCTGCAAAGGTCTCTGAAATGCCTTCAAGGTCTTTTCCTTATTGTCTTGGCTATTAGCACCGGGCTCCTTTTCGTGCAAATTCCTGAAGCCTTCTTGAATTTTCCCACTGAAAATCGGCTTTTCTTTCTGACCACTTGGCAAGGCTGCAAGTTTTCCAGACTTTTGAGTTCTGTTTCTCATTTAATATAAGAGTTGTGACTCATTTAATGTAAGACCCATCCAGAGGTCATTTCCTCAGTCACACAAAAGGGCAAGGGCTGTTTCATGCAGACAGGACACCTCTTGAGCTTTGCTGCCCAGAAGTTCATTCCACCAGATACTCACTAAGTCATCACCCTCAAGTTCAAAGTTTCACATATCTCCAGGGCAGGGTCAATGTGCAGCCACATTCTTTGCTACAGCAAAACAAAACTAACCTTGGCTCCTATTCCCAGTAAGTTCCTCATCTTCATCTGAGACCTTCTAAGTCTGATCTTTACTGTCTATTTTCCTGTGAGCCTTCTGATCACAAGTATTTAACAATTCTTTACAAAGATCCAAATTTCCCCTCAATTTCTTGTCTTGGAAGCCCTCCAAACTCTCCTGAACTCAGTCTGCTACCCCCTTCTGAACCTGTTCCTGCATTATCACCTATCTTTGTCAAAGCCTGGCAATGTGGTATGGAAGACAAGTCCATTTTCAGGGGGAAAATTCAAGGAGGATTCAGAGACTTGAATGAAAAGAAGCTGAGTACTGATAGCCAAGACATGGGGGAAAAGGCCTTGAAGACACCTAATAGATCTTCTTTGCATTAAAAATGCTCTCAATGATCAAAAAGAAAAGAAGTTTAATTGTTAATGATTCTGCAGGATGTAAGGAGGCATACTAGTTTCTGCATCTCAGAGGACTCAGGAAGCCTCCCAATCACACCAGAATGTCAAGGGGCAATGAGATGTCTCATATGCCAGGAGCAGGAGCAAGCATGAGAGAGGAAAAAGGTGTCATGCCCTATTATACAACCAGATCTCATGAAAACTCACTATCATGAAGACAGCATCAAGCACATGCTGCCTAACCATTGGTGAAGGAACTGCCTCCCACACCCACCTCCCACTGTTTCCAGGCAGCAGCCTGCTGCAGATGCAGAGTTCTTGGGAAACCTCTACTAGGGCAGTGCAGAAGGAAAATATGGACTTGGAGCCCCCACATAGGGGGCTACCACCGTCCAGACCCCAGATTCACAGACCCACCAACAGCTGGCACCCTCAGTGAGGAAAAGCTACAGACCCTCAATACCAGTCCCGCGCATGAGAACAGCTGAGGAGCTAAACCCTGCAAACCACAGGTGCACTGCCCTAGTAGAGGGTTTTCCATGAGTCCCTCACTCTGCAGCAGGCTACTCCTCCTTCCTACTACCACCCACCCTCCCACCACTCTACTACCGACCCACTCCTCCCAATCCTACCCATCCCTTTTACCTTCCACCACCACCAACCTCCCGTCCATAATTAAGTCACCCGCTTCAACATTAGGGATTACGATTCCGCATGAGATTCATAGGGACACACAGCCAAACCATATTATTCTGACCCTGATATCCCAGAATCTCATGTCCTTATCACAGAGCAAAATGCAATCATGACTTTTCAAAAATCTCCAAAAGTCTTAACGCATTCCAAATGTAAAAAAATTCAAAGTCTCTCCTGAGACAAGGCTACAGTCTCTTCTGCCTATGAGTCCCTGAATTTAAAATGGAGTTCTTTTCTTTCCAGGTACAATGATGGTATGGGCATTGGGTAAGCTTTCTCAGTCCAAAGGGAAGAAATTTCCCATAAAAATAGCACAAACGGGCCCACAGGCCCAACACAAGTCCAAAACTCAGCGGGACAGTATTCACTCAATCCCACAGCTGCAAATATCATCAGGAGAACTCACTATCACACAGGCGGCATTAAGGAGATAGTGTTTAAACATTTGTGAAGGATCTGCCCCCTACCCTTACCTTTTACCCCCACCCACAAAATAATCTCCCCCATTCTCCCCACACCCCTACCTCCAACGCCCACTCTTCTCCATGAATAAATCACCTCACACCAGGCCCCACGTTTAACATTCACCATTACAATTCCAAATGAGTTTGGTAGGGATGCAGACCCAAATCGTATTATTCTGACCCTGACCCCCCATATCTCATGTTGTTCTCACACTGCAAAATACAATGATGCCTACTCTACAGTTTCCCAATGTCTTAGCTCATTCCAGCATTTACTGAAATGTCCAAAGCCCAAAGTCTCTTCTGAGACAAGACTGCCATCCCTTCTGCCCCTGAGCCTCTGAAATACAAAGCAAGTTAATTACCTCCAAGGTATGACTGTCCAGGCATTGAGTAAGAACCTCCACCCGAAAGGAAGATTTTTTGCCAGAGAGAAGAACAAAACACAAACGGGACTTACAGGTTCCCATGACATTCCAAAACCCAGCAGGCCAGTTATTCAAACCTACAGCTCCAAAATCATTCTTTTTAAATTCTTGTCCCACATCTAGGACACAAGGGCATGAGGGCTGGGCTCCCAAGGCCTTGGGCAGCTCTGCACCTGTGGCTTTGCAGTGTTCAGCCCCCGCAGCTGCCCTCATGGGCTGTGCTGCTGTTGAGTGCCTGGAGTTTTTAACCCATGGAGGGTACGAAGCTTTTGATGGGTCTATGAACCTGGGGTTGGCACGATGGTGGCCTCCAGTGTGGGGGCTCCAACCTCATATTTTCCTTCTGCACTGCCCAAGTAGAGGTTTCCCATGAGACTCTGCTTTTTTGGCAGCCTTCTGTCTGGACACCAGGCATTTCCATACATCTTCCGAAATATATTTATATGGAGGCTCCCAAGTCTCTAGACTAGTGCTCCGTGCACCCACTGGCTTAACACTATGTAGAAGCCACCAAGGCCTATAGCTTGCACCCTCTGAAGCAGTGACCCAAGCTGTACCTGTGCATCTTTCAGCCAAGGTCGGAGCAGGAGCCGGGGCTGCTGGGATGCAGGCAGCAGTGTCCTGAGGCTGCACACAGCAGCAGGGCCACGGGGCTGGCCCAGCAAACCATTCTTCTCTCCTAGGTCCCAGGGCCTGTGACAGCAAGGGCTGCTGCAAACATCTCTGAAATGCCTCCAAGGCTTTTCCCCACAATTGTCTTGGCTATTAGCACTGGCCTCCACTTTATGCAAATTTCTGGAGACTTCATGAATTTTCCCCCTGAAAATCAGCTTTTCTCTTTGACAACTTGGCCAGGCTGCAAATGTTCCAAACTTTTGAGCTCTGCTTGTCATTTAAATATAAGTTCCAACTTGAGGTCATTTCCTTGGTCACACATGAGAGCGCAGGCTGTTTGATGCAGACAGGATCCCTCTTGTGCTATGGTGCCTAGAAGTTTATTCCACCAGATATGCACTAAATCATCACCCTCAAGTTCAAAGTTTCACAGATCTCAAGGGCAAGGTCGCCCTGCAGCCACGTTCTTTGCTACAGCAAAACAAAAGTAACCATGGCTCCTGTTCCCAGTTAAGTTCCTCATTTTCATCTGAGACCTTGTAAGCCTGGCCTTCCCTGGCCTTCCTTCTGTCAGCATTTTAATCAAAACTATTTAACAAGTCTCTACAATGGTCCCAACTTTCCCTCATCTTCCTGTCTTTTTTCAAGCTCTCCAAACTCTCCAACCTCTGGCTGTTACCCACTTCTGAACCTGCTTTACATTTTCAGCTATCTTTGTTGCAGCCTGGCGCTCCTGCCTTTCACCCGTAACCCCAAACACAATCCCAATCCCCCACAACTCTCCCCACCCCCCCAATACCCTCCAACTCTCCCCATCCTCCCCCCCATCCAACCTCCACTCTCCACCAGGGGAAACTTCAAGAAGGCTTCAGATATTTGCGTTAAAAAGAAGCCCAGTGCTAACAGCCAAAACAGTGGGGAAAAGTCATTGAAGATATTTCATAGCTCCACTTTGCAGTACTTATTTTCTGTGTGGTCATAATGAAAAGGGGATTCATTGGCTCATGGGTCTTCAGGCTGTAAAGAAAGCATGGTGGCTTCTGCTTCTGGGAAGACTCAGGAAGCCTCCCAATCATACCAGAAGGAAAGCAGCAATGAAATGTTTCATACGGCAGGAGTAGGAGCAAGACTCACAGAGGAAAGAGGTGCCACAGCCTGTTATACAACCAGATCTCATGAGAACTCACTATCACTAAGTCAGCATCAAGAAGATGGTGCTTAACCATTGGTGAAGGATCCACCCCCCAACACACCTCCACCCCCTACTGTTTCCAGACAGAAGCCTGCTGCAGAGGCAGAGCCTCTTGGAAATCCTGTTCTGTGGCAGTGCAGAAGGAAAACAAGGGCTTTGAGTCGCTCTGCAGGAGGCCGCCCTCCTCTAGACCCCAGATTCATAGACCTACCAACAGTTCACACCCTCAGTATGGAAAAGCCATAGGCACTCAATACCAGCCCAGCCCATAAAGGCAGCCATGGGGGCTAAAGCCTGCAAAGCCACAGGTGCACTGCCGTGGTAGAGGTTTTCCATGAGCCTCTGCCTCTGCAGCAGGCTACTCCCCCTTCCTACTACCCACCACCCTCCGACCACCCTACAGCCAGCATACTGTTCCCCACCCTACCCACCCCTTTTTTCTTCCACCCCCACACCTCCCATCCATGATTAAATAATCTCCCACCAGGCCCCACCTCCAACATTTGGGATTACAATTCCAAGTGAGTTTTTCTAGAGGCACACAACCAAATCATATTATGCTGACCTTGACCCCCCCAAATCCCATGTCCTTCTCACACAGTAAAATACAATCACACCTGTTCAAAAGTTTCCAAAAGCCTTAACTCATTCCCGCATTAACTCAAGTGTGAAAAGTTAAAAGTCTCATCTGAGACAAGGCCCTTCTGCCTATGAGTCCCTGAAATTAAAAGCACACTCCTTTCTTTCAAGGAACAATGATGGTACAGGTATTGGGTAAGTTTTCTCAATCCAAACGGAAGAAATTTCCAAGAAAAATAACACAAGTGGGACCACAGGCACAATGGACATCCAAAACCCAGCAGGTCAGTGTTCATTCAGTCTCACGGCTCCAAAATTATGAAGAGAACTCACTATCAGAAGGACAGCATTAAGGAGACTGTGTTTAACCATTTCTGAAGGATCCACCTCCACACCTGCCTTTCACCCATAACCCCACCACAATCCCAACTCTCCCCATCCCCCGAAAAACCCCCCAACTCTCCCCACCCTCCAATACCCTCCAACTCTCCCCATCCCCCCCATCCAACATCCACTCTCCACCATGATTAAATCACCTTCCACCAGCCCCCACCTTTAACATTCCCCATTAAAATTCCACAAGTTTTGGGGGAGGCACAGAGCCAAATCATATTATTCTGTCCCTGGTCCCCCAAATCTCATGTCTTTCTCACATTGCAAAATACAATGATGCCTTCCCTGCAGTCCCCCAAATCTTAACTCATTCCAGCATTTACTCAGGTGTCCAAAGCCCGAAGTCTTATCTGAGACAAGTCTACAGTCCCTTCTGCCCATGAGTCTCTGGATTATAAGGCAACTTCACTACTTCCAAGGTATAATGATTGTACAGGCAATGGGTAAGCCTTCTCAGCCAAAAGAAAAAAAAAAAAAAAACTGCTAGAAAGAAGCACAAAACACAGACGGGATTCATAGGATACATGAATGTCCAAAACCCAGCAGGCCAGTCACTCAATCCTACAGCTCCAGAATCATCCTTTTTGAATCCCTGTCCCACATCCATGGTACAGGGGTGTGAGGGCTGGGCTCCCAAGGTCTTGGGCCAATCTGCACCTGTGGCTTTGCAGGGTTCAGCCCCTGCAGCGGCCCTCATGGACACAGCTGGTGTTGTGTGCCTCGTAGCTTTTCCATACTGAGGGTGCAAGCTGCTTGTGGGTCTATGAATCTGGGGTTTGGAGAATGATGCCTCCCTGTGTGGGGGCTTCAACCCTATATGTCCCTTGTTTGCTCCCCTAGTAGAGGTTTCCCAGGAGGCCCTGCCTCTTGGAAAAGCTTCTTTCCTAGACATCCAGGCTTTTCTGTGCATCTTCTGGAGTCTACACAGAGGCTCCCAAGCCTCTAGTCTCTTACTCTGTACACCTGCTGGCTTAACACTATATGGAAACAATCAAGGCTTGGAGCCACCTCTGAAGCAGTAACCCAAGCTGTACCTGTGCATCTTTGAGCCATGGCTGGAGCTGGAACTACAGGGATGCAGCCAGCAGTGTCCTGAGGATGCACACAGCAATGGGGCCATGGAGCTTGCCCAGGAAACCATTCTTCTCTGCCAGGCCCTAGGGCCTGTGACAGCAAGGGCTGCTGCAGAGGACCATGAAATGCCTTCGAGGCCTCTTTCCCATTGTCTTGGCTATTTGCACTGGGCTTCTTTTTATGCAGATACTCTAAGCCTTCTTCAATTTTCCCCCGGAAAACCAGCTTTTCTTTTTGACCACTTGGCCAGGCTGCAGATTTTCCAAACTTTAGGTCTCCACTTCTCATTTCAATAGAAGTTCCAACTTGAAGTCATTTCTTAGGTCACGCATAAGAACACAGGCTATTCAATGCAGACGGGACACCTCGCTAGGCTGCCTAGATGTTCATTCCACCAGGTACATCCGAAATCATCACCCCCAAATTCATAGTTTCATAGATGTCCAGGGCAGGGTCCCCGTGCAGCCACGTTCTCTGCTAAGGCCAATCAAATGTAACCATGGCTCCTGTTCACAGGAAATTCCTAATTTTCATCTGAGACCCTTTAAGTCTGGACTTCAGTGTTTATCCTTCTGTCAGCCTTCTGATCGCAAGAATTTAACAGTTCTCCACAGCGGTCAAATTTTCCTCATCTTGCTGTCTTCCAAGCTTTCCCAACTCTCCTGACCTCTGTCTTTTACCCACTTCTGAACCTGGTTCTACATTGTCAGCTATCTTTATCACAACCTGGTAGTGTGGTAAAAGAAGAAAAGTCCACTTTCAGGGGGAAAATTCATGAAGGCTCCAGATAGTTGCATGAAAAGAAGCTGAGTGCTGGTTGCCAAGAAAAGGGGAAAGGGCCTTGAAGGCACTTCATAGCTACCAGAATGCCAAGGGGCAAGGAGACATTTCAAATGGCAGGAGTAGAAGCAAGACTGAGAGAGGAAAGCGGTGCCACACCCTGTTATATAACCAGATCTCATGAGAACGCACTATCATGAAGACAGCATCAAGCACATGCTGCCTAACCATTGGTGAAGGGACTGCCTCCCACACCCACCTCCCACTGTTTCCAGGCAGCAGCCTGCTGCAGATGCAGAGTTCTTGGGAAACCTCTACTAGGGCAGTGCAGAAGGAAAATATGGACTTGGAGCCCCCACATAGGGGGCTACCACCGTCCAGACCCCAGATTCACAGACCCACCAACAGCTGGCACCCTCAGTGAGGAAAAGCTACAGGCCCTCAATACCAGTCCAGCGCATGAGAACAGCTGAGGAGCTAAACCCTGCAAACCACAGGTGCACTGCCCTAGTAGAGGGTTTTCCATGAGTCCCTCACTCTGCAGCAGGCTACTCCTCCTTCCTACTACCACCCACCCTCCCACCACTCTACTACCGACCCACTCCTCCCAATCCTACCCATCCCTTTTACCTTCCACCACCACCAACCTCCCGTCCATAATTAAGTCACCCGCTTCAACATTAGGGATTACGATTCCGCATGAGATTCATAGGGACACACAGCCAAACCATATTATTCTGACCCTGATATCCCAGAATCTCATGTCCTTATCACAGAGCAAAATGCAATCATGACTTTTCAAAAATCTCCAAAAGTCTTAACTCATTCCAAATGTAAAAAAGTTCAAAGTCTCTCCTGAGACAAGGCTACAGTCTCTTCTGCCTATGAGTCCCTGAATTTAAAATGGAGTTCTTTTCTTTCCAGGTACAATGATGGTACGGGCATTGGGTAAGCTTTCTCAGTCCAAAGGGAAGAAATTTCCCATAAAAATAGCACAAATGGGCCCACAGGCCCAACACAAGTCCAAAACTCAGCGGGACAGTATTCACTCAATCCCACAGCTGCAAATATCATCAAGAGAACTCACTATCACGCAGGCGGCATTAAGGAGATAGTGTTTAAACATTTGTGAAGGATCTGCCCCCCTAACCTTACCTTTTACCCCCACCCACAAAATAATCTCCCCCATTCTCCCCACACCCCTACCTCCAACGCCCACTCTTCTCCATGAATAAATCACCTCACACCAGGCCCCACGTTTAACATTCACCATTACAATTCCAAATGAGTTTGGTAGGGATGCAGACCCAAATCGTATTATTCTGACCCTGACCCCCCATATCTCATGTTGTTCTCACACTGCAAAATACAATGATGCCTACTCTACAGTTTCCCAATGTCTTAGCTCATTCCAGCATTTACTGAAATGTCCAAAGCCCAAAGTCTCTTCTGAGACAAGACTGCCATCCCTTCTGCCCCTGAGCCTCTGAAATACAAAGCAAGTTAATTACCTCCAAGGTATGACTGTCCAGGCATTGAGTAAGAACCTCCACCCGAAAGGAAGATTTTTTGCCAGAGAGAAGAACAAAACACAAACGGGACTTACAGGTTCCCATGACATTCCAAAACCCAGCAGGCCAGTTATTCAAACCTACAGCTCCAAAATCATCCTTTTTAAGTCCTTGTCCCACATCTAGGACACAAGGGCGTGAGGGCTGGGCTCCCAAGGCCTTGGGCAGCTCTGTACCTGTGGCTTTGCAGTGTTCAGCCCCCGCAGCTGCCCTCATGGGCTGGGCTAGTGTTGAGCACCTGTAGCTTTTCCACAATGAAGATGCAAGATGTTAGTGAGTCTATGAATCTGACGTTTCAGAATGGTGCTCCCTGTGTGGTGGTTCCAACCCTATATGTTCCTTCCATACTGCCCTAGTAAAGGATTCCCATGAGGCTCTGCCTCTTTGAATAGTTTCGACCTGGACACCCAGGTTTTTCTGTAAATCCTCTGTAGTCTACATGAAGGATTCTGAGCCTCTAGTCTTGGCCTTTTTGCACCTGCTGGCTCAACACTATGTGGAAGCCACCAAGGCTTGCAGCTTGCAACCTCTGAAGCAGTGACCCAAGATGTACCTTTGTATCTGTCAGCCATGGTTGGAGCTGGAGCTTCAGGTATGCAGCCAGCAGTGTCCTGAGGATGGACACAGCAGCAGGGCCATGGGACTGGATAAGGAAATCATTCTTTTCTCCCAGGCCTGGGGGCCTGTGACAGCAAGGGTTGCTGCAAAAGTCTCTGAAGTGCCTTCAAGGCCTTTTTATCCTTGTCTTGGCTATTAGCACTCAATTCCATTTTATGCACATTTCTGAAATCTTCTTGAACTTTCCCACGGAAAATCAGCTTTTCTTTTTGACCACTTGGCCAGCCTGCAAATTTTCCAAACTTTTAAGCTCTCCGTCTCATTTAAATATAAGTTTCACCTTGAGGTCATTTCTTTGGTCACATATAAGACACCTCAGGGTGTTTGGCACAGACCAGACACCTCTTGAGCTTTGCTGCCTAAAAGTTCATTCCACCAGATACACTCTAAATCATCACTCTCAAGTTCAAAGTTTCACAGATCTCCAGGTTAACGGCATCGTGCAGTAACGTTCTTTGCTAAGGGAAAACAAAAGTGACCTTGGCTCCTCATCCCAGCAAGCTCCTCATTTTCATGTGAGACCTTCTAAGCCTGGCCATCACTGTCCATCATTCTGTCATCTTTTTAATTATAACTATTTAACAAGTCTCTACACTGGTCCAAACTTTTCCACATCTTCCTGTCTTCTTCCAACACCTCCAAACTCTCCAACCTCTGGCCGTTACACACTTCTCAACCTGCTTCTACATTTTCAGCTATGTTTGTTGCAGCCTGGCAATGTGGTAAAAGAAGCAAAGTCTGTTTCAGGAGAAAAATTCAGGCAGGCTTCAGATATTTGCCGGAAAAGAAGCTGAGTGCTCATTGCCAAGAAAATAAGGAAAAGGCCTTGAAGGCATTTCATAGCTCCATTTCACAGCACTAATTTTCTGTATAATCAGAAAGAAAAGAGGTTGAACTGGCTCATGGTTCTGCACGCTTTAAATAAATCATAGAGGCTACTGCATCTGGGAGGACTCAGGAAGCCTCCCAATCATTCCAGAAGACCAAGCACCAATAGTATGTTTTATATGGCAGAAGTAGAAACAAGACAGAGAGAGGAAAAAGGTGCCACACCCTGTTATACAACCAGATTTCCTGAGAACTCTCTAACACAAGGTCAGCATCAAGAATGCTTAACCATTGGTGGAGCCATTGGTGAAAGATCTGCCCCCTACCACCCACAACCCCCACTGTTTCCAAGCAGAAGCCTGAGGCAGAGGCAGAGCTACTAGGAAAACCTCTACTAGGACAAAGCAGAAAAAAAACAAAAAACAAAAAAAAAGGCTTGGTGGCCCCACACAAGAGGTTACCATCCTCCAGACTCTCTAACCTCTGGCCATTACCCAATTCAGAACTGGCTTCTACATTGTCAGCTATCTGTGTCACAGCCTGGCAATGTGGTAAAAGAAGAAGGGTCCATTATCAAGGGAAAAATCAAGAAGGCCTCCAATATTTGCATTAAAAAAAACAGTGCTAACAGCCAAGAGATTGCGGGAAAGGCCTAGAAGGCATTTCATATCTTCACCTTGCAGCATTGATTTTCTGTATATACATAAAGAAAAGAGATTTAATTGACTCACAGTTCTTTGGGCTGTAAAGAAAGCATAGTTGTTTCTGCTTCTAGGAGGACTCAGGAAGCCTCACAACCATACCAGAAGGCCAAGCGGCAATGAAGTGTTTCATATAGCAGGAGCAGAAGCACGACAGCGAGAGGAAAGAGGTGCCATATCCTGTTATGCAACTTGACCTCATGAGAGCTCACTATGAGGAGATCAGCATCACAAAGACGATGCTTAACTATTGGTGAAGGATCTGCCCCCCACCCCATATCCACCCCTCACTGTCTCCATGCAGAAGCCTGAGACAGAGGCAGAGCCTCTTGGAAAACCTCTACTAGGGCAGCGCAGAAGGAAAATATGGGTTTGGAGCCCCTATGCAGGAGGCCACCATCCTCCAGACCCCAGATTCATAGATGCACCAACAGCCCGCACCCTCAGTATGGAAAAGCTACACACACTAAACACCAGCCTAGCCCATGAGAGCAGCCATGGGGGCTAAAGCCACAGGTGCACTGCCCTAGTAGAGGTTTCCCATGAGCCTCTGCCTCTGCAGCAGGCTACTCCCCTCCCACAACATGCCACCCTCACACCACCCTACAGCCAACCTACTCCTCCCCACCTAACCCACCTCTTTGTACTTCCAACCCCACCCCTCTCCCATCCATGAATAAATCACCTCCCACCAGGCCCCACCTGCAACATTCAGGATTACAATTCCACATGAGTTTAGGTAGGGATACACAGCTAAACCATATTATTCTGACCCTGATCCCCTGAATATCATATCCTTCTCACAGAGTAAAATACAATCACGCCTTTTCAAAAGTTGCTGAAAGTCTTAAGTCATTTCAACATTAACTCAAATGTAAAAAGTTCAACGTCTCACCTGAGAAAAGGCTACAGTCCCTTTTGCCTATGAGTCCCTGAATTTAAAAGGGAGTTCTTTTCTTTCAAGGTATGATGATGGTAGAGGCATTGGGCAAGTTTTCTCAATCCAAAGGGTTTGAGATTGCCAGGAAAATAACACAAATGAGATGACAGGGCCAACACAAGTCCAAAACCCAGAAGGCCAGTATCCATTCAATCTCACAGCTCCAAAACCATCACGAGAACTCACCATCGTGAGGAAAACATTAAGGAGACAGTGTTTAACCATTTGTGAGGGATCCTGCCTCCAACCCTACCTTTCACCCCTCACCTCCACCAAAATCCACCCATTCTCCCCAATCCCCACCTTCCAACACCTACTGCCCTCCATGATTAAATCACCTTCAACTTGGCCCCACTTTTAAGATTTCCAATTAAAATTCCAGATAAGTTTCTGTAACACACAGCCAAATCTTATCATTCTGTCCCTGCCTACCCAGATTTCATGTCCTTCTCACTTTGCAAAATGAAATGATGCATTACCTGCCATTTCCCCAAGCCACTATGCTTTTTTTACAGCCTGCAGAACTATAAGCCAATTAAACCCCTTTTTGTTATGAACACACAAAAAATTAGTACTGTGAAGTTAAGCTATGAAATGCCTTCAGTGACTTTTCCCCATCGTCTTGGATAAGACCCCCAAGGTCTTAACTCATTCCAGCATTTACTCAAATGTCTGAAGCCCAAAGTCTCAACTGAGACAAAGCTGCAGTCTCTTCTGCCCCTGAGCCTCTGAAATACAAAGCAGGTTAACCACTTCCAAGGTACGATTGTCCAGGCATTTAGTAAGAATCTCCACCCAAAAGGAAGATTTTTGCCAGAGAGAAGAACAAAACACAAACAGGACTTACAAGTCCCACAAAATTCTGAAACTCAGCAGGCCACTTATTCAAACCTACAGCTCCAAAGTCATCCTTTTTAAATCCTTGTCCCACATCCAGGGCACAAGGGCATGAGGGTGGGCTCCCAAGGCCTTGGGCAGCTCTGCACCTGTGGCTTTGCAGTGTTCAGCCCCCGCAGCTGCCCTCATGGGCTGTGCTGGTGTTGAGTGCCTGGAGTTTTTAACCCATGGAGGGTACGAAGCTTTTGATGGGTCTATGAATCTGGGGTCTGCACGATGGTGGCCTCCAGTGTGGGGGCTCCAACCTCATATTTTCCTTCTGCACTGCCCAAGTAGAGGTTTCCCATGAGACTCTGCTTTTTTGGCAGCCTTCTGTCTGGACACCAGGCATTTTCATACATCTTCTGAAATATATATGGAGGCTCCCAAGTCTCTAGACTAGTGCTCCGTGCACCCACTGGCTTAACACTATGTAGAAGCAACCAAGGCCTATAGCTTGCACCCTCTGAGGCAGTGACCCAAGCTGTACCTGTACATCTTTCAGCCAAGGTCGGAGCAGGAGCTGGGGCTGCTGGGATGCAGGCAGCAGTGTCCTGAGGCTACACACAGCAGCAGGGCCATGGGGCTGGCCCAGGAAACCATTCTTCTCTCCTAGGTCCCAAGGCCCCTGACAGCAAGGGCTGCTGCAAACATCTCTGAAATGCCTCCAAGCCTTTTCCCCACAATTGTCTTGGCTATTAGCACTGGCCTCCATTTTATGCAAATTTCTGGAGACTTCATGAATTTTCCCCCTGAAAATCAGCTTTTCTCTTTGACCATCTGGCCAGGCTGCAAATGTTTCAAACTTTTGAGCTCTGCTTATCATTTAAATATAAGTTCCAACTTGAGGTCATTTCCTTGGTCACACATAACAGCACAGACTGTTTGATGCAGACAGGATCCCTCTTGTGCTATGGTGCCTAGAAGTTCATTTCACCAGATATGCACTAAATCATCACCCTCAAGTTCAAAGTTTCACAGATCTCAAGGGCAAGGTCGCCCTGCAGCCACGTTCTTTGCTACAGCAAAACAAAAGTAACCATGGCTCCTGTTCCCAGTAAGTTCCTCATTTTCATCTGAGACCTTGTAAGCCTGGCCTTCCCTGGCCTTCCTTCTGTCAGCATTCTAATCAAAACTATTTAACAAGTCTCTACAATGGTCCCAACTTTCCCTCATCTTCCTGTCTTTTTTCAAGCTCTCCAAACTCTCCAACTTCTGGTGTTACCGACTTCTGAACCGCTTTACATTTTCAGCTATCTTTGTTGCAGCCTGGCACTCCTGCCTTTCACCTGTAACCCCAAACACAATCCCCCCTAACTCTCCCCACCCTCCCAATACCCTCCAACTGTCCCCTTCCCACACATCCAACCTCCACTCTCCACCAGGGGAAACTTCAAGAAGGCTTCAGATATTTGCATTAAAAAGAAGCCCAGTGCTAACAGCCAAGACAATGGGGAAAAGTCCTTGAAGATATTTCATAGCTCCACTTTGCAGTACTTATTTTCTGTGTGGTCATAATGAAAAGGGGATTCATTGGCTCATGGGTCTTCAGGCTGTAAAGAAAGCATGGTGGCTTCTGCTTCTGGGAAGACTCAGGAAGCCTCCCAATCATATCAGAAGGAAAGCAGCAATGAAATGTTTCATACGGCAGGAGTAGGAGCAAGACTCACAGAGGAAAGAGGTGCCACAGCCTGTTATACAACCAGATCTCATGAGAACTCACTATCACTAAGTCAGCATCAAGAAGATGGTGCTTAACCATTGGTGAAGGATCCACCCCCCAACACACCTCCACCCCCTACTGTTTCCAGACAGAAGCCTGCTGCAGAGGCAGAGCCTCTTGGAAATCCTGTTCTGTGGCAGTGCAGAAGGAAAACAAGGGCTTTGAGTCGCTCTGCAGGAAGCCGCCATCCTCTAGACCCCAGATTCGTAGACCTACCAACAGTTCACACCCTCAGTTTGGAAAAGTGATAGACACTCAATACCAGCCCAGCCCATAAGGGCAGCCATGGGGGCTAAAGCCTGCAAAGCCACAGGTGCACTGCCCTGGTAGAGGTTTTCCATGAGCCTCTACCTCTGCAGCAGGCTACTCCCCCTTCCTACTACCCACCACCCTCCCACAACCCTACAGCCGGCCTACTGTTCCCCACCCTACCCACCCCTTTTTTCTTCCACCCCCACACCTCCCATCCATGATTAAATAATCTCCCACCAGGCCCCACCTCCAACATTTGGGATTAAAATTCCATGTGAGTTTTTCTAGAGGCACACAACCAAATCATATTATGCTGACCTTGACCCCCCCAAATCCCATGTCCTTCTCACACAGTAAAATACAATCACATCTTTTCAAAAGTTTCCAAAAGCCTTAACTCATTTCCACACTAACTCAAATGTGAAAAGTTAAAAGTCTCATCTGAGATCAGGCTACAGTCTCTTCTGCCTATGAGGCCCTGAAGTTAAAAGGGCATTCATTTCTTTCTAGGTACAATGATGGTACAGGTATTGGGTAAGTTTTCTCAATCCAAAGGGAAGAAATTTCCAAGAAAAATAACACAAGTGGGACCACAGGCCCAATGCACATCCAAAACCCAGCAGGACACTGTTCATTCAATCTCACAGCTCCAAAATCATGAATAGAACTCACTCTCAGAAGGGCAGCATTAAGGAGATGGTGTTTACCCATTTGTGAAGGATCCACCCCCACTCCTGCCTTTTACCCATAAACCCAAACACAATCCCCCCAACTCTCCCCACCCCCTCAATACCCTCCAACTCTCCCCATCCCTCCCATCCAACCTCCACTCTCCACCATGATTAAATCACCTTCCACCAGCCCCCACCTTTAACATTCCCCATTAAAATTCCACATGAGTTTTGGGAGAGGTACAGAGCCAAATCATATTACTCTGTCCTGGGTCCCCCAAATCTCATGTCTTTCTCACATTGCAAAATACAATGATGCCTTCCCTACAGTCCCCCAAATCTTAACTCATTACAGCATTTACTCAAATATCCAAAGCCCAAAGTCTTATCTGAGACAAGTCTACAGTCCCTTCTGCCATGAGTCTGTGAATTATAAAACAACTTAACTACTTCCAAGCTACAATGATTGTACAGGCAATGGGTAAGCATTCTCAACCAATAGAAAAAAAAATTGCTGGAAAGAAGCACAAAACACAGATGGGATTCATAGGATACATAAATGTCCAAAACCCAGCAGGCCAGTCACTCAATCCTACAGCTCCAGAATCATCCTTTTTGAATCCCTGTCCCACATCCATGGCACAGGGGTATGAGGGCTGGTCTTCCTAGGCCTTGGGCAGATCTGCACCTGTGGCTTTGCAGTGTTCAGCCCCTGTAGCTGCCGTCATGGACAGGGCTGGTGTTGAGTGCCTGTAGCTTTTCCATACTGAGGGTGCAAGCTGTTTGTGGGTCTATGAATCTGGGGTTTGGAGAATGATGCCTCCCTGTATGGGGGCCTGTGACAGCAAGGGCTGCTGCAGAGGACTGTGAAATGCCTTCGAGGCCTCTTTCCCATTGTCTTGGCTATTTGCACTGGGCTTCTTTTTATGCAGATACTCTAAGCCTCCTTGAATTTTCCCCCGGAAAATCAGCTTTTCTTTTTGACCACTTGGCCAGGCTGCAGATTTTCCAAACTTTAGGTCTCCACTTCTCATTTCAATAGAAGTTCCAACTTGAAGTCATTTCTTAGGTCACGCATAAGAACACAGGCTATTCAATGCAGACAGGACACCTCGCTAGGCTGCCTAGATGTTCATTCCACCAGATACATCCTAAATCATCACCCCCAAATTCATAGTTTCATAGATGTCCAGGGCAGGGTCACCGTGCAGCCACGTTCTTTGCTAAGGCCAATCAAATGTAACCATGGCTCCTGTTCACAGGAAATTCCTAATCTTCATCTGAGACCTTTTAAGTCTGAACTTCAGTGTTTATCCTTCTGTCAGCCTTCTGATCGCAAGTATTTAACAATTCTCTACAGTGGTCAAATTTTCCTCATCTTGCTGTCTTCCAAGCTTTCCCAACTCTCCTGACCTCTGTCTTTTACCCACTTCTGAACCTGGTTCTACATTGTCAGCTATCTTTATCACAACCTGGCCGTGTGGTAAAAGAAGAAAAGTCCACTTTCAGGGGCAAAATTCATGAAGGCTCCAGATATTTGCATGAAAAGAAGCTGAGTGCTGGTTGCCAAGAAAAGGGGAAAGGGCCTTGAAGGCACTTCATAGCTCCACTTCATAGCACTAATTTTCTGTATGATCATAAAGAAAAGAGGTTTAATTGGCTCATGGTTCAGCAGGCTGTAAAGGAGGCAGAGTGGCTTCTGCTTCTGGGACGTCTCAGGGAGCCTCACAACCATACCAGAAGGCCAAGGGGCAAGGAGATGTTTCATATGGCTGGAATAGAAGCAAGACTGAGAGAGGAAAGAGGTGCCACACCTTGTTATATAACCAGATCTCATAAGAACTCACTGTTACTAGGTCAGCATCAAGAAGATGTTGCTTAACCATTGGTGAAGGATCTGCCTCCCACCCCCATCTCCCACTGTTTCCAGGCAGCAGCCTGCTGCAGACGCAGAGTTCTTGGGAAACCTCTACTAGGGCAGTGCAGAAGGAAAATACGGACTTGGAGCCCCCACACAGGGCTACCACCCTACAGACCCCAGATTTAGAGACCCACCAACAGCTTGCACCCTCAGTGTGGAAAAGCTACAGGCACTGAACACTAGTCCAGTCCATGAGAGCATCCATGGGGGCTCAAACCTGCAAAGCCACAGGTGCACTGCCCTAGTAATGGTTTTACATGAGGCTCTGCCTCTGCAGCACGCTACTCCCCCTTCCTACTACCCACGACCCTCCCACCACCCTACAGCCAGCCTACTCATTCCCACCCTACCCACCCCTTTTTCCATCCACACCCACCCCTGCTCATCCATGATTAAATCACTTCCTCCCTCTCCCTCATCTTTCTGTCATGCTCTAATCCCTCCAAACCCTCCCAATCTTTGTTTGCTACCCACTACTGAGCCTGCTTCTACTTTTTCAGGTATCTCTATAGCAGGTTGGCTATGTAGCAATAACACAAAACCCCATTTAAGGGGAAAAATTCAAGAAGACTTCAGAAATTTGCATATAAAGAAGCCCTGTGCTAATAGCCAAGACAAAGGGAAAAAAGGCCTTGAAGACATGCACAGCTCTCTCGGCAGTTCTAATTTTCTCTATTATTGTAAATGAAAGAGGTTTAATTGAATCATGGTTTTGCAAGCTGTGAAGGAAGCATAGTGTCTTCCGTTTCTGGGAGGAATCAAGAAGCCTCCTAATTATACCAAAAGCCAAGACAATGAGATACCTCCTAAGGCAGGAGTAGGAGGAAGACAGAGTGAGGAAAGAGGTTCCACAGCCTTTTAAACAACCAGATCTCATGAGAACTCACTCGCTATCAGGAGGACAGCATCAAGGTGATGGTCCTTTATCATTCGTGGAGAACCTACCCGCACCCTTTTATAACTAAATCTTTTTCCACCTAGGCCCCACCTCTAACATTAGGGAGTATAATTCCACATGGGTTTTGATACGGACACAGAGACAAACCATATTATTCTGTCCCTGATCCCATGAATATCATGTCCTTCTCACATTGCAAAATACAATCATGCCTTGCCAGAATGAGTCTTAACTCATTTCAGCATTAACTCAAACTTACAAAGTCCAAAATCTCATCTGAGTCAAGGCTACGGTCTCTTTTTCCTATGAGCCTCTGAATTAAAAAGCAAGCTCACAGCTTCTAACGTATAATGATGGTACAGGCATTGTGTAAGCTTTCCATATTCAAAAGGAAGACCTTTTCCAGAAAGCTTCTTATTTCTATCTGAGACCTCCTCAGCCTGGCCTTCACTATCCATGTTTGTGCCAGGATTTTTATCACAACCATTTAACCAGTCTCTAAGATAGTCCAAAAATTTTCTCATCTGTCTTCTTTTGAGACTTCCAAACTCTTCCAACCTCTGCCCATTACCTAGTTCCAAAGCTGCTTCCACATTTTCAGGTATCTTTATAGCAATGCTGCAATCGTCATTTGCCATTTTCTGTTTGATTCATTTTGAAAAAGAGGTTTAATTGGCTCATGGTTCTGCAGGGTGGACAGGAAGCACAGGGCTTCTGATTCTGGGAGGCCTCAGAAATCTTTCAATCTTTGTACAAGGCAAAGAAAGAGTGAGTTGTCTCACATGGCAAGAGGAAAACACGCAGAGTAGGGAGGTGACATAGTTTTCAGTGGCCAGATCTCACGAGAAGTCACTCATGATTGTGAGGATGGTACAAGGGGATGGTGCTGAACCATTCATGAGAAATTTGCCTTCATAAATCAATTGCCTTATACCAGGATCCACCTTCCACATTAGGAAATATAATTAAATATGAGATTTGGTGGGGACACATATTCGAATTGCATCATCAGTCTTTGAGTATAAAGACATGCACAGCAGGCTTTATCCAGCCAACTTATTTGGGACTCTTTATAGGGTTTGTGGTCTACAGCATATACACTAAAATATTCATACTTCAAAGAGCAGTAAAGTGGTATTATCATTCTTCCAAAAGTCCCAATGGTAGTTTAGGCATTCATGGCATGATTTAGTTCATGTTTGCTACTGTTTCTATTCTGTCAACATATTAACTGTTTCCTACACAATTCTGTATTCAGCTGGATTTCAGTTGAGCACAAAACCATCCTTGTGCTACCACGGATAGCTGGCACTAGCTCCTTGCTAGTGTTATTATTCTGTGTAGAAAGTATCCTTGAACTGGAAACAGTCCACAATCAAATATCTAGTCATTCAACATTATCAATTCCTGGATGATTTTTGAAAAAATAGTATCTCTTGTTGCAAGAAATGCTGCATCTGTGATTTCATGTCTCTCATTCAAATTGGATGGAAGTGGTGAATTTCCACTGAAGTGGTGAAAGAATTCCTGTTCCTGTGATTCTGGTGTCATCAGCCTCTGCATCTCTATCTTCCCTTCTGCCACATGTTGCCTGTCCTCCGCGACTTTGGTAAGAACTTGCTTGTGTATGTGGATGATGTTCAGGATGTTGGTCTGGTGTCCCTGAGACAGCACTAACAGGTCCATGACTGGGTCCAGGTTCTGCCTGGGATGATTGGCAAAGAGCTCACTGACAGTGTTGAAGGCATCTGTGGTGAAGTGGATGGGCTGGTCCAGCTCCAAGGCCTGGCTGAGGCTGAAGAACTGGCAGCCTTCTGATGCTCCTTCTTAAAGCCTGTCACCATCACCTGCTTGCATGTCAACTCATTGGCTGTGAAGTTGAGCCGAGTGCCCTGTTGTTCATCTTCTTGGTGAAGCATTTGAAGCTGTCAATCTTGCTCTCCCACTCCTAAAGTTTGAGTGTCACCCTGGAGGTGGGCTCAGAGCCAGGGAGAATCTGGCACTCACCATCTCATCCTTCTCAGCATTCCTCTTGCCCTGTCTCCAGGCTGTCTCTTCAGTGCTGGTGTGGCACATCAGGAAGTGATGGAAGATGTGGCACTGTGCCTGCACCCAGAAGCTGGCCATGTGGTTCATCCACCAGATTGGGCCCTTTCTGCACTTGAACATAGAATCCTCCTCAAGAGGGCCTGTGGTCTGCCTCTTGGCACCCAAGAAGCCCACAGTGCTGTAGGAGCCCTGATGCATGGATTGGAGCCCCAAAGGCAGCGCAAACCCTGCTCCTGAGGCTGCTGCTCATTTCCTCTATGTGGCTCCATTTGCAGCACAGTTGTTGAACTGAGGCTTGTGCATGCCAGGCAAGGCCAAGTTGGCTCAAAGAGCAACCAGCCACCTCTGCAAGGGTGTACCAGGAGCAGGTGGACCAGCCACCAACCTCACTTGCTGCCAATCGGGGTAAATCAGTTATTCTGCCCTGGAGGTAGGGCCCCAGTGCCATCTGCTTTTCCTCAGGCCTCCACTTCATCAGCTGTCAGGTGGTGGTCACTCAGGGTGTGGGAACCTGGCCATCCCTGTTTCCTTGAGTGGGTGAGGTTGGTGGCTGGTCCACCTGCTCCTGGCACACCCTTGCAGAGGTGGCTGGTTGCTCTTTGAGCCAGCTTGGACTTACTTGGCATGCACAGGCCCCGGGTACTGACAAGCTGCTCCGAGTGAGCTTGTCTTGTCTTGGGCCAAATTCTAACTCTGGCCAGGGCCACAGAAGGCTGAGTCCCCTGGGTGGTAATCCTGGCTGCTGCAGGGAGGCCCATGGTGCTCCTCCCCTCCCAGGGCTCAGGATGAGGTTCAACTAGGACAGGACCCTTTAGGTATGGGACTTGTGCCCCAGGAGGGGGCCTCTGTCACACAGGTTGGGTAAGATGTATGGCATGCTGCTGGCTTCCAGGGCTGTTGGGATGACACATTCACCCTTCCCTCCAGGGACCTCAAAATGACCAGCTTCCCCTTTGAGAATGACTTCCCAAGGCCTAGGAGCCATCTGGGGCTGCAGGGCAGCTGGCTGCATGCTGCCCTGGCTTCTTCCATGTCGTGCTGGTCACTACCCACCAAGGGGGGTCAGATGCAGGCACCATGCAGGGCAGTTGTCTCTGGACCTGCGTCTTTGTTATCATGGAGCTGGACTGGGCCTGGGTGAGAGGGCCTGATGGGGTTGTCCTGGGTAATCACGGGGGTGATCAGAAAAGATGCAGAATGGAATTGCTGCGAGGATGAACGAGATGACTGTCAGCACAGAATAGGCAGCCGGTGAGTGTTCAGGGATTACCCTCAGTAGCTGCTCAGAGGCCAAAACCACCCAACTGATAGCGACTGTCCCCAAGCTAGGAGCAAGAGAAGAGAGCAGGTCCCACTCACCTGAGTCTGATCAGTCAGCTGTGTTGAGATGTGCCTCTCACCTAGAAAACGGTCCTTCACGCAGAGCCACTCAGACACCACAGTGTGTCTCTAACTGCTCCACAACACAGAGGCGATGGGGGCTCAGCAACAGTGACATTGTGGGGTGACACAACCCACCACAATGGGAGCCTGCATGGGTCAACAGCGCCCAGAGTCAGTGTCCTCTATCCCCTGAACTGACATGTGTGGATGCAGTGTGTTTGTGCATGCGTGTGTGCCTGTGTGTGTGTGTGCACATATGTGTGTGTGTGTTTCTCTTGCTTCTCTGGCCAGGCCTAGCTTCTCCACTCACAGGTGCACCCAGGTCATCACCGAGGGCTCATGGCCAGCATTAGAGCTTCTACAGGTGCTCCCCAATCTCTGCCTTCCCCACCCATGGTGGTCCTGGGGATGCAGAGAGAGGAGGGGCACCAGGCACAGCAGAGAGGGCTGGGACCCCCTCTAGGTGGCACACAGGTCATGTGTAAAGTTGTAGGTCTGCCAAGTGGTGCTGGATTCAACACATCTTCTCACCTTCTCTTTCCAGCCACCCTCCAAGGTGCCCTGACTCACCTTCCCTGCAGATGGAGGCAAGGAGACTCCACAGACAAACCCCCTGCCTGAGGTCACACAGTGGCCAGCTGGCCAGGTTCCTACTGACCAGCCGCCCAGGACCAGTTTCCCACTGATGAGGCCTCTAATGACCACTCCTCCATTTACCAGTTCCCACTGACCAAGTCCCCACTGACCATGTCTTCCTAACCAGGCTCACACTTAATAGGCCTCATAGGCCAGACCTCACTGACCAATTTCCCACTGACCTGGTCCCCACTGACCAGGTTCCCACTGACAAGACCACAGTTGACCAAGTCGCTGCTCACCTGACCCCCACTAAACAATTTTCCATGGATCAGTCCCCAGCTGACCGAGCCCCCTCTGACCAGACCCTCACTGACGAGGCTCCAAGCCACTAAGGCCCCACACTGACCAGGCCCCTAGTATACTGCATAGGCCCCACCAGTTTTTCATTGTTTATGTTCCAGCCCATCAGGCCTCACTAAGAAGACCATCAGTGACCAGGTCCCCATGAACCGGGCTTCCAATGACTAGGTCACCAGGTCCCCACTGAGGAGGCCTTTACTGAGGAGGCCACCACTAACCAGGTCCCAACTGACTAGGTCCTAATGACCAGGTCATCTCTGAGCATGGTCCACTGACCAGGCCCCTGAGCAGCGTGCTCAAAGTCTCATTACAATGCCCCCCTCAGCCCACAGACCCTCCCTCCCTGTATGTGTGTCCAGAGGTCAGGCCCTGGGGTTTTTTTTGGGACATGGCTTTTCCTCCAAGACAGAGGGAGAGACAGCTGGCCTCAGGCTCCAGGTGCCCAGCTCCACACTCACCCCAAAAGCCCTCTGGGCCAATCTCAAAGGAGATAGTGAGGTGGCCTGGCACTGCCTGGACATGCCATGTAGCCTATTCCTGAGTGTCAGAGTGGGAGGAAGGCAGGGACATTTGGCAGATGAGACATCTTGTGCTGTTGGGCATCCCAGGGCCCTTCCCACAGAGTCCCGATCTACAGACACAGCACAGAGGCTACAGGAAGACTAATGCAGGACCCTTGAGGCTGAGCCAGGGACCACATGAGGACTGTGCCCAGACAGCCAGAAGGCCCTTTGCTAGTTTCTTGGTACCTCATGGATGTGGCAGCGGTTGTTCTGTTGGGGACCAGTGAGCACGTGCTGGGGAGGGCTCGCCTGTGCTTCCTCAGTGGCTCCACCTCTGCTTCTAAGAAAAATCACTCATTCCATGGCTGGAGCAGAGAAAATACAACATTAGCTTAGAACATCTTGTTCCTGAAACTAAAAAAGTGCTGACAGAGTAACGAAGACAAATAAAAAAGACAAGAAGTCAGCTTGAAATGTCTACCACTGGCCTAATCTTGGGGAATTGGAGCACCAGAATCATGAGCTTTCCCTTCTCAGTTATTTATTGGTTTTACTTCTCCAGGTACAGCAAAGAAGAGAAGAAAATAATCATCTGGCAACCATCATAGTAATAATTGTTCAAACACAAGTCATCCATGAAATGCTAAATCTAGTGGGTTCTGGGAGTAACTGGATATTTACAGAGCCTCAAAGTATCTCCCCACAAAATACGGTTCAACTACAAAAAGAAAATTGTCACATTAGCATGCACAAGCCTGGCAGGTACTCCTTAACTCCCCTAAGTAGTAAAAGCTGTAAAATGCAAAGAAGCCTTCGATGACCTTTACTAAAGTATCAATGATGACTTCGTTCTTTGGCTGTTTAAACAGCTGGCATTTGGGCAATTTGAGTACGTCAAACTCAATAATACTGGTGTTCATTTGCAAGATCCACTTAAAACTTAAGGAGGCTAAAAAACATCATTTAAATTACCCTATAAATTATCATCACACATGTGATACAAAAACATCCTACTTCAGTAAAGATTGTAATGTTATATATTTTATGAGAAACAATTAAAATGTTGTGTAAACAGCCCAGTAATAAAGTTTTATAATCTTTTAAATAATAAAATTTTTCCTTAAGACTTTATGGTTAAACATTCTCTTCATTAGATGTGGCTTACCAGTGGATTATAGAGAAGTAAGTAGACGGGAGCAAGTGTTCAACACAGCAACAACTGGAAAGAGAAAGAATTATGTTCTTTACCTAAAACACTTCAGTTAACTAAATGTGAGTTTAAATACTAAAGAGTTGAGAACTTTATCAGAGTTAGTAAGAATGAGAAATATCTATGTACATTTACAATACAAAATTACTATTAAATAATTTACACATGGCATTAATTCTATTGTGTTTAAATATTAGAGGTTTTTCATTCTTCATTCATGTAATCAACAGCCACGTGCTAAGGTACTAGAACCAGCACTGGAATTCCAAGATGAAGATGGCATGGTCCACCTCCCAATAGTCATATGCTATAACCTAAAAACACAGACAGGTAGGCAATGTCCACATAGTGTCATAGATACCATGACAGGTATACAGCAGGGCACTACTGGAACACACAAAAGGGACATCTATCCCACTTTTATGTCAATATCATGGGCTTTCTGGTGGAGGAGATAACATAGGTTGATACCTGAAGGACAAGGAAAAGCTTGCCAGATAGAGGGAAGAGGCGAAGGCAAAGAGCCTGAGGTGAGGAAGAGCCCTGCGGAGTTCTACTCTCCTCCACTTTGGTGCTAGAGCAAAGGGTAGAGTGCGGTAAGTGGCAAAAAACAAGGCTGAGTAACTTGACAAGAATCACATTGACGTGGGTGTTTTTATTTCATGGTGAAAAATTTGGAACTTTTCCTGAGAACAGATGTAAGCCAATGACACAGTATATGATAGGAGATTTAAAATGTCACCTGTCAAGTGACTGCTTATGAAGGGTTATTGCCCAGCTAAGAATTTCAAAATGAGTCTGAGGTCTGTTGGCCTTCAATCTGTACCAAAACCCTGAGAACTTGGTGATGCCTTTGTTTTCTGAGAATCGTTTCAGTGTGCTGGCTGACAGTTCCATGATGATGGCAAAACTTAAGAAAGTGTAGAGCCAGTAAAAAACAGATGCACAGACTTCTTGGGAATTTTTTAAGCTATGGAACATGATGAATTTATAGTGCATAAGTACAGTCTTCTCTGTGAAAGTTTTTGTTTTCACATCTTGCATTAGATGTGTGTAAGAAAAAAAATACTTGACATAGTATCTACTAACCAAACAATGAAAAGGAATGCCATTTGTTATTTACACTTAATTTCTAAAATAAACCTAAATGTAATTAATAAATTTTGGCAACATACTTCTCTTTGTTTCTCTAGTTATTTGTTCTACACAGTCCAGCTCCATCTAAAATAAGTAAAAATAATAATAATGTTTAAGTTAAACAAGAAACATTATCATGCAAATAATGTATCACTTACAAAATGTGACCTTTAGTATTTTTAGTGACTAGACATAACTTGAAGTTTGCTTAAATAGAAAAATAATCACATAAATAAAGTAAAATTTCTACTTATTTTAAGTTTAGATAACAGAGGATGCACCTGTGTAATGCTGTTTAGAGTAATCAGACAAAAATACAGTTAATATTGGTCTACTGCATATACATGATTTTAGAAAGGTAGTGTTTTATTAGTACAAAGGTTAAACAATGGCCAGGTGTGGTGACTCATGCCTGTAATCCCAGCACTTGGGGAGGCCAAGGCAGGCAGATCATGAGGTCAGGAGATCGAGACCATCCTGGCCAACATGGGGAAACTCTGTCTCTATTAAAAATACAAAAATTAGCTGGGCATGGTGGTGCACACTTGTAGTCCCAGCTACTCAGGAGGCTAAGGCAGGAGAATTGCTTGAAGCCAGGAGGTGGAGGTTGCAGTGAGCCAAGATTGCACCACTGCACTCCAGCCTGGTGATACAGTGAGACCTTGTCTCAAAAAAAAAAAAAAAATTAAATAATTAAAGTCATCTTTTCAATGAATGCATTGCTTTGAAATTCTTAGCAAAACTCTGCCCTTTATACAAGTTTAATCCAATTTTTTTACATCAATAAATTTTATCTTAAAAAGAAATTTCTATTCTCTACTTATAGTAAACTTTTTTAATAGTAAATTTTTCTTGTTTTTTTTTTGTTTGTTTTTTTCTAGTTTGTATTCTAAATTAAGGTGGTACCTGTGTAGGCTTCTTCCAAGAGAATATTGAGGGATGCCAAGGTTTAGAGTACAGTGGAACCCATCACACAGGTAGTAAGCATAGGACCCAATAAGTAGTTTTCCAACCCTGGCCCACTCTGTCCCTCCCTGTTCTTATTTCCCAGTGTCTATTGTTCCCAGGTTTATGACAATGTGCACCCAATGTGTAGCTCCCACATAAGTGAAAACATGAGATATTTGGTTTCTGTTTCTGTGTTAGTTTGCTTAGGATAGTGGATTCCAGCTGTATCCATGTTGCTGCAAAGGACATGATTTTGTTCTTTTCTTGGCTGCATAGTATTCCATGGTATGTATGGAACATTCCAATCTACCTTGGATTTTCAATCTGCCTTGGATGCACCTGGATTGACTCCATGTCTTTGCTGCTTTGAATAGTGCTGCAATGAACACACATGTGCAAGCATCTTTTTATTACAATGATTTATTGTCCTTTAGGTATACCCCTAGTATAGTAATGGGATTGCTGCATCCAACGGTCATCCTTAGTTCTTAATTTCCAAACTGCTCTCCATAGTAGCTGAATTAATTTACATTGCCACAAACGGTGTGTGTTCCCTTTTCTCCACTGCTTCCCCAACATCTTTTTTTTTTTCTTTTTACTTTTCAACAAAAGTTATTCTGACTGGTGTGAAATAGTATCTCACTGATGTTTTGTTTGGCACTTTTCTGATGATTAACAATGGTAAGCATTTGTTAATATGTTTGTTGGCCACTTACATGTGTTATTTTGAGAAGTGTCTGTTCACGTCCTTTGCCCATTTTTAATGGTGTTATTTATTTTTTGCTTGTTGATTTGTTTAGATCTCTTATGGATTCTGGATAATAGGCGTTTGCTGTATCCATAGTTTGTGAATATTTTCTTCCATTCTCTATGCTGTCTGTTTAATCCCGTGATAGTTTCTCATGCTGTGCAGAAGCTCTTTAGCTTAATTAGATCATACTTGTCAATTTTTGTTATTCTTGCAATTGCTTTTGAGGACTTTGCCATAAATTAATTGAGAAGTATGAAGTCCAGAAGAGTATTTCCTAGGTTTTCTTCCAGGATTTTTATAGTCAGAGGATGTACTCTTATGTAAGAAAAGCACAAACCTTTTTTTTTTTTTTTTGAGACAGAGTCTCCATATAGTGCAGTGGTATGATCTTGGTTCACTGCAACCTCTGTCTCCCGGGTTCAAGTGACTCTCCCGCCTCAGCCTCCCAAGTATCTGAGATTACACATGCCTGCCAACATGCCTTGCTAATTTTTGTATTTTTAGTAGAGTTGGGTTTCATCATGTTGGCCAGGCTGGTCTCAAACTCCTGACCTCAGGTGATCCACCTGCCTCGGCCTCCCAAAATGTTGGGATTGTAAGTGTGAGCCACGGCACCTGGCCAAGCACAAAGCTTTGAACATAAAAATGGAAATGAACATTTTAGTGTTTTGTTTAATTCATAAAATGCAATTATTTTGGATTCTACTAAATAATAAACATCTATATGTGGTAAACTGTTTGGATGCCAATCATTCAGTTGTGATTATGGGTGGGAAGAGTTGAGATGGTGCAAATAAACTTTTTTTTAAATTTTTTATATTCAAGATGAAGTCTCACCCTGTCACTCAGGCTGGAGTTCAGTGGCACGATCTCGGCTCACTGCAACCTCCGCCTCCTGGGTTCAAGCAATTCTCTGCCTCAGCCTCCCTAGTAGCTGGGATTACAGGTGCTCTCCACCACACCTGGCTAATTTTTTTTTTCTACTTTTTGTACTTTCACCATCTTGGCCAGGCTGGTCTTGAACTCCTGACATTGTGACACACCTGCCTCAGCCTCCCGAAGTGCTGGGATTACAGACATGAGCCACCACACCTGGCTGGTGCAAAGAAACTTTAAAAGTGACATGGGCTGGACGTGGTAGCTCATGCCTGTTATCCCAGCACTTTGGGAGGCTGAGGCAGGCAGATCACAAGGTCAGGAGTTTGAGAACAGCCTGGCCAATATGGTGAAACCCTGTCTCTACTAAAAATACAAACATTAGCTGGGTGTAATGGCAGGTGCCTGTAGTCTCAGCTACTTGGGAGGCTGAGGCAGGAAAATCGCTTGAACCTGGGAGGTGGAGGTTGCAGTGAGCCAAGATGGTGCCACAACACTCCAGCCTGGGCAATAGAGTGAAACACTGTCTCAATTTAAAAAAAAGGGGGGGCAGTATGAACCACAGCTAAACTATAATCAATTAGAGAGTAAGCCAAAGCATCTCAAACTATATCATCAGTTATCAGGCAATAATATGCAATTTCTAAAACCTAACTTAAATGCAGCTTTTAAAGACATTTTAAATGTGTCAGTTTAGTCACATTTATGGAATAAAGTTAGTAAACGGGTATCTCTTGAAAATGAGAGCTCCAGGGAATTAAAAAATGTAAAGTTCCCATTTCCTTTCTGTGTTAACACAGCTAATTATGATCTTTACAAAACATGCATAAGTCAACAGAATTCAGTATTTCACCAAATTAAAAACAAGAATTATATTAGAGAAATGAAACCCAAAAGAGAAATGGTCATGTAACTAACCACAGTCTAGGAGTTCTTGCAGTTATTTGAAGTCTGTGGGCTTGAAATAGGAATTCTTATGGGTGTTTGGGGAATATATTTTCTGTTGAGTCCTATACTAGTAAGATTTTCAACACAAGGTGACTCTGGGTCTCGCCTTGTAGGAAGAGCACTGAGAAAATATTTCATCTGCTCTTTCTCCATAAGGAGCTTCATGCTGATCACTGCTATTTTCTTATTTGATCTGTAAAGATAGCAAAGACACACGCTTAGTATTTCATTTTTCCTCTAATGATTCTTAATGACTTGCAGTTTTTAAAAACTTGCCCTGAGAGCAAACCAAATTATCCACTAAACAGTGTTTTCACACTGAAGATGTGTGAGAGCATACCTGTTGTAAGCAAGTATAATTTTAAAATCATTCTAAAGAAGCACCTGTGTTTCTAAGGTGATTTATACTGAACAAGCAGTACAAACAAAGTAGACAGGGAAGAGAAATGGCTATCAGTGATATATGGCTTGACAGGTAACACTTGCTGCCTTCTAAAAGGGCTCTACTTGTGAGATTCTGAAGATTCCATTAGAAATACTCATATTTAAAGGGTAACAATGTGAGAAAAGAATATGTTGATTTGCTTGATTATAAGAACCACTTCACTAGAAATAATTGTATCAAAACATCATGTTGTACTCCTTAATGTAGGTTAAGAAAACTAAAATGAACAACAACAAAAAAATTTAGGAATACTTGTGTTTAGCAAACAAATTTTAGGTTTCACCCTTGTGCATTTCACCCATTATCTAGGAACAATTAAGCATTTGGCACTGAGGAATAATTCAGAACAACAACTCCTGGGGGAGAACTAGATTGGCTGGTTGGTGATCAAAAAGAACTAAAGCATGTCTGAAGGCAATTAGCGCCCAGCACTGTGACCAAGGCACTGGAGGTGGGGCTTTTTCCTTCTGCCTTCCACACACCCCTTCAGGCTGAACAAGTTTTTTTTTTTTTATACTTTAAGTTTTAGGGTACATGTGCACAACGTGCAGGTTAGTTACATATGTATACCTGTGCCATGTTGGTGTGCTGCACCCAGTAACTCATCATTTAACATTAGGTATATCTCCAAATGTTATCCCTCCCCCATCCCCCCACCCCACGACAGGCCCCGGTGTGTGATGTTCCCCCCTTCCTGTGTCCATGTGTTCTCATTGTTCAATTCCCACCTATGAGTGAGAACATACAGTGTTTGGTTTTTTGTCCTTGCGATAGTTTGCTGAGAATGATGGTTTCCAGCTCCATCCATGTCCCTACAAAGGACATGAACTCATTATTTGTTATGGCTGCATAGTATTCCATGGTGTATATGTGCGACATTTCCTTAATCCAGTCTATCATTGTTGGATATTTGTGTTGCTTCCAAGTCTTTGCTATTGTGAATAGTGCTGCAATAAACATACGTGTGCATGTGTCTTTATAGCAGCATGGTTTATAATCCTTTGGGTATACACCCAGTAATGGGATTGCTGGGTCAAATGGTATTTCTAGTTATGTTTTAACCACTTTGTGAATTACACTTCTTTAAATTCCTTGATAATTATTCCCTATTTCACAAGGATGCCTTTCTGTAACATCTTGAAAATGTTACACAAATAGTCTTTCTTGAGGCACGCTCTAGTGATAATACTAAAGATCACAATCAAAAATGATTGTGCCCGGAGTAGCAGTACCACTTGAAACTTTGGGTTTAGGTTGTGATCTACCAAAAAATAAATTAAACTCATTAATATTTCTATTTAGGAAAATTCTGACAAGCAATTTTATAACAAGATCACATTATTAATTATAAAGCTTCGAAAGTACTTAGTGACAAAAACTAACAGATCAGGTTAACTACATGAGACTTTTCAGGGGAAAAAAGCCATACAAAAGCAAAAAAAAAAAGAGAGAGAGAGAGAAAGAAATGGGACAGAAACTATCCTTGACTAACATTTTAAAGGTAAGATTATTTACTAACATTATTTTCTGAAATTACATTATTAGATTAGCATTCACTTCCTACTAATCTCCTGAAGCCATCTCACTAAAAATTATGCTTTCAAAACAAATTAATGAGCTTAATTCATTTTCTATGAGTGTATGTTTTGACTTACTTTGTTAATTTTTTTGACATGGAATTGTTAGCTTTCAATGCTGCTGCAAAGGCTTCCTTATATTCTTCTAATTCGGTTGTAACCTCTTCATAAGCAGTTTTCATTTCTGAGAATTTACATTCCACATCTTTAAGTGTGAGTTCCTTTTTATTTAGTGAAGCCATATTATCCTTGTTTAACTGCTCTAATTGTTTTTCATATTGTGCTTGTTCCTAAAACAAAGGAAAAGAATACACTTTTAAAACAATTATAACCTAATTATTATATGTTTGTTGCCTTTCATTTTGAGTCAGTGATTCAAAGAGCAATTGTGAATATGTTAGTAAAAGAGGCTGAAGCTTAAAATATTTATCAGCAAGTTCAAAACTAATAACTGAATTCAGAATTGTCTGATTTATAAAAATTTGAAATCATAATTATGTTAGTATTAATGTAATCTGGTCATATAAAAAGTAATAGAATCCATTCATAATTTTAAAAAGTGATTAATGAACAATGTAGCTTAAGACCAATTCAAAAGTATCACATAATTTTGAAATCACAATTGTTTCTTATGCCAACTGATCTTAATCATCAAATGACTCCACAGTGAGAATCATTACTCTGAAAGATTGATTTTGTTATAATAATAATGGAAATGTAAATATTTAAAAGAAAAAACAGATGCCATTTTTTTTCTAGAACTCTACAAAGCAAATTGCTACAAGAGAGGCAGAGGAAACATAATATATACATATCCAAAATATAATTTGCGGTGAAATAAATGAAAGCACATTACAGATAAACTTACCTGATTTAAAAAACTAACCTGTAAATGGATTTCTTCTAATTTTTCTACTGCCTGCACTGCCTTTTCATCTAGCTCCAATTTATATTCTTGTAGTTTACTAAGTTCTACCCTATTGTTTTCCATATGTGTCTTAAGATTTAATATTTCTTCTTTCAACATCTTTTTATCCTCCTCAAGTTTCTCACATTGCTGTTGTACTTTTTTCATAGATAAAAACTCCTGTTGAAGAACTTGATTGTCTTTAGCCAAATTGACACATTTTGAAGATAAAGCTTCCTTCTCTGCCGTAAGATCATCAAACTGCATGAATAAAATAATATAGCTTGATAATGAAGTAGGCTGAGAATAATCTAATACAAAACCAATAGCAAATTTTGAAATGCATTTACTTGCAATAAAATGTTATCCGTAATGCAGTGGATTCTTCAAATGTGAACCCTTAAATTACTCAGAATTTTAAGAACAAAGTTAAAGCTACCATGAGTCACAAAAATATATTATTTGCTATCATCATCTTTGCCACAGAATTTTTGCACTTCATCTTACTTTTATTTTTCTGATAATTCATTTTTGTTCCTCCTTAGATGGCACTAAGTTATCTCTTAGTAAAAAGTGTCTAACCACCTTCCCTCATTATCATTCCCCATAATATGTCAAAAAAAAGTTTCAGAGATATCATATTGAGTTATTTAGGCCAAAGTCAATAAATGGCTCTCAGAATAAGACTTTGAAAATAATATAACACTCTATACTAGGCATGGTGGCTCATTCCTGTAATTGTAGCAATTTAAAAGCCTGTGCCAGAATGATCACTTGAGGCCAGAATTTGAGATCAGCCAGAGCAACATAGTGAGACCCCCATGTCTACAAAATTTTTTTTTTAAATTAGCTTGGCATGGTGGCTCATGCCTCTAGACCCAGCTAGTTGGGAGACTGAGGCAAAAGGATGGCTTGTACCCAGAGTTCAGGGCTGCAGTGAATTATGACCACATCACCGCACTTCTGCCTGGATGACAGACAAAGACCATATCTCAAAAAAACACAAAATAATGAATCCTGTAAATAAGGATTCTGATGCCATAAGCCTTTCCTTAAACTGCAAATGTTTCATGCTAATTTGAATTGCATTTTACGAAGTAATGATTCTTGGGGTAAAGGCCATAGAATACACACCCAGAAATAAATCCACATATTTACAGCCAACTGATTTTGGACAAAGGTGCCAAGAACATACACTGGGGGAAGGACAGTCTCTTCAAATGAATGGCACTGGGAAAACTAAATATCCATATGGAGAAGAATGATACTAGCTTCCTATGTAACAGCACATAATGAAATAAACTCAGAATTGATTGAAGACTGACATTTAAGGCCTAAAATTATGAAACCACTCTAAGTAAATGGAGGAAAAATGCTTGAGGACATTAGTCTGCACAAAGATTTTTATGGGTAAGACATCAGAAGCATAGGCAAAAACCAAATGATAGACAAATGGTATTACATTAAGATAAAGAGCTTCTGCCCAGCAAACTGAGTGAAGAGAAAACCAGTGGAATGGGAGAAAATATTGTCAACTATTCATCTAATAAGGGACTAGTATCCAAAATATACAAGAAACTCAAAAAACTTGACAGTAAAAAAAAATCTGGGTTCAAAATTGGGCAAAATATCTAACTATACTTTTCTTTAGAAAAAAGAAATACAAATAGCCAATAAATAAATTTAAAAACGCTCAGTATCACTAATCCTCAGGGAAATAAAAATCAAATCTTCAATGTGATACAATCTTGCTTCAATTTGAATAAATTGCTATCATTGAAAAGACAAAAAAATAACATATGCTGGTGAGGTTCCAGAGAACAGTAAACTCTAACATGCTGTTGGTGGGAAGGTAAATTAGTGCAGCCACTATAGAAAACAACATGAGGTTTTCTCAAAAAGCTAATAATGGGACTGCCAAGGGATCCGGCAAACCCACTATTGGGTATTCAGGCAATAGAAAAGAAAACAATAGATCAAAAAGATACCTGTACTCGTATGTTTATTGTAGCACTATTCACAATAGCTGATGTATGGAATCAACCTGCATGTCCATAACCAAATGAATGGACAAAAAACTGTGGCACACAAACACAGTAGAATACTATTCACCGTATAAAGGAATTCAATCCTGTTATTCGTGGCCATGTGGATCAGTCTGAGGGATGGTATGTTAAGTGCAGACACAGAAAGATAAACACTGCACATTCTCACTCATATGTGGGAGCTAAAGAAAAACTGAGGGCTGGGCAACATGGCTATTGCCTGTAATTTCCTAGCACTTTGAAAGACCAAGGCAGGAGAATCACTTGAGGCCAAAGTTCCAGAGCACCCTGGACAACATAGGTAGATAGCTCTACAAAGTCAAAAATCAGACAGGTGCAATGGTGCATGCCCATAATCCTAGCTGCTCAGGAGGGTGAGGTCAGAGGATCACATGAGCCCAAGAGTTTGAGGCTGCAGTGAGCTATGATCAAGCCACTGTCTCTAGTCTGGGTGACTACAGATGCCCAGAGCCCAGACTGGACTAGCAAGGCCCTGTCTCTTAACAACAACAAAAAAGCTCACAGAGGTAGGGGAGGGGAGGATGGTTAATGGATACCGAATTACAGTTAGATAAGAGGAATGAGTTCTGGTGTTCTGTGGCATTGTAGGGTGAATATGGTTAACTATGATTTATTGTATATTTTTAAAAAGGCAGAAGATTTTGAATGTTCACAATTCAAAAAATGAAAAATGGTTGAAGTAGTAAATGTGCTAGTTAGCTCGATCATTACACACTATATACATGTATCAAAATATCACTCTATTGGCCAAAATTATGTATATACATGTCAATTAAAACAAAAGAGAAGCTATATTTATCCCATTAAAAAAACAGAATATGGGCAATCCTTACTGACTTCCTTCTAATGAATAGAATGCAGTAAAAGGGATATCATGTGGCTTCCCTATCTCAGACTGCTTTCCCTTTGAACTCAGCCCCCAGATTGTGAGTGAGATCAGGCCAGAGAGACAGCCTGGGAGTGTCAGTGTCAATATTCATGCTGCCTGCTCCAACCAAGGTTCCAGCCAATGGCCAGCATCAACCATCAAACACATGGGTGAGCAAAGCTTCAGAGGATTCCATTTCCCCAACTGATCAGCTATTCCTAGGGAAGCTGAGGGGAGCAGAGATGACCTGTCCTGGCTAAGCTTTTTTCAAACCATAGGTTCATGAACAAAATAAATGTTTTTCTTTTAAGCCACAAAAACCTGGATAATTGTTAGAAAAATAAGTTTTAAAAAGAGACAACAGGAAACATAACTTATGCAGAGAAAAGAGTCTCCTTTAAAGTAGGATCTAATAAATGTTGAGATTAATTTATTGATGGCAAACATTATTGAGAAGCAGTAGATAACCAGGAGAGAGACATAAGCTGCTGAGGAGGAACATTTCCTAAAACCCCCTTCAATTATGAACTCTGATAACAAGGCAAGGGTGTCTCCTTACAATTTCCCCTCAAGTTAGGAAATAAGACTGCAAAGAAAGAAGAAGTATGATTTGAAAAACAACTAGAAATACTTGGTTAGATAACCAAAATCAGACATTTGCCTGATTTCAGTTAATGAAAATTCTAAAAGAATAAGCTTTGAGTATTTATTAATCAATCTAGTATTCAATTTTCATTTTCCTTTTCTCAATGAGGAAATAAGGAGAACATTATGGAATGATTTTTAGTCTTCACAGAAGTAAAATAAGCACAATATGCTTTGAGTGTTAAGACATCAAATGCAATTTCTCCTTTATCTTACTTCAAGCTTGTTTGTATGGAGAAGTTAAGACCATCCCATCTCTGTATTATACCACAATGCTTCTCTACAGCACACAACTTGGCTCCGAAATTTCAAAAGTCAAAATACTAATCTACTATTTGTCTCTGATAAATTGCCTGAACATTACCTGATTTTGAAGTGCTGCACTCCTAAGACTTTTTCTTGGAATGAGTTAAACTTTATATCCCAAGAATCCTCTACTGAGCTAGAAAGCAGAGCTGTGCATCTCTGTTTCAGTAAAAGGAGGTCAATACAGGGAACTGTGGTTTCTGAGAATGCAAGATCTGCACCAAGTAAAGGATTAGATGCAGAGCTACCCAAGAGAACCAGCTACCAGGTGGAAAGAGGATCTGCGAACTACAACATGATGACTTCACATGATTTCCACTGAGGAAAGCTGGCAGCTCAGACTTCTCCTTCCTGGATGGTAAACATCTATGGAAGATTCTATGAATTATAATGAGTTAGCAAAACATAATACACTAAATATTAGACTACATCAGCAGATCCTGTGATGAAAACTTACTGAAAATATAACTATAGAGGGAGGCAATGGAAAAGAGACTAAAGGTTTGAATAGAGAAAAAAAGAAAGAGTGTCTTGTAAGCCTGACTTGCCATCATGTCTTAGAGTAAGTAAGGTATAAGCTGGCCAGAGATTCCTTTGAGGCACAAAAGGTGAAGTTAAAGATATTCCACTAAATTTAATTTTTATTATGATATAAGACAACTGGTAATATGCAACATGCTTGAAAAAATCTTCTCATTAAATTCAATTTGGCCTTGGCATAAGAATAGATATAAACAAACTAAGAATTGATAATCTACAAATAAACCTGCACATTTACAGTCAATTGATTTTATACAAGGTTAACAAAAGAACAGAATGGGAAAAGAATAGTCTTTTCAACAAATGGTGCTGCGACAACTGGATATCCACATGCAAAAAATAAATAAAGTACGAAGAAAACCCTGGCATAAATCTTTGTGACTGCATTTGGCAGTGTTTTCTTAGCTATGACTCCAAAGGAAAAATGGATTCAATGAACTTCAAAATTGAAAACTGCTGTGCTTGAGAAGACAGTATCAAGAAGTGAAAAGGTAAGATACTGAGTAGAAGAAAGTATTTGAAAAGCATGTATCTGATAAGGGACTTACATATGTAGGATATATAAAGAACCTTTGCAATTCATAAATAACAAGATAACCCAATTTAAAAAATGGGCAAAGATTTTGAATAGATATATTTGCAAAGAAGATATAAAGATGGATAATAAGCACATTAATAGATGCTTAATGTAATTAGTCATTAGGAAAAAGTAAATCAAAACCACGTGTGGTATCACTTCACACCACAGGATGAAACCTTTATTCAATAAAAAAGAGAAAATAAGTGTTAGGAAAAATGTAAAGAAATTAAAGCCCTTATCCAATGCTGCTGGGGATGTAAAGTGGTGCAGCCACTTTGGAAAACAAACTGGCAGCTCCTCAAAAGGTTAAGCATGAAGTTACCATATGACCCAGAAATTCCAGTCATGAGTATATACTCCAGAAAATCAAAAACATATGCAAGCACAAAAACTCATACGTAAATGTTTACAGCAGCATTATTAATAAGAGTGAAAAGTGGAAAGAACCAAAATGTCCATCACCTTTGGGTGGGAAAGAACCCAAAGGTCCATCACCTGGTGAATGGATAAATAAACTGTTTGATGTATCCATACAATGGAATATCACTCAGCAATAAGAAGAAACTAAGTACTGATACTGTATTAGGAGGAGACAGCAAAATGCCTAGGCAGATAAGGAAGGGTCCCCGGAGAATCCCCAACAAGCCTCACAAGTGTTTACACCAGACGTTATGTGCAGATAAGGGAACCTGGACTTGTCTTGCCTGGACATGCCGGCAGCAGACCCGAGGCCCACAAGCACTGGGGGGATGGGGTGGAGTCACCAGGAATTCACGCCTTATGCAGAGCAGGAGCCTGGCCGCTTCAGCTCCTGTGCTCCTGGTATTCAATTGTGAGGTGGAAACCTGTTTGCAGGACGCCCCTCTTTGCTGAGAGCTTTCCTTTCACTTAATAAATTCTGTCCTCCTCACCCTTCAATGTGTCTGTGTGCTTAATTTTTCCTGGTCATGAGAGAAGAAACCAGATTGAGCTGAACTAAGGAGCAAAAACCCTGCATCAATACCTGCTGCAACACAGATGCAGCATGGAAAATTATGCTAAGTGAAATAAGCCAGTCACAGTAGACCACTTGCTTTTCATTTCAGAGGCTTATAGGCAAATCTATACAAAGAAGGTGGGTGGTTACCTAGGGCTGAGGGAGGAAGGGAAAACTAGTGAAGATAGCTAAATGATGTGGGGTTTGCTTTTAGGGTGATGAAAATGTTCTACAATTGATTGTAATGATGACTGCATAACTCTCTGAAAATACTGAAGTTAATAAATTGTATATTTTAAATGAGTGAATTGCATGGTGTGTTCATTATTTCTCAATAAACCTGTTACCCCCCACCCCAAATTAATTTGGTACTAGTGATTTTGGTAGTAGTGATCTGGAGACAGGTACTGCTTGGTTTCAGATCACTGGCCAGGGTTCAAGGCCTAAGAGAATCAACAGCATGTCCTTTTCATAGAAAAAGAGATTGATATTTTAAAAGCTATCCTTTTCATTAGTTTCAAGTCTGTAAAATTAAATGAAAAATCTTTCACTGCTTAAAGCACTGACAGATTTATATTGAGGAATAAGACCTTGTTTTCCTTGGCCCCAATTTCTATCTAAAGGGTCTGGGAATCACACCCTTCAAACTATCAAATCTCATCAGATGGGTTTTATTAACTCTTATAATGTGGCTTCCTTTCTAACCTGATTCTGGTGCAGCATCACAGAGAGAAGAAGCTGAAGGAAATCAAAATATTTTACCCCAAAATATATTTTTTGTCATATTTTGAAATGGCTGCTGCAGGGCCAAGAGATTGAAATGGTCCTCATTAATGTAGCCCAATCTCTCCCCTTCTAGGTCTTCCCAGATCTGGGGAAGATTAACTAAGAGCCTGAGGCATTCAAAGTCTGAAAAGATATATTTACCCTCTATTTTCTCAACATATTTTGGCAGAATTTGGGTTTTTCCATTATCAATATTTTCCAAAATTACATGATTTTTAATACCAAAACTGATTTAAAATTACCATACGTTGGAATATAAATTATTCTATTATAAAGATACATGCATTTGTATGTTCATTGCAGCACTATTCACAACAGTAAAGCCATGGAATCAACCCAGATGTCCATCAGTGATAGACGGGATAAAGAAAATGTGGTACATATACATCATGGAATACTATGGAGCCATAAAAATGAATGAGATCATGCTTTTTGCAGGGATATGGATGAGCTCAAAGCTGATATCTTCAGCAAACTAATGCAGGAAGAAAAAAACAAACACTGCATCTTCTCACTTAGAAGTGGGAGCTGAATGATGAGAACACATGGACTCGGGGAGGGGAACAACAAACACTGGGGCCTGTTAGGATCAGGAGGGAGAGCATCAAGATCAATAGCTAATGCCTGCAGGGCTTAATATCTAGGTGATGGATTGATAGGTGCAGCAAACCAACATGACACACGTTTACCTATATAACAAACCTGCACGTCTCACACATGTAATCTAGACCTTAAGATAAAATAATTTTTTTAAATTACCTTCTGTTTTAGCTTCTTAATCAGAATATCCATTTTCAGTTGATCTGTTTTTAAGTCTCCATGGCAATCAAAGTCTTCATTTCCAAATACATTTAACATATTTATTGTCATTTCCAGGAGTTTCTTATATCTGCAGAAATGTACAGAATTAGTAAGTCAAGTATTTTTAAGAGTAAATATTTAATAATTGTTTAAACATCTGTTATGGCATATCAAAGAAACAAATCTATAAACTATGTTACTTTCAGTTTCAACTGAACATAGTTTGAAAGCATTCTATATGAAATTATAATCTTAGATAAATAATATGAAGAACAATTTTATGGCATATATGGCAGGTAAAGTGATATTATAGCCATACAGTGTTTTTGTTTTGTTTTTTGTTTTGTTTTGAGATGGAATTTCACTCTTGTTGCCCAGGCCAAAGTGCAGTGGTGTGGTCTCAGCTCACTGCAACCTCTGCCTCCTGGACTCAAGTGATTCACCTGTCTCAGCCTCCCAAGTGGCTGGGATTACAGGTGTGTACCACCACGCCTGGCTCATTTTGTATTTTTAGTAGAGACGGGGTTTCACTGGTCAGACTGGTCTTGAACTCTTGACCTCAAATGATCCACCCACATTGGCCTCCCAAAGTGCTGGGATTACAGGTGTGAGCCACCACACCTGGCCTAACCATACACTTTTTGTAAATAAACTACTGATATCCATGTTGGTATGCTAAGTAAAATAACGTATTACTAAATATAAGCCATAACCCAGAGATGAGTAACCAAGATAAAAAAGTAAAACACATACATTTAAAAAGACACAAAAGTACATTTTGATACCCACTGACCACAGTCTATCAGAAGAAAAAAAAGTACACACAAAAAGCATCAAGGAGATCATTCAATGTAGAAAAAGAGAAGAAAACATCTTTAATATCTGAGTTGAGGAGAAAAAGGATACAGGCAGTTTTAGAAAAAAGGAAAGGGGCAGAGAGATGTGTGACGATTTAAAGACTTTGAAGAAGAGATCTAGACATCTTTGCTGACATAATGTCAACAAAATGAAAGAGATACAAAACCATGTAGAGAAAAGCAATGACAGAAAAATGTTGATTCTAATCAGAAAACCAAATTAAGTGCTCAGTAAATAAATAGAAAAGTAGCTGTGTTCAGGGCTTCAAAGACAGATTCCATTGTTTTAAAAAAAATCTGTGATCAAAACATGAATGTTCATTTTACTTTTTCTTTAAGTTATACGTATATTTTTATATATATGAAATTTATTTATGTAAAACAAGTTTAATAACATGTATACTTCATGTATACAACAGAGGTACTCATGTACAATGAGTAAATTTCCACGTTTTATATCTAAAAGAAAAAGCAGAAACAAAATATAAGCTACATATCAAGATAAATTTGATGTTAAAGAATGACACAAACAGGTCTTCTTTAAACAATTTGAATGCAGCAGAGGATACTACAAAAGGAAGAAAAAATGACCACAGACAGCAAAAAAATATCTTCAGAAATAAAAATTCAAACCAGATAATGAAGAGTGCACTGGACATTAAATGTCCAAGGCGTGGTCATTGTTTTCAAAATCATTAAAGAATAAGTGGCTGGGCATGGTGGCTCATGTCACTTTGGGAGGCCGAGGCGGGCAGATCACGAGGTCAGGAATTCGAGACCAGCCTGACCAACTTGGCAAAACCCCGTCTCTAATAAAAATACAAAAATTAGCCGGGTGTGGTGGCACATGCCTGTAATGCCAGCTACTCAGGAGGCTGAGGCAGGAAAATTGCTTGGAGGCATAGGTTGCAGTGAGCCAAGACCGCGCCATTGTACTCCAGTCTGGGAAACAAAGCCAGACTTTTTCTCAAAAAAAAAAAAAAAAAAAAAAAAAAAGAATATTTTGGCATTCAAAAAAAATTTCACCTTGCCCCAGCAGCTCAGCTGACTCCCACCCCCATGACACACGTCTAAAAAGTTGTGCTGTGAGTTTCTGAAATACATTTTAAAACAGAATTCATTTAATTATGAAAATGCAAACATAAAATGAATTTGTATCTAGGTTTTAGTCAAGTAAAATTAGAGTTAAATCAATTAATAAATGGCTAACATGTTCTACAATATGAAAACCATACCCAGTTGCCTCTTCTTCTAATTCATCATTTTTCTTTCTTATTCGATTCACATTATACTTCAGTGATGATATTAACTCAAAAAGTTTTCTTAATTCTTCATTTTCTTTTTTAGGCTTAAAAAAAGTGTTTAAAATTATTTTTGTAAAATCTGGAGACCCTCTTTTATCTCAAAAATATTATTTCTCATAAGTGGATTAGTAATACGTATTTATGCAGGTGTATAAAGTGCATTTTATAAACCTGATGCCAATAAGGTCAGATTTCAATAATAGTCACTTTTCTTAAAACTGCTAAAAATGATTCAAATTTTCATCATTATCTTTTCTGAAATTTAAACTGCCAACAATGTTTGTTACAAATGAGGGTTTTTACACACAAAATACTAAGGGTTAGTTAAAAAAAAAAAGAGTAGTTATATTTACATTTTAGTTTTTAAAGATGCTCTAGAAATATTGTTTTTAACAGTTTAAGATATTCCAAGTTCTCTTAAATTACATCTTACTAAGACAAATTTTAGAAAACTCTTATCTAGTTCCCATTACATTTTTCATCCTCATCTGTCTTCAGGCTGAGCTAAATACTGTCATTCTAAGTATTCACCCATAGGTTTCAGTTTTTCCCTTTCTCTTAACCATTTCTCTTTAAATAAAGTTTATTTTTTCTACAATAAACAAAAACAACTTTCGTCTACTTTTTGTGGCTTTTCTATTATCCTGTTTCTCCCCTTCCATTGGACTCTATGACACATGGTTTCATTCAGAAATCTTTTTTCATCAATTATTGTGTTTTTTATACTGAAATCTGATTTTTAATAATTCCAATAAAAAAGTCCAACGGTCATGAAGGACTTTATCCTGCTTTACTCAGCAGAGCAGTGACCAAATGCTCCCTCTGCTCCTCTGACCCCACTTCCTTTCTAAATGCAGTGACCTCTGTTCTTCAGCCCTATCCTTTTCTGGTTTTTTGTTTTGTTTTTGTTTTTTGTTTTGAGATGGAGTCTCCCACTGTCACCCAGGTTGGAGTGCAGTGGCATGATCTCGGCTCACCACAACCTCCACCTCCTGGATTCAAGCGATTCTCCTGCCTCAGCCTCCCAAGTAGCTAGGATTACAGGCATGTGCTACCACACCCAGCTAATTTTTTGTATTCTTAGTAGAGACGGGGTTTCACTATGTTGGTCAGACTGGTCTTGAACTCCTGACCTCATGATCTGCCTGCCTTGGCCTCCCAAAGTGCTGGGATTACGGGTGTGGCCACTACGCCCGGTGGCTATTTAGCTTTTTAAATTCTCTCAGGACTCCTAAAATCTCAAAACTTTGACCTAGATTCCCTAATCTACATTTCCAGCTCTGACCTTTTTCTTGAGGTCTCTTCCTTCTAGTACACATATTATAGACAATATTCTCCACCACATGCTCATACATTGCTACTTGGTGCAGATTACTTTTGTAGATAGTGAATCTTGTCTATTTTATGTTGGTTCTTATTGATGTTACTTTGAGTATACTGTTATTTTCTAATCTCAAAGGGGGACTATCTCACTGTTACGATACTAACCAGTATACTTTGTCCTTTTTTTCATTCTTTCTTCTTTTTTGGACCAATATACTTTGTCCTTTTCTTTTTTTGAGATGGAGTCACACTGTGTCATCCAGGCTGGAGTGCAGTGGTGCCATCTCAGCTTACTGCAACTTCTACCTCCTGGGTTCAAGTGATTCTCCTGCCTCTGCCTGGCAAGTAGCTGGGACTACAGGTGCACACCACCACGCCTGGCTAATTTTTGTATTTTCAGTAGAGACAGGGTTTCACCATGTTGGCCAGGCTGTTTTTGAACTCCTGACCTCAGGTAATCCACCCCTCTCAGCCTCCCAAAGTGTTGGGATTACAGATGTGAGCCATGGAACCCAGCCCTCTTTTTCTTTGATAATGAAAACTTTCCCATGAGAATCAGATTATCAATTGTTTGCCTTTGTTTTCTTTTAAATAATTTCCTTTTCCATAGAGATATGGCATGATGAACATCTTGTTCTAAAGTTCCTTTTGGGGGACACTCAACTATGTCATCGGGAAGCTTCAGTAAGTAGAGATCTCCCTTCTTCCCATTCAAGATTCTTCATCTCAAAATGGTGTCTACCAAATGTCTTAATCCAGGTAGTCCCTTGCTTAGAAATTCATGAAATAAGAACCTTCTGGAGAAGTTAGAGGCTATTGATTGAGATGGTTTAAAGCTGCCCCTTATTATGTGTTTTACTCCCAAGGCAGACATCAAAGCGGCTAATAATTCTATGCCTGATGTCTAACTCACTTCTATGGGAATCTATACAACATGATTTATTTATGAGACAGAGTCTCCCTCTGCTACCTAGGCTGGAGTGCAGTGGCTTGATCACTGCTCACTGCAGCCTCAATATTCCAAGCTCAAACAACCCTCCTACCACAGCCTCCCAATGTAGCTGGGACTACAGGCATGCACCACCATGCCTCAGCTAAGTGTTTAAAAAAATTTTTTTTTTTTTTTAGAGACAGAGTCTCACTATATTGCTCTGGCTGGTCTCAAACTCCTGGGCTCAAGCAATCCTCCTGCCTCAGCCTTCCAAAACCAGGTGTTTAAATGGGGACTAACATGAAGCACTTAGAAGACTACATGGAACATAGTGAGCTACATAAAATATTTGCTATTAGCATAATAATTTTATTGTATATCTTAACAAAATTGTGTATTTACGCAGGTGGCATGCCAATGGAAGTAGTCTCCTATAGCTGCACTGAATCATTCTTAACACTGAGAGTTGCAGCAAATGGGGGACATAATTTATAACTTACTTTTCTCTCTGTATGACTCATTAGGCAATGACTGTGTATGTACTACAATGTAAATAGCACCTCCTGGATGGAATAGTACGTAACTGACATGACCAGCAGAGACAGGCTAAAGACACTGAGCTGAAAACCCTGGACTCTATTGCTAAGTCAAGGCTCCTGAATCCGTTCCCTCTGAGCAACTGTTGCTGTGGTGCTGCCTTCACAAGCACTCTGCTGAGCACTCAGATTGAGGGGCTGTGCTATCCTTCATCAGACAAGCTGCACCCAGAACTGTTCAGCTGACAGACTGGGAGCAGTCCAGAAACACAGTAATGGCTGCATAGTGAAAAAAGGCCAATTTATATTCTTTTTCATAGAGAGAAAAACATAAACACGTGATTGAACGCATCTCCTGTGTTAGACTAATTGGGTTAGATTTGATATTTAATTGCTAAAAATATATTTAGAATATAACCTTACTGTGTCAAGGTCTCAAAGAAGAAATAATTGGTATGGTATAAATGATTGAATTGTATGCTACAAACTTCTAAGCTAAAATATTTTCAATGTATGCAAGGATAGGTGGCATACACATTATATATTATTCCCCCATTAAGCAAATTTATAATGAGAGAAAATTATCTTCCATAAAAAAATAAAAGCCATGTAAAATTAAGGACTAAGTTTTTCAGCACAGACTAGACAACGATTGCTAACACATAAGGTCAATGACAGAACAGTCAGAGAAAGCTTCATGAAAACAAAAAAATTGTCTGCCAGGTCTGAATGAATGAGGCTAGATGAACAGAAACTGAGAAGGCAGAAAGAATAGCATGAGCAAGACAAGTGCTGAAATCTGCCCAATTAACTCTGAGGATAAAGTCCAATGGCAGGGAAATAAAAACCCGTGTCCACATAATAACCTGTAAGTGAATGTTCACAGCAGCATTTTTCATAATAGCTAAAAAGTGGAAACTAACCTAAAGGTCCATCAACTGATGAACGAATGGAAAACCAGTATAGCCATGGAATAGAATATCATTTAACTATAAGAAGAAATAAACTACGAATGTGTGCTAAAACATGCATGAATTCTGAAAACATTATGCTAAGTGAAAAAGCCAGTCACAAAGGACTACATATTGTATAACTCTATGTATATGAAATATGCAGAACAGGCAAACATATGGAGACAAAAGTAGACGGTGGTTGCCTACAACAGGGGTAGGTGGAGGGACATGGAGGAAGGCTGCAGTCATGCCTAGGAGATGTGGGGTCACTTTTCAGGGTGACGAAAATGCTGTGAACATACTAATAGACACTGAGTTGTACATTTTAAATGGTTGAACTGTCTGATATGTGAATGACATCTCAGTGAATCTTTTTAAAATCCAAAGGCAGGATCAAGATAATTTTCTCAACTCTTAATTTTTGATGTACATGCTATATCAAATCTAAATATTTCTACAGTTTTACAGTATATTTTAAATAAAAGATAAAGAAAATGCCTAACTTTTCAAATAGTTTGTAAATTAACCTAAAACATGCACATTTCAAAGAATAGTATAATGGCCTTTCTGTACAAGTTAACCTAGAATCTGTGAAACAAATAGACACAGATTCTGTGTCCATTCACAAAAGTGAAGAAATAAGACAATTTTCTGGAACATTCCATGAAACATTCTCCTCTGATTTAATCTGGCTTGCCTCATCAGAGCAATACACAAATTACTTAAAAATACTGTTTAACAGGAAAAAAGTCAATTTTCTATGAGGAATGATGTATAATTCTCAACTTTTCCAAGGGTACATATTGTAAGAGAAAAGGTATGCAATGGTTTTTCAAAATGGTATAATGAAAGTCACAATATAAAAAAATAGTACATTATAAAGATAGTAAAATGGAAATCATTCATTATAATGAAAATAAAAAATCAAGCTTCTGCCAAAATTAGTATCCTAAAACACGTTATATAATTCAACTAGCTACAGAATAACTGTTGACATGTTAAATTCCATACATATTTGACTTTTCACTTGAAATAATTTCTTATTTGAGGCCTGTGTCTCATCCAAATTAATGTGACAACGTGATATACCTTCCAGTGGAGACTCTAACGTCGTTAATTTTTTTACGCTGTCAGCCACTTCTTGTTGAAGTTGTCTCACAACCACCTGATAAAATATTTGTTACTGATTTTATAAACTGCCTTATTAAATTATGTTAATAATGTTTAATTCTAACATATCTACTTTGAAAATTATCACCACACATATCAATTCACCTTCTTTTAATCACATGTACACATTTTTATTTATTACTGAATTCAGTGAGGGATGCAGAATATGTTCTCTTCCTGCCAAATTGGTATTCTCTTACTTACACAACAGATTCATTCCAACATTCAATCATCTCAGAAGCTCAACTCAGCCTCAAAGTTCCTAACATATTCAATCACCTGTTCAAATCCTTCCAACAGATTCCTATCTCAGAATAAAAGTAAAATTCCAATGGCCTTTGAGGCCCTAGGTAAAAAGGCCTCTACCTCCCTCTCTGACTTCAAAGCTCCTACAACTCCCTCCTGTAATTACTCCATTCCCACTGTATGTGAAGCCTGCCACCCCTCAGTCTGAAAATGGAGATGTAGTGCCTAACTCGTAAATCACAGACAGCTACAAGTATCTTTGTACTGAACAAAATTATATTCCAATGACAGTCATTGAGCCTTGCAATAAAAATTATGAGCTAATTATTAATATAAATATTCAAAGTAAACTATAAATACCAGTGGGAAAACTAAACCAAATATAGTTTTGCTAAGTTTTACCACATTTATCCTAAATTATGATTTTATAACAAGTAGGTGCCTTTAAAACATTACATGGTCATAAAAACACGTAATTTGACATATTTTCAGATTTGTTAATATGAATAATAACAAAGCTATACCAACTAAAATACATAAAAAGCTAGTTAAAGCAAGGTATTACAAGACACAGCAATACACTTCAATTCATCTGGGGAATCTAGAATTAAGTGTCGAAGAAAATCACTTAATTAAATTTTAATTTGAAAATACTCACTTCAGGTGTAAACATTTCCATTTATAACTACATTATGGTCTTAACATGTGGCAACATAAAGACATTAAAATTACTATTTCAGCAATACAGAACTATCTACCTTAAAATATGACTCTGTGCCTAATAAAATTTCATAGGTGACACAATGTCTTTTCTCAAAGTAAATCATCTCTCACCTCTATCTTTTATTTCCTAGAAATGAGGCATGTTTCTAAGCCGATATAGTAAACACATTTTTCCTTTTTTTATTAAAACAGCTTTGTTGAAATATAATTTACATACTATAGAATGTATCTGTTTTAAGTTAAAAGATTTTTAGTACATTTACTGAGTTGTGCAGCCATCTCTACAATCCAACTTTAGAGCATTTCCATCACTGTAAGATTCCTCATGCCCATTAGCAGTCACTACCAGCTTCCAGCCCCAGCCCCTTGCAAACATGAATCTACTTTTTGTCCCTATACATTTATCTTTTCTGGATGCTTCATGTAAATGGAATTATACAGTATGGTAAACACACTTTTAATCTAGATTTTTATATTCAACTAAGTTCAACATGTATCCAGAACCAAATGTTTAAATTGTCTTTCTAGAAGTTTGAAAATATTTATCTTCCTTGATACTTACTACTCCTTCTGTTTTCTCTCTCTCATACTGAAAGAGACTTTCTTTTAAATGATCACATTCATTCATTAGCTTCTTACTTTTCTCTTCTAGCACGAGGTCTTTCTTTCCACTCTCAATAAAGCCTCTTTGGATATTAGTTACTATCTCTTTATGATCCTCTTTCTGATGAACGTCATCTAGTTGCTGTACAAGCCACGCATTTTCACGTTGGAGGTGACATATCCTCTCTTCTACACAGTTCCACTTTCCAGTGGAATTATTCACTTTAGCTTCTGCATTTTGATACATCTCTTTCATTTCCTGTGTTTGCTGCTGTGTTTGGCTTAGGTCGTTTTGTACAGTTTCTAAAGCCAATGACTTTTTTCTGAGACTATCTCTTGTCTTACGGAACTTATCTTTTAAGGCATTGAATTTAATTTGTGTTTCAGAAAGTTGTTCAGTAAGAAACTCATTCTCATCTTTTACTTTGGAAATAGCAGAACTCATTTCTACTTGTACAGAAACATCTCGTGTTCTCTCTAAAGCAAGTTTTAGGTTTCTTTCTGTTTTCACACTTTCACTGTGTTTGCTTATAGCAGCAGCCAGTCTAGACTGATAAGATTCAATGTCAGCTTCCAGTCTTTTCTTGCTTTCTTTTTCCTTCAACAGTTCGGCATTGAGCCTTGTATTCTCAGCCTTGAGATAATTAAGCTCTTGTTGATACCGGAATGCTGTTTCTGTTATCATTTCCTCATTGAGTTTTATATACTTTTCAAGGGCAGCATTTGTTTCTTTAACAATTTTAATGTCCTTAAGATATTTATTTTCTTTTTCCAAGTTGTCATTTTTCATTGTACATATTTCCTGTCTGAGTATAGCAATATCTGCCTTCAAAATGCAATTTTCATCCATCAGACCTTTCATTTCTTCATGATTATGAAAATCCTAAATAAAACAAAAGAAAGTTTTAGCTAGTACTCAATAAAATAACATATCATGATTACCTCTGAAGTTAAAGAATAACCTGCACATCCGTACCACTAAAAAGTTTACCATAAGTGGATATCCACCTGGAGAAAAAGTTGAAGCAAAACTTTGAACCTTATAGAGCATAAATTCCAGAAAGTTCAGAAATGTATTTAGAGTCAATGAATTTATAAAAGTAAACACACACACACACACACCAGAGAATTTTTAAGAATATCAGAATTGGAAAAGCCTTTCCCTGAATTACAACAAACTCAAAAGCATAAATTAAAGCATTAACAAATTTGACTAAATTAAGATATATCAAAAAATTGCATTTACACTTTGATACCTAACCCATACACCACCCTATAGTAAGAACTTTTGTTCACACATATTTGGACAGATAAAATTTCCCAGAGTTATTACAGTTCTGTTTCACTGATAACATTCTATTTCAGTTTGACTCTTTTAACACTTTTATAGTCAGTTATAAGAATTACATTCACTAAATCATAAACTAGACATTATACTAGTCACTCCTATATACATTCATTGATGAACTCATCTAGTTACCATAATTTTGAAAAAGAAATGTTAAAAATATAAGCAAGCTACAGGATTTTCCCCAGGACTTCTGACTCTACTTCTAGTTCTCCAACAGATCACAGTTACTTCTGTGGTGTAAATACATCAATACGAAAGAAAACTTTTATTTCAAAATGCCAATAGTAAATAAGATAAAATTTATAGAGCTCTTCTTAGAATATCATGAGATTATTTGCGATTGCAATAATTTCTGCTTCCTCTTTATAATATTAGGTGCAGTAATCAATATGAAATAGGGGAAAGTACAAGGAAAAATTTTACCTGGAACAAAATTTTTATCAATAGGTTATCACTAAGTATAAATTATGGCATATTATTGTTTTCAAAAGCTCTTTGTAATAAAATAATATCCTATGTGGATGCCAAGATTTATAATAAATATTAATAATTGTACCTGTAAGTGTCATCATTCATTTTTAAAAATGAGATAACATTTATGGTTTTAGACCTAAACAATATATATTAAATCAAGTGGATATTATAAGTAACAGTGATAAGATAAAGTTTAAAATATAGAATTTTTACCAAAGATTGATTTACCCGATTTGGAGTATTTCTTGCAGTCTTTGATTTCATCTCTAGTGACTGAACAGTTGGTTCAAGTTGTTTTGCTTCAACTTCTTTCTTATATTGTTTCTCTTTCCTTTCTAATTCTTCTCTATTTTTTTTGTACAGCATATTAACATTTGTTTTTTCTTCATTTTCTTGTTTTAAGGTGCATCTGCAGATAAAGACATTTGTCTTAAAATTCATTTTGTTAAAAAATAAGGAGTTCATCCTGTTATCTACCTCTGCAGATGTTGTTTATTATCCTAATAAAATTTCTATGTTCTGGATTATTTTTCCTTTGCAGTTCTCAGATATTTAATTTCTCACTTCAACATCTTCAAATGAATGCATATACTTGAAAAGTAGTAAGGAAAGAATATTCTGCTAAAGTTTTTGTTACTAGTCACTCTAATATATATTATAAAAAAGGATACCAGAGATAATTCAGTAAAGTTACAGGTTCAAAATTACCTTTTTAAATCACACAGTCATAATTACTCCCTAATTAGAAAAGATCATTTACAATCAACTAAATTTTTAAAGTTACTATTTATTGACAAGCGTATAAGTTCACTAGAAATAAATTTTCATCTTTATGAAATATTGCAGGTGTTTCTCCAAATGATTTACAGAGTGAGATGACACCTTCAGATGTCTCTCACACAAACTATATCTGCAGATGACTGTCATCCAAAACTAGGCTGAAAAGTCTAACATCTGTTTCCCCACACTTTTTATATTTCTTTCTTAATACTTTCAATTCACCTTCTTATTACATATATTTTATATATTCATTAACCTATTGTTCATTATGTGTAATATATAATTAATGCATGTTAATTATATATTAATAAGTGTGTGTATGTTTACACCAGTTATGTTTTCCTGTGAAATCTAGTCCCAGAAGTGGAGTTGTTGAGTTAAAGGGATGTCAGGCTATTTGAAATTTTGATACACAGCACTAAGTTACCCTTCAGAAATAATTTACTAATTTCCTATACCAACAGTGTATGAGAATGCCTTTTTCCTCACATTTGCCAACACTAATAATTACTTTTTAAATATCAGCATGACTTTACAAAATATATCTTATTTTATGTTAATTTGCTTTTTTCTGAATACCAGGCAGGGCTAAATACCCCTGGTAAAAATATAAAACTTGTTAATCATAAGGAATATTAGTCCAATTTTCAATTAGTTTATAGCACAATGACAATTATCTCCTGTGAAATACTGCTATAGGCGGCCAGGCACGGTGGCTCGCTCCTGTAAACCCAGCACTTTGGGAGGCCGAGGTGGGCAGAACACGTGAAGTCAGGAGTTCGAGACGAGCTTGGCTAACATGGTGAAATCCTATTTTTACTAAAAATACAAAAAATTAGCCGGGCATGGTGGCACATGCCTGTAATCCCAGCTACTAGGGAGACTGAGTCAGAAGAATCGCTTGAACCCAGGAGGCAGAGGCTGCAGTGAGCTGAGATCACACCATTGAACTCCAGCTTGGGCAGCAAGAGAGAAACTCCATCTCAAAAAAACAAAAACAAACAAAAAAAACCCAAAACCAAACAAACAAACAAAAAAACACTGCTATAGGCTTACCTATCATGCTCTTCCTTCAGCTTCTTGGGAAATTGCTGAGGATACGTTTTCCCAATCTTTCTTTGTTGGGTTAATCTGCCAGCAGCAGCAGAAGATGTACTATCACATATATTTTCTGAAAGTTGTATTTTTTCACTTTTGTTTGTATTATTTCCTTCTTTGACCTTTAATAAAAGATGAATAATAATTGTTATTATTTTATTCAATAAAAAGAACTTTTTCCCTGATTTTTATTACTTGATTCAGGTTAACTATCACCACTTTAATGATAAAAGTATTTTGTGCTTACTTTAATTTTATCATTATACATAATTATTATAATTATAAGATACTCTTATTTTATCATCGAAATTTTTGTCAAATCTGCTCATTTCTGTTTGAGGGAATAGAAGAATTTTCCAAAATTTCAAAAAGGGCTCTTCTCCATTTTGTGCTTTTATTCCCATCCACTCTTTGCTATCTGGTATAAATTTTTATGCTATCTGGCTGGCAGAAACAGAGAAATAAAAAGACACAGGCATAATATATGTCTTCTGTCTTTACTACCTGGATTTTACATGAAATAGCCAGATTAAGAAGATGTGACCTTGTAGGCCTTCAGGAACAGTAAAGAAGTTTTCCCTTTTCTGTACTGAGCTACTCTTTTCCCCACTGCCTTTTATCTCTCTTTTTTTTTTTTTTGAATCCTGTGATATCAAAAAAGTAAAGGTTCTCTTTGAATTATGGGAACCAACGTTTGCCACAACAAAAGAAGCAGAGTGAAACTGCTGAGTTTCTAGTGCAGAATTCTGGAAAATGAGATGCTTCCCAGATTTCACATTCAATTACCACAAAAGTTTATAGGTGGAAAACATATGGTACAGTTACCTACTTTAACCCCATTATCTACTGATAATGGGAGTCAAACCAACCAAGACATATTAAATGTTTCATCCAGAGCTCTTGAGGTGGCATTCACTAGCATTTCATGGCACCATATAACATGATACAATTCCATATTGCTGAATTACATAAATTACCAGATAAATTTATCAAATTAGATATATTAAAAGTCTAACTTGAGCAAAGCAATTTAATGCCTCAGAGGGTGGAAAAAGGCCTCATCTGCTTTTACTTTGAAAGAAGAAAATCTCTAGATTTTTGTCTATCTTTAGAACACAATGTACAGAACTCAACTTTCTACTAAAGAGTCAAAGGCTAAATTTTTGGCTAAGAAATTATGCTTCTTATATGATAAAAATCATACATGCCAAAACTTACCATACTTTATTAAACAACATAACGTAAGGTCTGATTCAACAGAAATATTGCAGAGTGGTGATTTTTTAAAATATGTGTAAGTATATGTTTGTTTTCAAAAATATTGGAAATAACCATGATGGGACTGTAAGTTCAAACAGTTTGAGCTAAGCAGATAAACTTGCATGCATGAAAACACATTAAACAGACTCATTTGGCTGGGAATATTCGTTGCAACTCTCAAGGCTAGACGTGTTTTTGTGGCTTGTCTCAGTCATTGCTTCCCTCCCATTGTATTCCCATTCTATCATTAAATAAATGTAAATTATCTCTAAATGAATACAAGAAAAAAGAATCTAGAATCTAGAGCTTGTTTCTTTAGCAATTTCTTTATGTTGATCTGGTTCAGAAGGTCACATGGTATGTGGCTTAATTAGTTTCCCAGCTCATACGCCACTTGGAAGACTGATAGTGAGACATAGGTTGATTAATGAACAAACATTATGAGAACATTCTCCAGAACCATTATTTAGATAGCAGAACTAATCTACTTTGACACATAATTACACATTTAGATAACCCCACTGTAACTGTACACATGAGATTTTCTTGAATAGAAAATTTGACTAAATCAAATAATTGATAAAGAGGAAAAAGAAGCAGCAAGTGAACCTCTGTCTTTTTGAAGTTGGACTTGCTTTTCTCCAAAGCCAGGAACTCAACTTGTAACATGCCTACCTCATTCTTTTTTTAATTATTATTATACTTTAAGTTCTGGTACATGTGCACAACATGCAGGTTTGTTACATATCTATTCATGTGCCATGTTGGTGACCTTGGAATATCTTCCCATAAGTCTTCTAGCTATATTTTTGATGTTCTCTCACTATGTGGTAAAGAATAACTCACATTTTATAATTCAAGATTCATGCTTCTGTAGTTGTTAGCACTGGGATTGCCATATAGTGGCTGCTGGAATAAACGCTGTATTGGTTTTCTGTTTTTATAAGTATCTGTAGCAGCAGAAATACTGTGGCTTTCTATCTGAATCATATGCTTCATTTCTTTGGGGTGGGTAAACAACAAATCAAAAAGACTTTCTGGATCTCTAGACTGAGGCCAATGCCTAATGTCCAATTTCCAATTAGTGGTATCTGGGTTTACATTTTTTGCCATTTGCATGTCAAACTCTTAATCATCTTTCATTTCAATCATAATTACTGGGTTCCTTAATTTTTTGGTTTCAGTATCATTACAAAAATTTTCATCATCTGTGTTAGAAACAAGCTATGTGTCTGGTTTGCTATCATTTTTATAGTCTGATTTATTTTCATTTAAATGAAGCTTAGAAGATGACTGGTAACTGTATTTCAGGGACCTGGAGTATGAATGGAATAAAAAGACATTTGACATGGGCTTCCTCTGTTCAGGCGCTGCCTGGAATGCCACAGAGTTAGACCCTCCAGATGCATCTTCCTCCTCACAATCAGGGACCTGATTCATCAGATTAGAGGGCACTCCTTTTTTGTTCGTCCCTCTTTAGAGTTACTATGTAGGAGCTCTTCCTCAGGGCAAGCAGTAATTCTGGAGTTTTCAAAACTTTCACCAATATTCAGCTTGAACTTGTTTGTAATGAATTTTAAAGAAAGTCGTGAATATACAGACAGATTATTCCCTTTATCACAATTCTTACCCAGTTCTGGTTCTTGAGACTTTTTTTTTTTTTTGGCAGGTGCAAAATGGAAAACAAATTTGCTTGTTTTGTTTCTCAGATGCCTTTTCTGTCAGAGTGCATGTTTTAAAATTAGCTTTAATCAAGTATAAACAAAAATACTAGAAAATAATTAAAATTTAACTGTGAAACTTAATCTATGTGTTGCCACTCTTAAATTATGGGATTGTAACTAAAAAGTGAAAAATAATTTGCCTTGGCTTAACATAGGACAGAAATATGAACTGGCAAGCTGAACGCTTAGCATTTGTTTGGATTAAACTTAATGCATTATGTGTAAAATCTACCAGAAATGAATTCAAAGCTGATAGGTAGTATTATAAAATCTTCCTCTCTTACAAAGATTTTACCTCAGCATACCAGAAAAAGTGAGCCCCTACAGTACGTGTATATTTCTGAAGATTAACTACAGACTAGGCAAACACTGAATTATTAAGAGCCAAACTGAACACCAATAAGAAAGGGAAGCAAAATTTTAAATTCTAATTCAAATAATATACTATGATAGTGTTATGTATCTAGATGGATTATCTGCTTATATCCACTTCTAATATATTTTAAGTTCCACTAGTGATAGTGGATGGATTTTTTAAATTTTAGTAACATTTACTATGTATTTATGTCAAAATAAAGTTATTGTTTGTACCCTGACACCAAAGGTCCCATTCCACAAGGTAGGATTCTCTTAATAGGCAACTGGGTTGACTTTTATGACCCCACTCACTCCCTGAACACAGACACAGAAGTCAAATGGTGACCACAAAACAGAATAAATCTTTAACCTCGGCACTGGTGACCAGCAATATAAAACTGCAACATTTGAACCATTGGCAATGATGACTCCTTTAACACTAGTTTAACTCAGTGGCCATCATTGTTAAATTGTTCACAATTTCTATTCCTTAATAATATGACCCAATATTTCATGTTACCTTCTGTATTATGAGTAAGGTTATAACAATAAAAGAGCAAGATAATTCTGAAAATGTCTTGCCTCAATTCCAAGGGTAAAGACAGCTATGAGTTACTAGAGATAGTAAGAATTACCAGAATAACTAATAGTTACTAGAGATAGTAAGAATATCTTAAGTTTCATAACTGGTTAAGATGTTTTAAAAATTAAATATAAAATTATGATCTATCGGATTCTAAAGGTATAGTCTAAAAGGTCATGTCATTTGGACTATGCTTTGTTACTGAAGCAAAAAAACAAAACCCAATATTAAACAAGAAACTTGAATTTTCATATACCTGTGGTTGCTTCTTTTCACTTCTTTCATGCCTTTCTTGCTCTTCCTCTGAAGCCACTGGTAAGGCTTGTTCTGTTGACAAATTCATTGGTTTAGTTCAAATGAACTAAGAACAGTTAGATAAAGACTATAATCTATATAAAAATAAATAGAGAATAACATTTCTTTGTATTTTATATTTTGAGAGTTTCAATGAAGCTTAATGTTTACTGAAATATTTAGTTCTTTAAGAAATACTTCTAATCATCCAAAATTTCAACAAACCACTTGGGGAGACATTAGATATCACCAGGTTCAAGCCATATGAAATCTCAGGGTCACTCACAAATTGTTCCACCCAACATAAATCAACAAAACTGTTAGAAACAAAACAAAATTTTGAAATACAGTCAAAATATACAATGTAACACTTTACTATACTTCATAACAGTATCTTTTTAACAAGACACTAATTGAGTTGGCAGTTACTAATAATTTGCAAAATTATTGTTGTTTATACCTTAATTAGTGTGCACCCCATTTTTTACATCGCAAATGTTTTCCCCTACTATTCTGAAAAATTTATTTTCATCTTTTAAGACTCAGAAAGTAGGCTGGGCATAATAGCTCACATCTGTAATCCCAGCACTTTGGAAGGCCAAAATGGGGGAACTGCTCAAGGCCAGGAGTTTAAGACCAGCCTGGGAACCATAGATAACCTTGACTCTACAAAAAATTGGACAGGTATGGTGATATGTGCTTGTAGTCCCAGCTACTCAAGAAGCTTAGGTGAGAAGATCCCTCGAGCCCAGGAGTTTGAGGTTGCAGTGAGTCTCGATCACACCATTGCACTCCACCCTGGGTAATAGAGTAAGAACTTGTCTCCAACAACAGAAAAAGAAAAAAAAAGGCTCAGAATGCTGTGTGAAGTCTTCCTTGATTCTAGCTGTCTTTCTCCACACACACAGGTGTCTGCTTCATTGGAGTTCCTTAGTACTTTGTCAACTTTTCCAGCGTCACTTTACCACCTGAACTGCACATCATGTCTTTACATGTTGATCCCCTTTGCTGTTAGACTGTAGAGGACAATCTTTTGAATCATCTTTGTATAAACAGTCTTAATTTTGCTAAATAATTACTTATTGAGTTCCTGCTAAGTGTTAGGCACTGGGGTATAAGGAAGGAAAATAAAAGCTGTCAGGGATGGCTTTCCTAAAGATCATGCATGAGCTGAGACTTAGAGAGTAAGGTTAGCCAGATTAAGTGAGGCAGAGGGCAGGAAAGGGTGAGCACATGCCAGGCAGCAACAAGAGAGGGAGAGAAGCCTCCAAGAGAGTATGTATTTCTCTGCAAAAGAGGAATGGTGAGGGGGCCATTACCAGCAGCTCAGTAATTCCAGAGAAAAAGGCAGATGGGGAAAGGGCTACAGATGGAGATTTGGGCAGAAATCAGTTTCCTTTTCTTTTCTTTTTTTGGGACAAGGTCTTACTCTGTCTCCCAGACTGGAGTGCAGTGGCATGATCTTGGCTCACTGCAACCCGGCCTCCCAGGTTCAAGTAATTCTCCTGCCTCAGCCTCCCAAGTAGCTGAGATTACAGGCATGTGCCATTACCACCTGCTAATTTTTGTATTCTATTAGAGATGGGGTTTCACCTTGTTGGCCAGGCTGGTCTTGAACTCCTGACCTCAAATGATCCACCTGCCTCAGCGTCCCAAAGTGCTGGGATTATAGACACGAGCCACCATGCCCAACCCAGAAATCAGTTTCTGAAATCCTTATATAAAACTTTAAGATGCTTGGACATAGGTATTCAGGAGTGGTTCACAGATCTATTTGCATTAGAGATAATTAACTCTAATTATTGTGAGGAGCATAAAATTCTGAGGCATATAAATCAATGAACAAAGATAAAATATAAGGCAGTGTTGCAAAGATGATGCAGGCCTGAGGAGATGTTTTCAGAAATATTTAGGACATAAGTATCAGTGGCCATTGTAAGCATGAATTTTTATTGAATGAATAAATGTATATATCTGGGTCCCTGGAGAAATACACTCTGCTCATTACTTTACAAATTTTATCAAATGAGAAGTAGAATAATATACATAAACTGTTTCAGTTACTTGTATTTACTTTACACTTTTTCTGTTTCAGTTTTACTGTGCCAAGGAAATGCATTTGGGTTTTGTGGTGGTTGTTGCTGTTGCTGTTGTTGTTGTTGTTGTTGTTGTTGTTGTTGTTGAGATGGAGTTTCACTCTTGCTGCCCAGGCTGAAGTGCAGTGGTGCAATCTCAGCTCACCGCAACTGCTGCCTCCCAGGTTCAAGTGATTCTCCTGCCTCAGCCTCCCGAGTAGCTGGAATTACAGGTATGTGCCACCATGCCCAGCTAATTTTGTGTTTTTAGTAGAGATGTGTTTCTCCATGTTGGTCAGGCTGGTCTCAAACTCCCAACCTCAGGTTATCTGCCCGCCTCAGCCTCCCAAAGTGCTGGGATTACAGGCACGAGCCACCGCGCCCAGCCACATATGGGGATTTTGTTTTAAAAGTTCTGTTTCCTGGATCTACCAAGCTCATGAGAAAATAGAAGCAAACAAGTCATTTGCATAGGTAAGAAACTTTGGATTTATACTTTGTCATCACTACTCTAGAAGATTATCATCATGTTTTGTAAAATAAAATGTTAATTCTAGACATAAGGGGAAAGAGAAATTAAAACTATAGGGGTGAAAAAATATTGCATAATTTATTACTGTTGACCTGACCATATGACTGATTAAGGGCACTGAATTTAACTTGTATGTGAAGTAGACCCCATATTAGCTGCAGTTAATCAATAGACCAGGTATTCTAGCAGAATTAAATTTGATGCTCCTGTGTTATCTTTAAATGATACAGCTCTTCTGAAAACCCATACTCATAGTGCATGATTATCCATTAAGACAAGGTGATGGAATGTGTGAATACAGCTCAGGAGACACCACAAGGCAAATGCTCAATGGTTCCCATTAATATTGGGGAAATCAACATTATAATACAGAAAACCATAGGCATTATTTAATATTTGGTTTTGGAAGGTATTTTTAGTGACACTGCATAGAGTTGTACCTAATAATTGCAAAATTACAGATGTAAAAATAAAACAAAGGCACATTGTGTTTGAGTAGGAAATCTGTAGACGTCTAGCTGGTTTTCTATTCCAGGCCCAAAATTCTAAATATAATCATGGTACCCGCACACAAATTTATGTTAAATACCAACTTCAATGAAATTACTCTTTCTCCTCATTCTCTTTGTTATTTATATGTTGCTTTCCTTAAGGGAAGAATACAAATGCCTTGCTAAGAAGCATTTTGTTTGGTTGTAGGCTGCATAAAGGGAGTAAACACAAAGTACATTTGACCACAGAATGACTTTTTAAAAGCCAGAACTATGGTAGCATGAAGCCAACTGAGGTAATCTAGAATAAAATTTTCTATGTTTGTTTCCCTTCTTTGCTCTCTTTCTACTCTAATAACTGCGATTCACAGAGGTAATGAAGAGTATAATTCCCTGATAAAAACACAGCTCCAAGATTAATCCTTTCTTTAACTATGAAGTTCGTGTGTCCAAAGTCTTGTAGTTGCTGATTTTTGATCACGAATGGTGATACAGATATTTATCATCAACTCACAACTTCCCAAATCTTTGAAAAGTCTTACTATTGATGGTTCAACTAGTAGAAACATAATCTAAAATATCTGAAAATAAAGTTTTTATTAGAATGTAAATAGTAATACAAATTGTAATAAGGTGTAAAAGTTCTTTCTTCACTGAAGCAGGACCATGATGTCCTCTACCCCACAAACACACTACTCCCTCATGGTCTAATGTATCTTAAAAGTCCTGTAATTGCTATTAACTCAGACAAGTTTACTTAACTTGTTCTAAGCTTCTGTTATTTACTACAATTTACTTTATCACTCAACAATCTCTATTATATATGTTGTTTTCCATGAGAAATTTTTTTATTAATAATTAGGATTCTTCAGGGATAAGAAAATATTTGAATAACTAAGTTTGTGCATAAACACATTAAGGTCAAATACCCATGACAATATTGTGTGTTTCTCTGTACTAGAGACAAAAACTTCAAAAAAATTTTTAATGAATATACATTAAAAACTGCTTTCATTAAACTGAGATGATCTTCCCTCAATGCATGAATACCTTCAGAATTCACATAGACCAAAGAATTGTATAAAATATAATAGCCTTAAAAATCTTATTTGTACCTGGCACAGTGGCTCCTGCCTGTAATCCCAGCATACTGGCAAGCTGAGGCAGGCAGATCACCTGAGATCAGGAGTTTGAGAGCAGCCTGGCCAACATGGTGAAACCCCATCTCTACTAAAAATAGAGAATTTAGCAGGGTATGGTAGCACATGCAGGTAGTATCAGCTACTCGAGGGCCTGAGGCAGGAGAATTGCTTGAACCCGAGAGGCAGAGGTGGTAATGAGTCAAGACCGAGCCACTGCACTGCAGCCTTGGTGACAGAGCAAGACTCTGTCTCAAAAACACAAACAAACAAACAAAACACCTAATTGTTCCCACATAAGTCTATATTCACACAAGATCTGAAGAGTACACAACACCGTGAGACAGGACAGACATAAATTTTAAAAGTTATATTCCCAGTTTCTGTAAAAATAAAACGGTTGAATTTAAGCTTTTAAGACAAGTCAAGGAAAAGAGCAAAAAATGCAAAAGTGAAACTTGAAAGGTCATTTTCCCATCAAGGGCTCATGATCCACTGGACATTCACAAACTATATTGTTCAAAACATTAGTTCTGAATTTTGATCTGAGTATCCCTGGAGTTGCAGTTTCATTCAAAGATGTCCAAGAGGTCAAATAAGACAATATCATTTGCTATTTTCAGTTTTCTTTTCTGAGAACAGCACAACAAACTTCTTCAGAGAAATGAATTGTCCTAACTTCATAGGCTAAAGGCTCATGAGTCACAGTTCTAAGGGCATTTATAAAATATGGTGGTGCATGCTTGTATTCTGAACTTTTCAACTTTAAACTCTCATATAGTAAATATTAATAGATACAAACTGATTAAAGAAAAGCCCACTTAATCTGACATTATTTTTATTTTTCTTTCTTTCTTCATTTATCAGCAACAGGAGAGTCTAACTAAATGTGGTAAAGTGGTATAAGGGAATACAATGAAAAGTGTAAAATGAATTAAACCAGAGATAATCATATCAATGTGGATACATCTGGAAAATATAATACAAAATACACCAAAGAAAGTGGCAGAAAGGTATGTAAAGTGTATAACCACTCACATACCATTTTGGGACACAAATAAAAAATTCTGCATATTATTTCTGAGCATCACAATATAGTTAAAGATTTCAAAAGGGCATTGAAATGAAAAACAACCAACTTATGATGTCGGTAGCCTCTATGCAATCATGTTTTAAAAACCTTAACACCAAAAAGTCTCAAAATCACCATTTTAAAAGACTGTGTCTACCAGTTATAAATGAATCATTACTTTCCTCATTTTTAATAGTCAAAGATGCCACAAACACACACATACACACAGCTATATATACACCTACACACACAGTCTTGCTCATTAGAACATCTGATTGGCTTCAGATCATCAGTGTAATAACACTAGCAGCAAGCCTCTAAAGTTAAAACAGAATCTGACATGTTAATAAGTAAAGCTTTCCTCTAGGTAAAGTTCAGAACTCCAAGTAGCACTTAACTCATTGGAAATATCTTAGAGTCTCAAAATTCACTGCTTTGAATCCCTGACAGGTATAAAAATTTTATACTGAAAACTTCATGCTATTCAAAACATTAAAAGAGAAACATCTGAGTTAAAGCTTACATTTTTAAAATCTTTTTTATGCTTCTAAATTTATTTTTATTCAAATATGGATACCAACAATAACATTTATGTCAATGCCTTCCATTCAATTTTGAACAAATAGAATTAGGAATAAGAATAATGTGAGTACTTCCAATCATTGAATGTACTTATTTCCAGTATTCCATTAAATGTACCTGCTCTCAATGTCTGTACATTCTTTCTTTGTACTGCTCCTTTCACAGCAGGATCTTCTACTTCAGTGCTAGGCTGAATGGGTTTTAAAAGAAAATGATTCATAAATCATATATATTTTATACAACATGGAGTTAGTGATTCAAAAATATACATAATTAATTACCTTCAAGGAAGGATGTTTTGCAGGAGGCCCTACAAAGCAAAGGGGATATGTCATCAATTATATGTAAGTATGACAGGGCCAACCAAACATTCATGCAGTGGTACTATCGAGCTGAATTCTCATGCCTGGCTATAAAAATAATTACTTAAGGTTTTGAGGGTTCTTCTTGGCATCTTTTCATTGCCTAGGACGGCAACATGACAGAAACATAATGAGGAAAATAGGAATATAGGATTCCTAAAATGCACAGTTTACATTTCAGTAGTGAGATTATGTTTCAAATGCCTATACCTAAAATAGAAAAGCATGGATATCACCGTGAACATGTGGACTGATGAGGAGAAAAGGGACCATTAAACAGAGGAGCAAATCAAACCTGAGGGAATCGACGTCAAAGCTGATGGTGAATGTACAGAGTATTTTAACTCAACACAGCAGAGGCATTGCTGCCAGCATGCCACAAACAAATTCCCCTTGTCTTGTCACTGAGGAAATACACAGTTGGGATGACAGTTCAGGTGAATGTGTGATTCACCTCTCATCAAAGAAAGTGTTCTACATTGATCAGCTAGTATACACACTTATGAAATGACAGCTAATCAAACTACTCATTTTTCCCATGATCACATGGGCTACTGCAGCACCTACATTTCTCCTATCCCCTCATTTGGCCTTGAGTTAGAGCTCCTTGATCCACTCATGCAAGGATCACATAAAATAAACCATGTCGAATAAGCTTCCGATATCAAAATATTTATCAAAAAAGAAAACACTGAATTACCACAGACTTGCTGGATATGAATACATATTTATATTTCAAAATCAGTGCAGTATTTATTGAAAAAGAGAATTTTGGTATTCACAGAATGAATTTTGTAATATCAAAAAAAATTAGCCAAAGCATCTATATGCAACTTAATCACATCTTATTCACTCATGTCAGTGAAACTTCTCTCTCTGAGGCCTGACAGTTATCAAGTGAAATGAGCTGCTGTGGTTTACCCCAACTCTAGCACTCCCTCCTGCCTCCAGTACTCTCCACAGCAATAACCTCTTTTGTGAGACTGGGCATATGCTGAAGCAACTGGAAGTGAGTTGTCTCAAGTTTACTTGGCTTCAACTCCCAAGACCCCAGCAAATGTCTTTCTTTCCTCCCTCCGTGTCCTTTCACAATCCCTCTTCCTTTGAAAAAGTGATTTTTAGAACTGTCATCCTGATGCTTCCCTTCCTAACTGCTTTTTATGGATAATTGTGACCACTTTTTTCATCTGTATTCAGCAGTAGTATACACCTGTAATCTCTCTGTTTTCATCTCATTCTCCTTCCCCTGTGGCTAGAATCATGCTCAGAAATAAAAGGAAATTAATGCTTTCCCTGGATTCTGTTATTTTTTAAATTGCTCTCCAATGGTTCTTTTTCCAGAGTTCTCTAAAGGAAGGCTATTCCCTTGCTATTCAGAGCTGTGTCCAAGGACCAGCACCAAAAATCACCTGAGTACTCATGAGAAATGCAGACTCCCATACCTGCTGAATCAGAATGTGCACCTTCCAGAAGCTCTTCAACTCATTCATGACAATTTGAATGCCCTGTTCTACACTGATGTGCTTCCATATTGGTTTCCCCTAATTGCCCTTTTGGCCTAGCCTCAATTTCTTCCCTATTATGTCCCTCAATTTAATACTACATTATAAGCCATAATGTTTCTAATGAACTTTTAATCAGGCAATAACTTCTTGAATTAATTTCTTCTCCATAAATCACCCAACACTATTCAATTATGTTAATTTGGCCTATATGATACTATCCTATGAGGTTACAACATTTTCTATAAAAACAAATTATAGCCATACATGGCTGACCATCTTTGGTGATGTTCATCTATGGTAGATAAAACACAGGTCTGTGTGGTGAGGTGCCTCAATCCTTAATGCCTCCCCAGTAGCGAGGATGACAGCAAGAGAAGGAAAATGTTACTGTAATTCTCTGACACATTTTGGTACTGGAAGCTCACTTTATCTTCTTTCCTGTTTCTAACACCATGTTCTTCCTTCTTCTACAGATCAATTTGCCTTTACTATCCTCTCTTACTTACCTCTGCATATGCTTTTTTATTTATTCCATGTACAATCCGCTCTCCTCATTCTTTCTTTCTCTTTATTCATTTCCTCTTCCCTCTCTCCTGACTTGCCTCAGGTCTTAGAGTATCTTAAAATGGAACTCACAATTCAGCTCCTTTAGTGGTACTCCCAATAGAATCAACTGCTGACCCTTGGTTAGAGACACAACTTATCACCATTTCACTTCTCCTTTACTTATTATACAGTTAATAGGACACTTTCTTTAGCTATTACACTCTATTAGTGCTCATATTTTCAAAGAAACATTCCATCAAATGACTTTTTTTGTTTTGTTTTTTCTGAGACGGAGTCTCGCTCTGTCGCCCAGGGTGGAATGCAGTGGTGGTATCTCCGCTCACTGCAAGCTCCGCCTCCCGGGTTCAAGCCATTCTCCTGCCTCAGCCTCCTGAGTAGCTGGGACTACAGGCGCCCACAACACCACCTGGCTAGTTTTTTGTATTTTTAGTAGAGATGGGGTTTCACCATGTTATCCAGGATGGTCTGGATCTCCTGACCTCGTGATCCGCCCGCCTCGGCCTCCCAAAGTGCTGGGATTACAGGCGTGAGCCACCGCACCCGGCCTCCATCAAAAGACTTTTTAAATAAAATACGGTTCTCACCTTCTCCTTGTCCATTGACTATTCTGTTTCCTTTTTCATGCGAAGATCCAGGTAAAGGCTCTGACACTTTCTCGGGGACACACTGCTAAGGTAATATCAAGAATTAGTTTCCATTTTAAAATTATAATGAGTTGCATCAAGAGTTTCTTATCAATCTCTTTTTATGAAACTGGGTCTCACTCTGTCAACCCAGGGCTAGAATGCAGGGGCCTGATTATGGCTCACTGTTGTCTCAAACTCCTGACCTCAAGCAATCTTCCCACCTCAACTTCCTGAATAGCTGGAACTACAGGTGTGTCCCTTCATGCCATGCTAATGTTTTTATTGTTATCTTTGCAGAGACAAGGCCTCATTATACTGCCCAGGCTGGTCTCAAACTCCTGAGCTCAAGTAAATCTTCCACTTCTGCCCCCCAAAGTGTTGAGATAAGCAGTGTGCACCACCACACCCAGCCCTAATCAATTTCTTTAAATCAATCTCAATGTTGCCCAGGCATGGTGGCTCACACCTGTAATCTCAGCCCTTTGCAAGGCCAAGGTGGGTGGATTGCTTGAGTTCAGGAGTTTGAGACCAGCCTGGGCAACATAATGAGAACACATCTCTACTCAAAAAATACCAAAAGGAGTCAGGCATGATGGTGTGCGCCTGTAGTCCCAGCTGCTTGGGAAGCTGATGTGGGAGGATCACTTGAGCCTGAGAGGTGGATACTGCAGTGAGCCAAGATCATGCCACTACACTGCAGCATGGGCAACAGAGCAAGACCCTGACTCCCCAAAAATTTCAATTTAAAATATGAGAATGAAGAGAGATACAAACAAAAAACAAGCCTAATTGGTCAATGAAATATGAGCTTAAGCCAAGAAAGAAAAGAGACAACATGAAGTACAATAAAGTACATGGGGAAATAGATCTATAACAGAGCCTTTTGCTCTTTCATATCCCTGATAATACTAATTAATATTTATGCTACAATTAGTTTTTTGTAAGTACTTCTGTGATATAGCTTATTACTATAAGACATTCAATTAGCTAAATATGGTCATCGACCACTACCTGAAAGAACATTATTATAACACAGAGAGAAAACTAGAACTTTCAATCAACTTTCCACCCAGAAAAAAATTGGTCACCAGAATTCTAAAGAGTAACGTATGGCAGACACATGAAAAAATGCTCATCATCACTGGCCATCAGAGAAATGCAAATCAAAACCACAATGAGATACCATCTCACACCAGTTACAATGACGATCATTAAAAAGTCAGGAACCCACAGGTGCTGGAGAGGATGTGGAGAAATAGGAGTACTTTTACACTGTTGGTGGGACTGTAAACTAGTTCATCCTTTGAGGAAGACAGTATGGTGATTCCTCAAGGATCTAGAACTAGAAATACCATTTGACCCAGCCATCCCATTACTGGGTATATACCCAAAGGATTATAAGTCATGCTGCTATAAAGACACATGCACACGTATGTTTATTGCGGCACTATTTACAATAGCAAAGACTTGGAACCAACCCAAATGTCCATCAATGATAGACTGGATTAAGACAATGTGGCACATATACACCATGGAATACTATGCAGCCATAAAAAAGGATGAGTTCATGTCCTTTGTAGGGACATGGATGAAGCTGGAAACCATCATTCTGAGCAAACTATCGCAAGGACAAAAAACCAAACACTGCATGTTCTCACTCATAGGTGGAAATTGAACAATGAGAACACTTGGACACAGGATGGGGAACATCACACACTGGGGCCTGTCGTGGGGCGGACAAGGGGGGAGGGATAGCATTAGGAGATATACCTAATGTAAATGATGAGTTAATGGGTGCAGCACACCAACATGGCACGTGTATACACATGTAACAAACCCACACATTGTGCACATGTACCCTAGAACTTACAGTATAAGAATAATAAAGAGTAATGTATGGCTTGAAAACGTATATTTAATAGAACATGAGTTAGAGCTAATAAAAAGCTTAAGAAATGTTAATCTAAAATCTCAATGTTAAGATTCCAGTTGAATGATACTAGAAAATATATTGTAACCCTATTTGCTACTGATGACCTATTTCTATTTTATTTCCTTTTTAATTATGGCATAATTTCTCAACATAACATATCAAAACTTATACACCCTTAAATATTAAAAAATACAATGTAAGCAATATTTTAAATACAATATTTAATTATTAGATACATTAGGTTTATTATATTACTTATAACATTCCATTATATAAAAATTCATTTGTCTATTTATTCAGATTAAACAACTATTAAGGCTGAATGTCTTATGCCTGTAACCCAGCACTTTGAGAGGCTGAGGCAGGCAGAACACTTGAGCCCAACAGTTAAAGACCAGCCTGGGCAACAAGGCAAAACCCTGTCTCTACAAAACTCAGCTGAGCATGGTGACACAGGTCTATGGTGACATAGCTCTATTGTTTAAACTACTTGGATGGCTGAGGTGTGAGGATCACCTGAGCCCAGGAAATGGAGATTGGAGTGAGCCAAGATCTCACCAGTGCCCTCCAGCCTGGGGGACAGAGTGAAACCCCATCTCAAAAAACAACAACTAAAATGCTTCTTACATGGAAGACTGTATTCTAGGTACTCCAGGATACACACAAATATGTTTACTGACCTCCAGTAGCTTACGGTATGCAGGAGCTTCCAATGATTATTTAAACAACTAAATAGAAAACCTTCTGAAATTCAAAATTTCAGAATATGATATGAGGACTTTGAGTGGCTATTTTATTTTTTAAGATGTAGTCTTGCTCTGTCACCCAGGCTGGAGTGCAATGGTGCGATCTTGGCTCACTGCAACCTCCGCCTCCCGGGTTCAAGCGATTCTCCCACCTTGGCCTCCTGAGCAGCTGGGGTTACAGGCATGCACCATCACGCCTGGTTAATTTTTCTGCTTTTGTTTTGTTTTGTTTTGTTTTGGTTTTGGTTTTTTTTAGAGACAGGGTTTCACCACGTTGGCCAGGCTGATCTTGAACTCCTGACCTCAGGTGATCTACCGACCTCGGCCTCCAAAACTGCTGGGATTACAGGTGAGTCTCCACACCTGGTGAAGTAAATATTTTAAATAAACTACAATGACAAAATTATGAGGATAAAGTCTTACCATCCATTGGTATTAAGAGTCTCTGCTTCTAGAACTGGTTATTTGCAGCAAAATACATGTTATTCAATTAGATGAAGTGCCTTATATAAACTCTTCATGGACAACTCATAAACCACACAAAAATTCCTTTGCAATACACATTTTGAGAACATAAATTTAAATTTCTATATTTCCACAATTTATATTTTTAAATCAGATACGATGTTGCCCAGGCTGTTCTCAAACTCCTGGGTTCAAGCAATCTTCCTGCCTCAAATTCCCAAGTAGCAGGGACTACAGGTGTACACCACCACACTCAGTTATTTTTCTACAATTTTTATTTTTTTTTGTCTCACTACAGAACCAATAATATAAGTAGAAAAACAATCTCTCGTAAAAACAATATGATACCAAAATAATAAGTTTCCAAGAACAAAAGCTATATGCTATGTGCTGAATATTCTTGCCACTAAAAATCACCAGGAGGATCCCATGATTACTGCAAATAATTTGATCCACTGAAGATTTATACAGGCATAAATATTAAGAAAGTCACACTCGTATGATTTAAAAGTCAAAGTATTAGTATTTATCCAAATAAACCTTAAGCAAATTTCATATTTCCTCTATTGGAGAAAGCATTTCCTAATGTGATTTTCCTGTCACTACTAATTTTCCAGTTCATTTTTTTTCAGCTCCCACCCTGTCACAGTACTTATCAATCTTTGTTAGTTACCAAAGTTAAACACATTTTTTGAATCAACTAGCCATATGTATGTTTTTCTCTGACCAACTTTCCATTACCACCATAAAACAATGATAGGTAAACCACTGCTAAATTTGAAAAGTAAATACTATGCAAAAGTACATTCAGAGTGAGAAAATTAATTTTACAAGAGACCACTTTACCTTAGTAGCAACATTCAAGTCTTTGTCATCCGATGCAGGCAATGAATCCACACGCAGTTCATGGAAAATGCTTGAGAGCAAAAACACACAACGAAAATGAGCAAGTTGATTTCTTTACAATTTTTTTAACTGCCAGTTTATATCCAGCTTCCCCCTCAAAAAAGGAAACCATAATCTAGGGAAAGGTCAGCAATCTATATATTAAATAGTGATTCTTGATATAATTAAAATATGTCCTCTTCTAAAAATAGATTTTAGTTACCTATTTCTGCCTCCACTTGTCTAAATCTATAAAATATTCAATGAAAACTAACCTTGAGCTTTATAACAAATAGTGACAGTCAATAAATTGGCAGAGCCTGACAATGATTTGCCCTCACAAATTATCTGTCCTGAAGCTGAACTTAAAATTCAATTAATGGATGACATAAATTTTGTTACCTAAACTGGAAGAAAACTAACAACCTAAAACAAGGTAGAAAGATCCACTGTCTCTTTTCCATGATCTGTCTCTGGATAAAAGACTAATCTGCATCACTTCAATATGGCAGTCTTGATTCCTCAGCATGGAACCCACTTAGGAAGGTCCTATTGCTTTCCTTTGCCCTAAATCAGTACAGGAAAGCCCCTACAATATTTGAAATGTATGAAAGCTAAATGTACAGAAGTCAAATAACAAAGGTGTATGTTCTTATTGAGAATACTTTTCCCAGAAAGATTGAAATATTAACAATTATAAAATCCCATTATTTTCACCCTATAGGTCCTACCTTATTCAGGTCCACATAAACTAGCAAGCCCTTAAAACTTTTCATAGGCACTCAGACACCCAAGGAGAGAGACTGTCAGAAAAAAACAGAGTCCTGGTAGGTGTACCTCTATTTCCCTAAGTACTCTCTAAGTATCTGTCTTCCTATGGGCTCCCACTTCCAGATTCCACTTCTGCAGGGCTCCACAGAAGTCTCCAATCTTTAAATCTTCAGTCTATGAAAGCACAGATTCCTGAAAGGATGGCCTCAAATGACCAGGACTAGGAGCTCTCTATATCCCTGCTCCTGAAAAACAAGCTAACTGGAGTCTCCATCACCTGCCCCCAGCTAGACACACTACCAACTACCCAACTGAACTCCATGACTGATTTGCCAGCCAATCATGCCCCTGAACCAGCCCACATGGACATGGGAAGGACATCAGTGAATCGGGAAAAGAGGCAGAGGTGAGGAGACACCTGTACTGGGCCACAGATCTATGTAGTTCAGCAATCTCCAGCCCCTTAGTACTCCAGGGGCTCTAAGCCACCCCTTTCTAAGTCAGGATGGAAGTAGATGACACCACATTTCTATCTGCTGCAGACGCTCCTCCCAGTGTCTCAAAATGTTTTAGCATCTTTCAGTAAAAATCTTCAAGTTTGTCAGTCCTTGATTTAAAAAAAAGCAGCAAACTTTTTAGAGCTCCCTTGAACCTTCTATTTTAATGTGCCTTCGTAGATAATTCCCAACATCTTGTGTCCTTCATTTTTATAATTTATCTTTATCAAACTTGTCATAAACCCCAATATTTTGATCTCTTATAGAAGAGTCTGTACTCCTATCCAATCCAGTGTTGTTTATCTTCAAACTTGGACTTCCCCTGCTCATTCCATTCTTATCTACTTCCATTGGGTTCCCCAGCTAATTCCATTCTCATTCTACCCACAGACTCACTCCCGTTTGTATTATTAAAACACACGCCAATAGGATATAAAAAGAAGCAAGAGTACTGGGCTTTAACATGAGTTCAAATCTCATTTCTGCCAATTCCTATGTCTAAAAAAAAGCATCCTAAACTCTTTGAGCCTCACATTCTCTATCTAGAGAATCATTTGACCAGAATGTTCAACACAGGTAAAAATACTAGAAGGTATTTTAATTCATTCCAAGATTCCTTAAAATTCTGTAATTCTATGTCCTCTTGATTCTGTCTATAGAAAAACTTAGAATACATAGCCAGCAGAGTTTGAAAAAATAATAGAACAAAAGAAATACCAAGAAAAGCAGAGAAGAAAGTTTTAAAAAATGAAGGCAAGATTATAGAAAAGTCACGGAAAAAGCAACAAGACTAAAAAATGTATTATGGAAGTAAGCAGAAATACTTGCCTAAATGGAAAACCAAACTGGGAAGTCAAATAATTTGTCTCTAAGACTTGCCTAAACTTGCTTTTGTAAAACTTACACCCCTATGGCAAAGCTAAGTAAGATCTGCCCTAGAGCCTTTGATGGTAAAAATAAGATACTGGTTACCACTGAAATTGTCAAATTTATTAGGACAAACTCTTGGACTAACCACATTCTAATGATAAACTTAAATGAGAGTTCAAGGTATTTAAACTCTCATTAATTTAGACATTAATCAAATTAATCAATCTGACTAATCTGATTCAGACCTATACCTTGATCCAAGGGCTGCACAGATATCTGTCAATCTATGCTGAGGAGCAAGAGACAGGATTTGGAAGGCAGGCAGGCTGATGGTCAAACTGTAGGCCAGCTACTTTGTTAACTATGGGATCATGAGGCAATTAATCAGCTCTAATCCATAGTTGTTTATTTAATAAACAGTAGGTTATAGGAACACAGATGTTGTGATGGCTTTATGAGATGATAAACGCATAGAACATATTAGGATGTCTAGCCCAGAATACAACACTCAACAGATATTCGTTTCTTCCATCTATATTTTCTTAGTTAACATAATTTTTTAAATCTATAAAATCCTACCTGACTGCAGATTCATCAGAACTTCCAACATCTATTAAAGAAAAAGGTAAAATGCATTTTAAATCAATAACAAATGTACAGAATATTAAAAGCATAAGAATGCACAGTGATGCATCCCTCTAATCCAAACTACTTGGGAGGCTGAGGCAGGAGGATCACTTGAGGAGCCCAGAAGTTTGAGACCAGCTTGGGAAACATAGTAAGACTCTACCTTCATAAAAAAATTGTGCACACTTGTATGTATGCTTTAGATCCTGTTTTTTGTTGTTGTTGTTTTTGTTTTGTTTTGGTTTGGTTTTTTAAAGCATAAGACTGATGCTTTGTTACAAAGCATTCCTTTGAGAGCATGCCTGGGACCTTATTAGAATTAACATTCGTTATACATATTGGTAGGTAATTAATGCAGTAAGAACTCTTCCCTTTGTATTTATTAGATGCAAAGAAGAATAAATTTATTAAAATTTGGTATCTACAAGTGAACTGCAGTATGCAAGTCATCTTAGCCAAACCCTATGAGGTTGAGTAAAAATGGTATTGTTAGCAGAACAGGTGTGATGAGTCACCAGTGTCAAAGAGCATGATTTCTGGACCAAAATATGAGGCGCCATTAAAACAGAGTACACAGTAGTACCCCTTATCCACTATACGTGCAGAAAGACATACTTGACACATTTTTCTCTACTGTCACACCACAGCAACAATCATCAACAAAGAAGGCTTCTGTGACCAAATGTGTGGAGGGTTTTTCCCCACCAACAAGCAAGCAATCATTCCTGCTGATGACACAATTCAATTCTCACACCTTATCTGCTGGTAACATCAGATTCAATTTAATTTATAAATTAAACTTTAGCATAGATATGTATGTATAGGGAAAAACAGTTTGTGATTCAGTACTATTCATGGTTTCATGCATCCACTTGGGGGTCTTGGAATGTATCTCCCACAGTTAAGGGGGAGCTACTGCACTTATTTTGTTATAACACAACACAGCCTCTCTAGCTCTTCAGTTCAAACTGCTCAGTTTAGAATAAAACACCCTAACACCAGATGTCAGCAAAACATAGGAATCCGACCAGAAACAGGAATCCTTGCAAAGACTTTCCAGCCGCTAGTGGAAAAGAGCTCAAAAGAGATCAATGTATTACTCTGGCTACTACTCTTTGGGGAAGGTGCTGGGTGGTTTACTTAGTTGTAGCTATTTGCTCTGCCCTACATATAGCAAGGCCCAAATTCACCTGCCATTTTACCTCCCACAGAAAAACCACTGGAAAGATCACTCCTTTAAGAGCTTATACGCTAGGAACCACACCTCACATTCAGAGAGAAGCTGAAGAAACACCAGGGAGGTGTGGCAGGCTGCTGGACAGTACTATATGATGTGAAAAATATATAGAAAGAAAACCATCAATGCCCTTTTACTACCAGAATGTTCCAGTGCTTGCCCTTCTCCCTAGTAGGGGAAAAAAATTCTTTTTCACCTCACAGAAAGCAAAACTCTCTTGCTATCCCTCATGACAGAATCTAGTTGTAGGTGAGTCACATCATCATAATACAGGCTGTTGTCAACCTCATCCCTCAAAGGAAGAGGATCAGTGAGGAACCTATGTACTTACCTATAGCATTCACTGTCTGGTCTTATTTCCAACCGAAGGTAAGTATGAAAGACTTTGTGATTCCAGTTTTATAAAGTACAACCCCTTGCACTTGTCCCCTTCCATTGCTAGAGAATCTATCTGGACCCACCTCACAGAGCAAGATGCTCCAGTTTGTGCTGTGTGGTACAGCATGGTGTCCTTTTCCTCAACCCTTTCTATTATGTGCACATATCTATACAAATCATGTTTTCTAAGTATGTAAAGCATATGTCATCAGAATATATCATTCTTTACAATGATAAAGAAGCAAAAGAAAAACAAAAGGACAAAGAACATCTTAAATGACTACATTCAACTGCCATGGAGCTTTAATTTTTTAACTATTCAAAAAGATATCCACTGTATTATTCCAACTATGTGACTCTTCTGAAAAAAGTAAAACTATGAAGACAGAGTAAACATCAATGGTTGCCACGAGTTACTAGGGAGAAAGGGAAAGATGAACAGGCATAGCACAGAGAATTTTTAGGGCTGTGAAACTGTTCTGTCGATAATATTACAGTAATAGATACATGTCATGTCATTATACACTTGTCCAAATTCACAGAACGTACAGCATCAAGAGTGAAGCCTGATGTAAACTATGAACTTTGAATGATTATAATGTGTCAATGTAAGTTCATCAGTTGTAACAAATGTACCACTCTCTGGTGGAAAATAGTAATAATGGGGGAGGCTATGCATGTGTGGGAGGCATGGGATATATGAGAAATCTCTGTACCTTCCTCTCAATTTTGCTGTGAACCTAAAACTGCTCTAAGAAATAAGGTTATTGATTTAAAAAAAGATATTCAGCTGGGCTCAGTGGCTCATGCCTGTCATCTCAGCACTTTGGGAGGCAAAGATGGGTGGATCACCTGAGGTCAGGAGTTCAAGACCGGCCTGGCCAACATGGCAAAACCTCGTCTCTAATAAAAATACAAAAATTAGCTGGGCATGGTGGCTGGCACCTGTAATTTCAGCTACTCAGGAGGCTGAGGCAGGAGAATCGCTTGAGCCTAGAAGGTGGAGGTTGCAGTTAACTGAGATCGCACCACTGCACTGCAGCCTGGGAGACAGAGTGAGACTCCATCTCAAAAAACAAAAAGATATTCACTGTCTATGCATCCCAGGATCTCCAGAACAATTACAATAAATAAATAAATAAATAAATAAATAAATAAATGGCTGGGGGCAGTGGCTCATGCCTGTAATCCCAGCACTTTGAGAGGCCGAGGTAGGTGGATCACCTGAGGTCAGGAGTTCGAGACCAGCCTGACTAACATGGTGAAACCCCATCTCTACTAAATACAAAAAATTAGCCAGGCATGATTGTGCATGCCTGTAGTTCCAGGTACCTAGGAGGCTGAGGCAGGAGAATCATTTGAAACTGGGAGGTGGAGGTTGCAATGAGCCAAGATTATGTCATTGTACTGCAGCCTGGGCAACAAGAGCAAAACTCCGTCTCAAAAAAATAAGTAAATAAAATAAAAAATAAAGATATTCACTGAACCTGTTACTATGATATATTTAAGCAAGACACGGTGACCCTAAAAATTAGAGATCATTGAAGACCAAAGTAACAACATGTGGTCATTACTTCTCAAATTGAACTATATAAAATATATAAAATAAATAAATTTAATTGCATGCTTAGGTAAGAAAATATTGATAAAAATAATTGAATATTTTATCTTATTTCATAATTCTAAACAGGGATTTAGCACAATATGAAAACTAGACTATTCATGTAATCAAAATAAAAGACAATTTTTATTCTAATGTTAACTCAGAAATTATTTTGCTTATTTAATTTAACAATTTTACTGAAAGGTTAATGAGATAAATAGGACAGATTATAATTACCTAACATTGCTATGGTAACTTATATACAAATAGCTGTTCATCACCAAAAGTCAAAAAAGTAACAAGCACTGCAACTTAAGATGGATTATACAACAGAAATTAGTACCAAGTTACCTTATCTTATAATATTATGTTATTAAAATGAAATTTTAAAACAACACCAAAAATTAAGTTGGGGTTACAAGTGTTGTGCAGAAAAGATTTCATATAGCAGGCAAGAGGCTGCCATCCTTAGAAAGGCCTGCATGCAAGGCTGGCCCTTGGCTGGTGTTTAGGAAATTGGAAATGGGAGGGTTTCCACCATTCCCTGAGAAGAGTGGCTCACTGTGTCTAAAGTGCTTATAGAAACAGTGTATTTACTCTAAACAGCTGCTTTCCTTGTAAGAGTCTGGAATTTGGGTACATGTGAGGGAGAGTAACCTCCATAGAAAAACTTGGGCACTTAGTCTCTAATGAAACTCTGGTACTGGTAGACATCACTGCACATATGTTGTCAAAATGTGAGCCTGGGAGAATTAAGCAGATCCCGGGAACTCCACAGGACAGAACTCCTGGAGGCTTGTGCCTTGTTTCCTCCAGAATTGACCACATGCACCTTTTTCCTCTACTAATTTTGCTTGTCCCCTTCCTTGTTATCAATTAAAGATCTGAGTATGACTATTTGTTGAGTCCTGTGAGTCCTTCTAATGAACCACCAAACCTGGGGTGGTCTTGGGAAACCTTGACACAAATTCATTGTGTAAGATTTGTATTAAGTTGATATGATACGTGTAACTGTAATCAGATGGTTATTTCACAGAATAACTTTACCTAATCTGTTTTTCTTTTCTTTTTTTGCCTTGATATTTGACTTGGAGATTCTCGTATTTCTATATCTATCCAATTGAATAAAGCCATAGAAGGAATAAATGAAAAAATAATGTCAGAAAATAATGTGAAATGAGCAGCAATCCTCTTTTATCTGAATAAAAAATAGAGAATCTGGGTGATTGACAATATGTTCTACAATATGAATGTTTCTAGAAAAAAAATGAAAAAGTGGTCAATTTTCTGCAACTCAACTGGGCTTCATTCCTTTTTATAATAATTTTGAAGGCCAGGTGCAGTGGCTCACACTTGTAAATCCGAGCATTTTGGGAGGTTGAGGCAGGAGGATCACTTGAGCCCGGAAGTTCCAGACCGGCCTCGGCAATATAGTGAGACCTCATCTATTAAACAAACAAACAAACAAAAATCCCTTAAAAAGAAAATTAGCCAAGTGTGGTAGTGCATGCCTGTAGTCCAAGCTACTTGGGAGGCTAAGGTGAAAGGATCATTTAAGGCCAGCAAGCAGAAGTTGCAGTGAGCCAAGATGACACCACTGCACACCAGTACTGACAACAGAGGGAGACCCTGTATTAAAAATAAATAAACAAATAAATAATTGTGTATCAGGCCAGATGTAACCACACAAAACTGTAGTCCCAGCTACTCAGGAGGATGAAGTAGGAGGACTGCTTGAGCCCAGGAGTTCAAGGCTACAGTGAGCTATGATTGCACCAATGAATAGACACTGTATTCTAGCCTAGGCAACATAGAGAGACCCCATCTCCTATGATAATAATAATTGATTAATTGTGCATCATTCAAGTAAATTGTGTAACTGGAGAAAAACATATGACTATTGAATATACTATTATAGTCTACTACTGACCATAGAGTTCCTGTTTACTTGCTTCTAATCTTTTTCTTCATTTCTCATAAAACTGAAAACATGATTTAAACCCATTAAAGGCAGTTCATCACAAAACAAGTCAAAAAGTCAAAAGAATTGCATCCAAACAGTAGGATGCGTTATCCACCGCTCTCTGTGAACAGTTGGATTTGGTCATTAAGAATCAGCAGGACTTTTAACTTTGTGTCTGTGTGCACAGGTGTGTGCACATGTGCACGTGTGTATGTGTATGTATGTAAACTATGACAGATAAAATCATTTTGCTTGTGTACGAATATGTAATATAACTTGTGCTTCTCACAAAGGAATTGCTTTTCCGTCTCCTGTGCTCAGTAGCTGTCTTCAAAAAATAATCTCCTATTTGTATGGGTGCACACTGGTTCAGTTCTACAGTTCTTATTGCCATTTATTTATGGTACCAGAAAGGGATTGCTGAGTTCCTGGTTCTAAAGATAGTTACTTTCTTAGTGACACAAATCAATATGTAATACAGTTCACCCTTGAACAGCAAGGGTTTCAACTGCAGGGATTCACTTATATGCAGATTTTCTTCTGCCTCTGCAACAGAGAGACAGCAAGATCCACCTCTCCTCTTCCTCCTCAGCCTAATCAACCTGAAGATCATGAAGACCTTTGTCAGGACTACTTATGCTTTATGAAAAGTCAATATGTTTCTCCTGATGATTTCCTTTCTAACAGCTTCATTTCTCTAGCTTATTTTATTGTGCGAACACAGTATATAATAATGCAGCAAAAACAAAATAGGTGTTCATCAACTGTTTATGTTATCAGGAAGGCTTCCAGTCAATTGTGGGCTATTAGTAGCTAAGGTGAAGGAATCAAAAGTTATACTCAGATTTTCAACTGCACAGGGATCAGAGTCCCTCACCCCCACATTATTCATGGGTCAACTGTAGTTATTTGTTTACTAAATATAAACAATTTATTATAAAAATGAAATCGAAGATCCATTTGTATAACAAGTCCAATTTGTTATAATGTGACTATAGAGGAAACATACAACATACTAACTTAAAAATCTTTTTTCTTATTTATGCAAAAATATTATATAGGATTTTAGGGATCATAATTAAATAAATGAATGTTTTCAGACAATAATGTTTGAGATTGTAAATTAGCTACAACTACCTTCTTAAATAAATCTGAATTTCAAACTAAAGAAGTTAAATTTTAAAAATTAATTTACATATGTATATACATATATACACATTCAATTTACACATATTTTTAAACTGGTCTTTTTTGACTGAAACTACCTTAATCTTACATCTTACTTTGTATTTTCTTATCAAGAGTAGGACCACCAAGACAAGTAAGAAATTCACAATCAGAAGTCTTACCTGATTTCTCCTTTTTAAGTATCTTCTTTTTATGTTCCAAAATTTGTTGTTGAATTCTATGTATACAAAAGTAATAAATAAAATTGCCATTTTTATAATGAAATAAAAAATATTCACCAAACATATTAAATTCCAAAACACTTTCAAGCAATATCAGACCTAATATCAGAATTTTAATGTCCCATACACTTCAAATTTGTAAACCTTACAAGCTTATTAAGCTTATAATTAAAGAAGAAAAGAAAGTGAAGTACTCATAAATGGAGGAAGCACAGCTCAGTAAATGAACTCTAGTTAGCTGGATATCATGCAAAGTGTCCTGCACTCAGAGTAAGTCCTTGCTCTGTAACCAAAATACCTCGCTCTGTAGGTATTTTGTCTTCAGACAAGTTGCTTCTCTTAGGCTCCATGGTTTCTTCTAAAAAACAAGGATTCTGCTACCTTACTTCACTAGGTTGTTTGGAAGATGTAATGAGATTACATGTTTATATGTTCAGAGAAATAGTAAAGCAATGGAATAATTTATTCTTGAACTTTATTGCTGAAACCATTTTGGAATCCCAAATAATGCTCGGTGTGTGTTTTTCTGTAAGTTCTAATACTCAAATGTTGCAGTTTTCAGAAAATGTTATTAAGTGCTAATTTTGGTTATTACTTGTATTCATTGTGGCTTGTAATTCAGGGCATTTTACCTAATTCATAACTTATTACTAAATTTCTATATATATAAATTTAGTGAGCTCATCACTGAGCTCATCAATCACACCAAGGGCAGAAAACTAATAGGTGTCAAAACCTGGCTTGGACAACTACCACTCCTTCTCTACCTCCTCAAACTCTGAGCCAGCAGATCTGTGCTTGGCTGCTGGATCTCCATGGTCCTCTCCAACTAACAGACAAGACAAAACCCTGCTTTGATTGTTTTTCAGTTCCATGAAGGAAATACAAGTTGACATTTTCTCATTTCCAAGACATGTACTAACAACATGTAACATCCCCTTATTACTCAGCTCTGTTCCCATTTCAGAGATCACCATACATCAATAGTTTCATAGCGATAATCACAATTTCAATATTGCGTGTCACCTGTTTTGGTTTTGCTCACACTGCTTCCTTGGAGCTACTCAACAAATAGTCAAATGGCCTACCTGGGACTAGGCAAAATATGGAATGTTTTCTGAATTTGTGTGCCATCCCTAGGCAGTAGCCATGCTTATCTGCTCTGTATTGATCCAATTTTAAAATATGTGCTGTTGAAATAAGTACAAAGCCCTGTTTGATACATGGATATTCATGAGTCATGGATGAGGCTTAGCTCTATTAAATCCAACTCACTTACTTCAGATTCAGAGAATTTTATTGAATGGCTTCCTGTGAGGTAGAATTTTAAAATATATTGAAAACTTGAGGAAGAGCTGCAAGTAGCCCAGGAGATTTTCATGATTATAGAGACACATTACTTGAGGGGCCAACTGCAAGCTGGTTCCCACTACTCAGTGGAAAGATAACATGGAACATTCCGCTATCTAACCAAAGCTGCTGCACAGGATATAAAAAAGCCTCAAGGTACAGATCTGATAGCAAAAGAGACAGGGAACTCTGATCTCTTCCTGCAACATTATTTGAACATCCCTGACTATTGAGAACAATCCCAACTAATATTGGTTAAAGGAAAGACAAACATGGCTCTCAAAGGATAACATACCACGAAGGCCTAGGCAAAGTCTAGCTAAGACGTGGGCTCCAAATAAGGTTTTTAGTGTAGGGTGAGCATCAACTTGCTCAATATTTGTGTGGATAAAGCTAGGAGGCCTAGCTGCCAGAGCAGGGTGCTGGGAACAATGACTGAGCACAAGTACATAAACTAATAAACACCGTAGCTTTGACCTCTATATATGAATCACCATGAAAACTGAGGGGTCTGAATCAGTGAAGGCATCCTGGTGGCAAAGGTCAATCATTATCAGATTGCAGGACCAGTTATAATGGCAATAATACAGCAAGTGAGTCCATGGAAACAACAGAATGATTAGAATGGCCTTTTTTCCCCTTCTTCTGACTTGTAAAGAAAGATTGCCTTCCTTGGACTTAGGAAACCCCTTAGCTTCTTGGAAAATTCAAAGAAGGAAGACACAGGAGAGAGCCCCAGGGGACAATACATGATTTTCTGTTAAACTGGACATTACAAGACTCAATAACTAATTAGAAAAGTCAGGCCAGGCATGGTGGCTAGCACTTTCAGAGGCCGAGGCAGGGGGATTACTTGACCTCAAAAGTTCAAGACCAGCCAGGGCAACAGAGTGAGACCTTGTCTCTACAAAAAAAAAAAAAAAAAAAAAAAAGGAAAGGAAAGGAAAAGAAATCAAAGACATGGCTCTTTTTATCCCATGCATGGGGATTATACTTAGAATAAAATGAATAACATTGAGATCCCTAGGGATAAATGTCTCAAAAATCCAGAAAAAATCTCGCACTCTACTTCTAACTAATCTAGACTTCTGCTTGATTTCTGGCTAAAAGGTAGACTAACTCTTCGCTATTTCAAACTATCTGAACCAAACTATGAACTCTCACCTAATGCATAAGATGGAGTAGTTGCAATTATTTTAAACTTCAATTTAGCATTAACTGGCCTTTTAACATAAACACTTACTTTGTCAAATGATGAGAAATAGCATAATCTTCTGCATCTCGTCCACACATGTCTTGAGCGAAGACATCAATATTTTGCTTAAGAAGGATATTGACAATACCTGGTGAGTCATAGTATACAGCAAGCATGAGAGCTGACCTAAAACAACAAAGAAATAACTCCACTCAAGAACTTTAATAAAGACTTTTTTAAAAAGCTAGTTTGATACACTTTACCAGTTTAATATCCGCCTGTCAGTATAGATGTAATAACTATTTGCATGTACTAGCTTGGGTCTATAAGCATCTAGGGTGCTCAAGTGTTCATCTTTGTAAATTGTCACCAAGGCTAAAAGAAAGGGACAACAGGGAAGCCTCTTGTCCCACTGGGGTAAGACATAATACAAGTTGCTAACTTATAGTCCTTTGATGGCCAAGAAACTGTGCTGAGGTCACTTATCTAAAGTAGGCAAAGATTTAGATGAAGATTTCCCCATTGCTTTCCTAGTCAAATCAGCTAGGGGTCAGATAAGAGTTATCTGCAGGCTGAAAACAACAACAACAACAATAATAATAATGACAATGCTAGTAGTCATAAACTAAAAGTCCACACTTTGAAAATGAATAAAACTTGTCAGGTGCAGTGTCTCATGCCTGTAATCCCAGCACTTTGGGAAGCCAAGGAGAGCAGATCACGAGGTCAAGAGATCAAGACCATCCTGGCCAACATGGTGAAATCCCATCTCTACTAAAAATACAAAAATTAGCTGGGCATGGTGGCGTGCACCTGTAGTCCCAGCTACTTGGGAGGTCGAGGCAGGAGAATCGCTTGAACCTGGGAGGTGGAGAATGCAGTGAGCTGAGATCACACCACTGCACTCCAGCCTGGCAACAGAGCAAGACTCCATCTCAAAAAAAAAAAAAATTAATAAAACTAATACAAAACCCTTTAGCTAATAAAAGATTACAGTACGAAAAACATCTGATTATAAATACCAAACTCTGTATATTATAAGAGAAGATGAATCCTACTATATACTATTCTTTATGTTACTCAGTCCAAATATTTGCTTGTCTACCTGATTATTCATGGTGATATTTTTCATTATATGCCAATAATTATGTTAATCTTCTTATTAATATTTCTGACTTGAGTGACCACTCTAGAATACTCAGGTTTTATTTTTAAAAAAAGAACTACTGTACCGTCTCAGCCTATCAACGGCATGTGAACTTGCTTTCCTTTTCAATAAAAATTCCACCATTTTCTCTTTCTTGCAAATTATAGCAAATAAAAGTGGGGTATTATTGTCCTATAAAACAGCAGAAAAAATTAATAATTCACAAAATTACATATTTCTCAACTGAACTGAAAATCTTCTCCAGGATGCTTTGAACTTCAACATACAATATAGAAAGGAAGTAAATGAAAAGCAGTCCCTTCATTCTCACTCCTCTGTGCTTTCTGATGTGCTGTGCTTTGCCTTGCAAACAACCCTCCTCTGTCTCCCTGGATTAACTGTGGTCATTGCCAAAACTCACTTTAAACATTTACTAGTCCCAAGAATCCTTGCTTTGATCACAGCACTTATCATGGTACATTGTAGTCATTTCATTGTTTCCCACTGAAACCAAGAGCTTCTTGAGGCAAGGGCCTAAAACCCTAAGACACAGTAGCAAATATTTTAAGTTTTTTACATTAATTAATGATCTAAATTACTATCTCTAAAGCAGTGTCTCTTAAACTATATTCCAAAGAATATTTGCTTTATCAGAAGTATTATACCGCAAGAGAAAGACTCCATGACCATCTGTATTTGAGAAGTATTACAAAACTGTATTTTATGTCCAATAATCAAGAAATCTCTTTAATTTCACCTAATCCCCTTTCACAATACTATTTGTGGCAAACATTAACATTTGAGGAATTAAGAGTTTCAGAGATACAGTTGCCAGAGCTTCCCAATACAGGTGGCAGTTCCCTCTGGGTGGTACAAACTTGCTTGATTCACTTTTATCAATGGTGTCAGGATCCCAGATGCCAATGTCAGGCACTCCTGCTCCAAATGGGTCACCATGGAAATGAGCTTTGAATTAAGAGAGATTGGCTTCAAATGCATTTATTTTCCTTATTATTAAATAGTCCATGGGTTTTTCCCCTAATACAAGAGAAGAGATTTTTATCTTTACTGTTAGAAAGCTCAGTATATTCTGTGTAAGAGAGATAGGTTTAAAAAACTTAAGAACAAATATTTTAAAAACCAAAACTCAGTAAGAAATACTATTCTCAATTATAATGGTAATCCCGGGACCCTAGTGCAGCTCTACTTTTTAAATCCATTTTTACTGGCTTCCACTTAAATGGCTACTTAAAATTATTTTTTATTTTAGACAAAATATAAATCAGAAATAAAAACATAATGGCTTATCAATAGAAGTTCTCATACTGATCCACATGGATTATTTCTGGCATAATACAAGCCAATAAGTCACTTGCATCCTTAAGGAAGAGCACTGAGGAGAAGGATGTACTGTCTGCAATATTCATAAATTATCCAACTATAACCAGGAATAACCTAAAAAGGCTTCTAGGCATTCTTATGGGCAGAGAATTATTTGTGGTATATATAAAGAAAAGAGTTAAAAACTTCTAAACTCTAAAATTCAACTCCATAACTGAGGGATTTATATACTCTATAGACTATATATTATAAACAAATACATGCTGACTTAAAAACCTTGAAATTTTTATCAAAATATACTATAACATAGGAGTTGTAAACTCAGATACTTACAAGGACAAAGGAAGGTTGCCTGAGTAAGGGAAGTACTAAGGTGGGCACAGTAGCAAACTGGAGAATACCTGCCTTCTATAAAGGGGCAACTTCTGCACAGCAGACCAAAGAATGATAGAAACTCAGGGGACACCAGATTTGATTTTTTAGGATATGCCTGAAGTCCACATTTCTTCACGAGTCTTCTAAATTTTACATGTTGATTCAACTTATAGAGGCAAACAAACAAATCTGTGTACCACATTAGAATACAGCCCTTGTTTTTTTTATATTCGCTATTAATGTGTTACTAAATGGTTGTGTATAATCCAAGTATTTTCATGTAAAATATTTTCTTTCTCTGGTATCATATGTTCTACCAAAAAATCAGGCTCTCATATATAATAAAAATTGCTAAAAAGACTCACAATACCTGCTTCAAGAATTTTTCCAACATGTATTCATTTAAAATATGTTTGTATATAATTTTCCCAGATTGTTAACCAAATAGATAATTGGTTCACAAGACTGCTAAAACTAAATTATTAAAAGAATTCCTATCTATATTCTTATTAACTTCATGGATTTCAGTGTTTAAAACTGACATTTTGGGTATGCTAAAGTTCTATAAACTTAACAAACATACTGAGATAGTTCATAACAAAACTTCAACTAAAAAAAATAGTTTAGGATTTGCTACTATTCTAATTGAGAAAGCCAAACTTGTAATGAACATTTGTTGACACATAATCACCTGCGTGGTGACAAAGGGACATGAAATCATGAAAGGGTCAGCCTCTACCTATTGAAAGATTACTCATAAGCAAATTTCTGAAGACTCTCTGAATGGTAGTGAATGATTCATGGTGGGAAGCAAAACATGTTATTCTGTAAGCTGAGAGATATTGCCAATGATATTACCTTTCACTTCCCAGTCACAGATGTAGAGAAAGACAGATAAGTCAGGCTAATATAATTGAAAAGGAGAACTTTGAAGGAAGTGGCAACTATCAAATGCCAACTCTTCTAGAGATTTCTTACATTTTTGAGATACAGAAATTTATATATTGCACTTATCTATTCTGGGGTTTTTAATCAAGAGTGTATCCCAACCTTGAAGGTTTTTTGTTTTTTTGTGGGGTTTTTTTTTGGCTATTATTGTTGTTAGAGACAAGAGTCTCACTATGTTGCTCAAGCTGGATTCAAACTCTTAGGCTCAAGCTGGGACTACAGGAATACACCACTGTGCCCAGCTTCAAGAAAACATTTTTAAACACGTTCAGGCCTTAATAGGTCTATTACATCAAAATCTTCAGGGGAAAGCCTACAATTGTAGATTTTTAACAAAATGTCCTCAGGTCACTGTAATGCACAATTCTGAGAATCAGTGCAGCAGACAATCACTTCAGTCTCACCTCTCACCCACATGGCTAATTCCTTTATCAGTTGGAGATGTGGCCAAAAAGAGAAAAGAGTAAGAGATAGTGTCATTTATTAAAACTCCAGTTAAGTTTCCTGGCTACGGGTAGAACAGGGACAAGTAAACTCAAAATCCCACTTGATTTTGCTATTTACAAGCTCCTTATCTCCCACCTTCCCACTAAGACATTCTAGATTTGAGAGGAGGCTTTAGGTTCTTATCTAAGTGGCTGTTTCTGCCAGGATGAGCAATAAGTCAGTTAATAATTTGTTCCACCTTCTGCTGAAGTGTTTCTCACTTCGTCACCACATATTCACTGCCAATCTGGTTTCCTCAGAGTCCTCCTAAAATTCATCTCTAGGCAAGTTGCAATTCATTCTTTTTCAAACCAAAAATTATTAGACCCAAAGCTAAACAGCACCTTGTCTCAACACATAAAACAAACTTAAAAACAAAAAAAAACCTCTTCCTGGCATTTTCCCTCATTATCTAATATCCAAGTGACCTGCATATTTCTGATTGCTCTCTTTCTCCCCTCCCATTTTTCCCTCTTAAGCCTTGCCACTGAAAGATGATACATCAGTTTTTCAGAAAATTAGCAGCAACAGCAACATGTCCCTTTATTGTAAGTTGCTTTAGTTTTGTTTGAGTTTTAAGATAAAGCCTAATTCCGGGGAATATTTTCTTTCCTGTGTTGTTTTACACTAATTAAGAAAAAAAAAAAAAAAAGAATAAGCCTGTGTAGAAAAAAAGTTGAAAAGGTTTTACCTTTAACAAATTCACAAATATTTTCCAAAGTGCATTTTATAAAGCTGTGCCCTTTAATGCTTCTTTAAAAATATCAATATTTAAAATAAAATCTTAGACAATTAAGTTATTTCAAAATAACTTAATTTGTATTTGCATTCAGGGAATGGTTGAGCTTCCAAATATAAAAAATTGACCCTTACCTATGTCAATGTTAAAACAAATATTTTGGAAAGAAAGTTGATTGACCTATACCTTGTCCAGTGCTTCAATATGTGCACCATGGGAAAGCAGTTTTTCTGCCAGTGAGGTGCTCTCACTATACACGGCATAATGGAGAGCAGTGTTGCCGTAGATATCCTTAAGGTTTGGATTGGCGCCATGTTCCAGCAGAATAACGGCACAAGCCTCTTCCTGGCAATGGACAGCCTGTCCGTGTTAGACCAAGAAACAGATTGTAAATTCCAAGAATTCAAAATACACATTCCACAGGTTTCACCAACTAGTTATATGTAAATGAGATCAATTTATTTTAATTCTATATATGTAAATCAAATCCATGTCATGCTAAAAGAGTTGGCTCTAATATACCTGTATCAAAGGCGTTCTGTTTTCTTTGTCACAGACATCAATCTGGCATTTTCTGTTAACCAGGAGAGTGACCACTTGCACATGGCCACTGGCACAGGCCAAGTGTAGAGCAGTTCTATGAGAGTAAGAGGATTTTTTAAGAAACTGTAGTACAATATCTCAAAACATACAATCATTCATGTAATGTAAAAACTGAATAGCATGTTTTTCCTCTGCCTTCAAAACAAATAAATTTTTTGAAGAAAGTACAATACTTACTAGCTCTTATTGCTCACTGCCTTAATGAAAACAGCAGCCTATTTGAGTAGAAAGAGCTCAGTCTTTGGATTCGGTTCAACTAGGGCTTGAGTCCTACTTTAAGCCTTGACACTTACCAACTATTGCTTAGCCTTTCTGTACCTCAACTTCCTCATTAATAAAGATGACAATAGTAGCTATCTCATAGGACACCATCGTGATGCTTAAATGAGAAGCTATGTAAAGTATGTAGAACAGTTCCTACGACAACTCAATAATTGTAAGATTTTTGTTTTTTGAGACAAAGTCTCACTCTTTTGCCCAGGCTGGAGTGCAATGGTGTAACTATACCTGGAACTCCTGGGTCAAATGATCCTCCATCCCCAGCCTCCTGAGTAGCTGGGACTACAGATGAGCACCAGCATGCCCAGCTATTTATTTAAAAATTTTTGTAGAGTAAGAATCTCACTTTGTTGCCCAGGCTGGTCTCAAACTCCTGGCATCAAGCAATCCTCTCACCCCAGCCTCCCAAAGTTCTGGGATTACAGGTGTGAGCCACTGCACCCAGCCAGATATTATAATTATTACTATTACTACTACTTAACAAAACCATTTTAATTAGGTAGAATGATACAATTATACCTACTTTGCAAGATGACTTAACGAGTAGGTCACATTTTAACACCTCTGACATTGGAATGCCACTTATAATTCATGATTTGTTATAACTATAATTGGTAGCATTTTAAAAATTATCTTATTGATATATAAAATATCGGGGCATCACGCAATCCATGAGACCTTACATTAAGTAGAATATGGTATACTCAGCAGGTCTAGGGCAGTTCTAGGCATGTAACTGAAACTTAAATACATTTTAGTTCTTAAAGGTACTATGGGGAAAGAGCACTGAAATAACAATAATGCATTTTTTAAACAAATTAATTCTTTGATTTTCAAACAACTTGAAACCAAAGGAAACTCATGATTCAAATGAATACATATGGCTCATTGTATTCAATATTTATACTTAGAAAATATATGCAAATACGACTTTCCAATGATTAATATTAGTATTTAAGACTGATAAACTTTCGAAAGAGCAGTTAAAGGTTATCTTCTACTATTTTCTAACTTCAGAAATGCTTTTGTTTGAAAGGTGGGAGATAAAGTTTCAAGGAGATTAAGTCCCAATATTCCTATTTTAAATCTCTCAGCTTGTGCAGGCGGGGCAGGTAAACATGAAGTGTTTAAGGATGGACGGGTCCTGAGAGATGATAGAATATGTCTGCTACATAGCAGGTACTCAGGTTATGCTTGATCCATAAATGGAATGAAAGAATGGATAAATACAGTTGGGGAGTTCATTATTTTTAAATAAACTCCTATAAAGCAATATTTTTGCAATAGTAATTATTTATATGTGTTGTTTTATTTTTAAAGAACACAATTAAAATGAAATGATTATGTTTGCATAAATGGAATGAGTATATAAGCAAAACATATGTACATAATAAAATATATAGATAATAAAATCTGGAAACAGATAAAAACATTCCTTTTTTACTTCTGAAGAGGCTAAAAGCTCAAAGAAGATAACAACACACACAATAATGATAAAAAATAGAAAGTGAGAAATTATTTTCATCAGCGCAAGATTCATATTCCTCTCTTCCCAAGGATTAGTCCATTAATAATAAACTTTTACTAGAAGTTTTGTACTCACTGCAGCAATCACAGATAAGAAAAAGGAAAAAAACTTTACTTAAAATACAAATGCTCAGAAATTACAAATTTTATATTTTGTACATATTTTTGCTAAAACAAGACCATAGTATGTTTGTGTATGTATAATTTAACTAATTTTTTCTCCTTGCTAGCTATAACAAAATACATCTTTGCACATCAACGTACTTCTGTATCTACTGCCACCTTCAGTGGTCACATATTATTCCATCCTATGGATGCAACTGAAATTTATTTATAGGATCCATTCTATGGGTTCTCTTTAAAGTAAGTACTGTGAAAAATAAAGTGCATGTATCTTTATTTCCTAAGGGTATTTTAGTATAATGGAATTGGTGGGTAAAGGGCATACACATTTTTTAAATGTAGTACTTACCATTTTCAAATGAGTACTTTGAAAAGTAATCAGCAACTTCAAGCAGCAGTATAAAACATCCTCACAAATATTGTGGATAGAAAACTGTTTCATTCCTCTTTTAGTTTAAATTCTTATACCAGAAATGCGAAGGATTTTTTCCTATGTATATAAGTAACTTGTAGATCTGGAAAAAGGTACTTTGCCCACTTTTAGAGTGTTTGATGATTTGATTTGAAAGAATTTCCTGTAAAATGAAGAGGTACTTTTCATCTAATGTGTATATATAACTGATATATATAACATATTATATGTGTTATATATGTATACATATCAGTAATATATATATATCTTATGATATATAATAAACAACATAGGCCAGGCGCGGTGGCTCACACCTGTAATCCTAGCGCTTTGGGAGGCGGAGGCGGGCAGATGACTTGAGGTCAGGAGTTCGAGACCAGCCTGGCCAACGTGGTGAAACTAAATATACAAAAATTAGCCAGGCATGCTGGCACCTGCCTGCAATCCCAGCTACTTGGGAGGCTGAGGTAGGAAAATTGCTTGAACCCGGCAGGCAGAGGTTGCAGTGAGCCAAGATTGTGCCATTGGACACCAGCCTGGGCAAAGAAGCGAGACTCCGACTCAAAAAAAAAAAAAAAGAATATAATGAATTCCCTATAAAATGAAAACATACTTTTCATCTGAAAAAATATATATATATAATATAGTAAATATTTTTCAAGTAAGCTCTCTTATCTGAGAACTTTTCGCCCACTGAAACAACTCACGGTTATTTTTGATAGGGGAACAAGTACTCTCATTAGGCACCTCCTATAATGTATATAAACCATGTTTTAAACGTGTACGTTAAAAATAACAACGCTGTATATGCTTAACTTTGTGAGTTAAATCACTCAAATTCTCCAACTGCTCCAGCCAGGGAATTATGAGGGATGGAAAACAGATGAGAGTCCGTTTGGCTCCGCCGCTCCGAGGGTGCCCGGCGCCCTGCACGGCCCCGTCCCAGGGTCTGCGGGGAAGCCGGGCCTGGGGGCCCCCTCCCACCCCCGGCTGAGCCCCCGCTACCTGTGCTGCTTGTCCAGGGCGTCCAGGTCTCCGCTCCTGCGCGCCAGGCAGCGCTCCACCTCCGCGGCGTCGCCTTTGACAGCTGCCCTGTGGATCTTCTGCAGTTCGGAGTCCCGGATTCGGTATCCGGAACCCGTGTAGACGTGGTCTATGGAGCCCTGGGCCGTCTGGCCCCTGCGGCTCCCGAAGCCGAATAACTTCATATTGGTGACTTCTTCTCAGACCCCCAACCACCGGCTCTTGAGCGAGGGCAGCTCCCTGTCACCTTTTCACCACCCCCCTCCCCGACCCCGGCCGACCCAGCCCCAAATCCCCTATCCAACCCCAAAGCCCCGATCCAACCCCAACTCCGCTATTTCAAATCTATAATCTACTCCACAATCCGCGATCCAGCCCGGTCCACCACAGCCTTCAGCAGCGACACTCGCAGCCTCCGACCTCTCAGACCGAGTGAGCCTCGCAAAGCCGTTGGGCGCGCGCCTGCACGGCAGTTGCTGCCGGGCTCCCAGAAGACGCTCCCTGGCGGCGCGCGCCTGCACCGCGGTTGCTGCCGGGCTCCCGGAAGACGCTCCCTAGAGGCGCGCGCCAGCAGGTGGGGCTGCAGCTCCGGGCGTGCGCCGATGGGCTCGCCGGTTCTCCTGGGATCGCCCGGGCGGCCCCAGGATCGCAGGCGCGCAGCCAGCCCGGCCTGAGAAGGAGGGCCTGTCTGGCCTTGCAGCCCGCCCCGCTCCTCCTCGGAAGGGAGATACGGTGCTGGCAAGGGCACTCCGCGGCCACCTGAGTGGCTTCGCGGATTGGCTGAACGCTGAGGCTCTGGCCCTGAAATCTGTGTGGCTAGTGTCAGGTAGCTGGAGAGGGATGGAGGCAGAGTCAGGGGCTGCTCCTTCCCCCACCCGCCCTCACTGCTGCCAGTGCCACACGCGCGGTTTGCAGCTGCAGATCTGGCACTGGCGCAGGTTGGCGGAGCTTCCTTTGGATGGCCTCAGGGCCGCAGAGCGCACAGCCCACCTGGCCTCAAGGTCCGCTCCTCTTGGACATCTTTCTGGATCCTGGGCCCTGGCGCTGGGCACTCTGTGTCCACACGGATGAAACAGCGGCTGCTGGCGGGGCCGGTTGCCTGATTTTGCCGCCTGGGGGTCTGGCCTCAGGATCCACGCTACTGCGGGGCGGGCCTGGTCTGGAGTGTCCAGTCACTTGCTGCCGGTGCACCACGTCTAGACTGCAGCTGCGGCTCCGATGCCGGCGTGAGCTGGCGGGCCTGGTACCTGATGTCCTCAGGGTCAAGTGCATCGCCCTCCCACTTGAGAGGTTGCTCTGACTTGGCCTCCTCCAAGAACGCAGGGGCCGCCGGGACTGGCTCTTCGTGGTAACCGGGATGGTACCGAGCAGCAGGTTTTCACCCTGGTGCCACTGCTGTGCGGACTGCCTGACTTGGGCGCCCAGGCACCCGCCCCAGGGTCCGCGCGGCAGGTGTGCAGGTAGGGTGAGTGGCGCGGAGGGTTGGGGGTTGCTCCGTCATCTCTGCCCGTGTGCAACTTGCAGTTTTGCAGTTTTCTGCAGCAGCTGAGGCGCTGGCGCGGGAAGGCGGAGCTCCCCTGGATGGCGTCAGGTTTGCGGGCACAGAGCACAGCCCACCAGGCCTGAAGGTCCGCTCAGGGGCCATAGTGGTTGAGTTCTCTGTGGAACTGGGATGGGGTGAACAGCCAGTTCCCGTCCTTTGGCCGCCTGGCCAACTGCCAGACTTAACCGCTGCCGCCCAGGCATCTGTCTCTAGCGTTGCCACTACTTGGGTAGAAGTGGGGGTCGGGGTGGGGCGTGGAGCGTCACCGGTTGCCAAGCCAGCACTGTCTTTGCAACATATTCAGATGGCGGCGGGCAGCTCGGGCGCCAGCATGGGCTGGCGGGGCTCCCCTGGACGGCCCTCAGGTCGCTCACAGCATTGTCCCAGGACTTCCTCGGCCTGTGCCAGGTGGGCAAGGTACAGGGGTAGCTTCCAAGGCTTCTATCCCAACTCTACCTATTTCTACCTATTTTCTCTTGAGTTATTTTGCCTTTATCTCAGTTTTATTTGCAAAAATAGTATACGCAAAATACATCGAGTGAATGCACATCAGGCATATAGAAGATCTGGCAGAAACATGTTTTCTCCTGCTCATTTCCAGTCAGTATTTGAACACAGAGGCTTCCACGGTTTTGATTCTTTCCACAAAAGGTTAGTTTTGTCTGTTTTCACCATTTATGTAAGTGAAACTATAAATTATATAATTTTTATGTTCACTCACTAAACATGCTTGTGACACATCATTTTGCTCCTATTGATTATTCATTATTTTGTAATATTCAATTTTATGACTATACCACAGGTTTGAGGCCTTTGCTTGTTTTGTTTTTAATCCATTCCACTATTGATAGACACAAAAGCAGTTTCTGATTTGAGGCTATCATGAATAAACCTGCTACGAACAAATCAGATATACATATTTTTTTCTGTAATAATATTTTCACTTTTCTTGAGTTTAAGTACATAAGAGTGGATTTTCTGGGTTATAAAATAAGTATATATTTGGCATTGTATGAAATGGGGAGACATTTTCCTAAGTGGTTATGCCATCTTAAACTACAATGAAAATGAGAGAATCAGTTCCACTTTCCAACCAATACTTGATGCTGTCAGTTGTTTTAGTATTATCCATTCTTATGGGATATAACTGCTGAGTAGCTGTCTGCCTTCTCCCATAACACAGAAAATTGAGGGCCCAGAGGACAGTTTTATTTTCATATTTGACATCTTCTATTATTTTTTATAGAAGGATGATTTCAGTAGTAAAATTTTCTTTCAATTTTCTAGGTTGTCTCTGAATCTTACTGGGGTTCCTTGTCCTAAACCACATTCAGAAATTTTCACGACCGACTTCTTATCTTTGTCATACCAGGCCAATGAGGGACAGCATTCCTGAGACTTTTTAAGTACTTTGTGTGTGTGTGATGGTCTAATAATCATAGCCTTAAAACTTTCTGGCTGGGCATGGTGGCTCACACCTGTAATCCCAGCACTTCAAGAGGCCGAAGCGGGTGGATCACCTGAGGTCGGGAGTTCGAGACCAGCCTGACCAACGTGGAGAAACCCCAACTCTACTAAAAATAAAAAATTAGCTGAGCATGGTGGCACATGCCTGTAATCCCAGCTACTTGGGAGGCAGGAGCTACTTGGGCTGATGCAGGAGAATTGCTTGAACCCATGAAGTGGAGGTTGCAGTTAGCCAAGATCACACCATTGCACTCCAGCCTGGGCAACAAGAGTGAAATTCTGTCTCAAAAAAAAAAAAAAAAAAAAAAAAGAATCTCACACTTCTGGGAGACACTGAATTTGTGAATGTGTACAGCATATCACAATAACTTTTCTTTGAGACCAAGTCTCACTCTGCTGCCCAAGCTGGAGTGCAGTGGCCCATCTCAGCTCACTGCAACCTCTGCCTCCCGGATTCAAGCAATTCTCCTGTCTTGGCCTCCCGAGTAGCTGGGATTACAGGTGCTGCAACCATGCCTGGCTAATTTTTGTATTTTTAGTAGAGACAGGGTTTCACATATTGGCCAGGCTGGTCTCGAACTCCTCACCTCAGATGATCTACCCGCCTCGGCCTCTCGAAGTGCTGGAATTACAGGTGTGAGCCACCATGCCCAGCCAGAAAGTTTTAAGGCTATGATTATTAGACCATCACACAAAGTACTTAAAAAGTCTCAGGAATGCTGTCCCTCATTGGGACCACAACACCCAGATAATTTTTTTTTTTTGTAGAAAGAGAAGCCTTGCTATGTTGCCCAAGCTGGCCTCAAACTCCCACCCTCAAGAGATCTGCCCATCTCGACAACCAGAGTAACTGGTTCTACAGGAAAATACCACTATCCCATGATAATTATATTTTATTAAGTTTTATTTGCATAGACAGGAGGTCTTGCTATGTTGCCCAGGGTGGTCTCAGACTCCTGGACTTGAACAATTCTCCCATCTGTGCCATCTGTGCCTCCCAAAGTGCTCCCAAAGTGCTGACGCCACAGGCATAAGCCACTGCACCTGGCCCGACTTAAGATGTCTTTAATCTAGCATCCCATACTTCATATAATCAGGAAAAGCAGTAGTGTTTTTTTTTTTTTAATTACTTAGTATCTCAACAAGAATCAACCATCTCTCACCATTGCCAGGACCCTGGTCAGAACCACTATCATCTCCTACCTGGATGTTGCCACAGCTTGGCCTCCGTGCTTCTACCCAAATCTTCCCACAATCTTTCTCAACTCAGCCACCATGGGATGCTTTTAAATCAATAGACAGTTCGTGTCACCTCTCTGCTCAGAACCCTTCTGCATCTCCCATCTCAGACAGCATAAAAGCCAAAGCCCCAGCAATAGCCTCCCAGGGCTTGCACAATCTGTACTGATCTGAGTCCCACAACTCCCTGGCCTCCTCCCCTACCTTCTCTCCCCCTCTCTGCTCGACAATCCTCTTTCCTGAGCTTCAGACACACCACGGAGTTCCCTCTTAGCATCTTTATTCTGTTGTTTCTGCCTATAATGCTCTTCCCTCAGTACCTTGGCCAGCTCCTTCCCCTCCTTCAAGTCTTTGCTCAATTTTCACTTAGGAGGCCAACCCTGACCACTCTATTTAATATTGCTATGTGTCCCCATTCCTGCCATGCTCACTCATTTCTTTTTACTTTTTTTTTAAGATATAATCTCGCTGTGTCACTCAGGCTGGGGCACCATGGCACGATCACAACACACTGAGACCTGGAACTCCTAGGTCAAGAAATCGTCCTGCCTCAGCGCCTCTAGTAGCTAAGACTACAAGTGCATGCCACTACACCCGCTAATTTTTTTTTCCCATGTAGACAGGGTATCACTTTGTTGCCCAGGCTTATCTTGAACTCCTGGGCCAGAGCAACCATCCTGCCTCAGCCTCCTAAATAGCTGGAATTATAGGTGTGGGCCACTACCCCTGGCTTCATGTTCATTTCTTCTTGCTGCTGTTACAAACTACCCTACGTTGAGTGGCTTAATACACCACAAATCTACTACCTAACAGGTCTGGGGGCCAGAAGTCCAAAATAGGTCTATTAAGGCTAAAGTCAAGGTGTCAGCAGGACTGCATCCCTTCTGGAGGTTCCAGAGAGAAGATGTTCCCTTGCCTTTCCCAGTTCCAAAAGCCACCCCTATTCTTTGCCTCATGGACCCTAAATGCATCTTCAAAGCCAGAAGCAAAGCATATTCAAATCTCCCTCTGTGACCTGTGCTTCCATCATCAAATCTCCTTCAATTCTGACTCTCTTACCCCCTCTTTCACTTATAAAGACCTCTTGTGATTGCTGGACACAGAGGCCGGGGCTCACAACCATAATCCCAACAGTTTAGGAGGTCAAAGCAGGAGAAATGCTTGAGGCCAGAAGTTCGGGACCAGCCTGGGAAACACAGTGAGACCCCCCCCCTCAATTAAACAACAAAAAGAAATAAGAGAAAATTAGCTGGGCATGGTGGTATGCATCTGTAGTTTCAGCTACTTGAGAGGCTGTCGTGAAAGGATTGCTTTAGCCCCAGAGTTCAAGACCAGCCTCGGCAATATAACAAGATCCCATCTCTACAAAAAAATACAAAAATCAGCTGGGCATGGATGGTGTGCACCTGTAGTCCCAGATGCTTGGAAGGCTGAGGCGGGAGAATTGCTTGAGCCCAGGTGGTTGAGGCTGCAGTTAGCTACGACTGCATCATTGCACTCCAGATTGGGTGAAACAGAGACTCTGTGTTCAAAAGAAAAAGAAAAAAAATACACATTTGGTTTCTGCCCCTCGTCCTGGCACAGAGCTTCTCAAGTTCTTATAAAGGCCTTGGTGATAAAGGTGATAGGACCATCTTTTGTTTGAATATTTGGTCTTAGTCCCAGGTTTCTAACACAAGAGCCTCTAAGACCTTTGGGATCACCATAGTAAGAATGCATTTGGTGATGTTACTGAGATGACTGGGTGACTGAAAGCTCCTAGACAGCTTAAGAAAAAGGGCTGGTTGCCAGAAGAACAAACCATGTGATTAGAGGCTTGGAACTGTCAGCCTCACCCACTGGGCTCCAGGAAGAAATAGTGGCCGAAGACTGACTTAATCACCAATAGTCAATGATTTCATCTATCATGCCTGCCTAAAGAAGCCTTCATAAATGACCTCAACAACCAGATTTGGAGAATGCCGGGGTTGCTGAACACAAGGGAGATAACAGGAAGGTAACACGCGCAATAGAGAGCATGGAAGTTCTGCACCCCTCCCGACCTCCCGACACACCTTGCCCTGTGGTTTTTTTTTTTTTGAAACAGGGTCTGGCTCTGTCCCCCAGCCTAGAGTGCCGTGGCACAATCGTGGCTCACTGCGACCTATGCCTCCCTAGCTCAAGCCCCATCTCTCATCCTCTCACCTCAGCCTCCTGAGTAACTAGAATTATAGGCACTGAGTAGCCAGAACTATAGATCACTGCACCTGGCTAATTTTTAGAAAAACCTTTTTGTAGAGATGCGTTTTCACCGTGTTACCCAGGCTGGTCTTAATCTCCTGAGCACTTAAGCGATGCTCCCGCCTCAGTCTCCCAAAGAGCTGAAATTACAGGCATGAGCCACTGTGCCCAGCATGTACATCTCTTTCACCGGCTGTTTCTGAGATATAGCCTTTAAAATGAACCAGTAAAAGAAAGTAAATTGGTGAGATGCAGTGGCTCACACCCATAATCCCAGCATTTTGTGAAGTTGAGGTGGGAGGATCATGTGAGCCCAGAAATTTGAGACCAGCCTGGGCAACATAACAAGACCCCTTCTCTACAAAAAATAAAAAAACTTAGCCAGATATGCTGGTGCGGGCCTGTAGTCTCAGCTATTTGGGAGGCTGAGGTGGGAGGATCACTTGAGCCCAGGAGTCCCATGCTACAGTGAGCTTTGATCACACCACTGCATTCCAGTCTGGCAACAGACTGAGACCCTGTATCTCAGAAAAAAAAAAAAAAACAATCTGTTTTTCTGAGTTCTGCAAGCTGTCCGAGCAAATGATTCCACCCAGCAACGGGGTCATGAAACCCTGTTTTCTAACTGGTCGGTCAAAACTACATGTAACAACCCAAGACTTGCAATTGGCATGTGGAGTGAGGGTACACTCCTGGGACTGAGCCCCCATCCTGCGGGGTCTGCACTAACTCCAGGGAGTGTCAGGATGGAATTGTGGGATACCCAGTTGGGATCCAGATTGTCTGAAAATCAGTGTAGAAACTCCACATGCACATTTGGTTAGAGGTGTTTAACCATAACTACTATTCACGAAAAAGGTCTACTCATTACAACTGAAAATCATAAAATTGTAAGTTCTACAAAAATAAGTCAACCTTATCTACTGCCCAGTCCTACCAAACTACAGAATGTGAGAACAGAAGGTCTGACCGTGGACTCGAGAGCTGACATTAGGAATGTCACCACCATCCTGCTCTCCAAGGACTCCTCATCTTCAACAAACTCCTCATCTTCAATGGGCAGAGTGGAAACTGCAACTTGTGCCATGATCCTTGCACAAGAAAAGTAGTAAGAAAGTGAGTGGTAGAAATCCAGTGTCCTAAACTCACATCCAGAGCTGTGAGAGCTTTTCCACCGGCTGGATAATTCACAGTTTTCTTGAATCAGGGGAAAAATAAGACTCAGAAACTAGGAATTCGTTTTGCCCAAAACTCTCATCAGATAGAGAATCCATCCACTAACTTTCTGTCTAGTATTATTTCCATAAGTTAGATCAGTATCACTCCCAAAACAAATGCACATGGCACCCAGAATCTGCGCATTTCTCCCAAGTAAAAGAGGAGGTGGATGGGCGCAGTGTCTCATGCCTGTAACCCCAGCACTTTCGGAGGCCAAGGTGGGTGGATCACTTGAGGTCAGGAGTTCAACACCAGCCTGGCCAACATGGTGATACCGTCTCTACTAAAAATAAAAAAAATTAGCCAGGTGTGGTGGCACGTGCCTATAGTCCCAGCTTCTTGGGAGGCTGAGGCAGGAGAATCGCTTGAACCCAGGAGGCTGAGGTTGCAGTGAGCAGAGATCTCAGCACTGCACCTGAGCCTGGGTGACAGAGTGAGACTCTGTCTCAAAAAAAAAAAGGGGGGGGAGGAGGCAATGCACTTTACAACCCAGTGATGGGCTACCACAACTCAACACAGCAAAGAGGTGCCAAGCTCCCTTTCTCCCCTGCACAACCCGACACAGAAGAGTTGGTGCAGTGGAATGAGGTTGAATGGAGAGAAGTTCCTCTTCTTTCCATTTTTTTTTTTTTTTTTTTTTGAGATGGAGTCTCACTCTATCACACAGGCTGGGTGCAGTGGCGCAATCTCGGTCACTGCAACCTCCGCCTCCCAGGTTCAACCAATTCTCTGCCTCAGCCTTCCGAGTAGCTGGGATTAGAGGTGCCCGCCACCACACCCAGCTAATTTTTGTTTGTTTGTTTGTTTAGTAGAGACTGGGTTTCACTATGTTGGCCAGGCTGGTCTTGAACTCCTGACCTTGTGATCCACCTGCCTCGGCCTCCCAAAGTGCTGGGATTACAGGCATGAGCTGCTGCGCCCAGCCAAGAAGTTCCTCTTCTTACTGAGAAAATGGATCACAGGGCATCAAGTAACACATAAAATTCTTTATAATAAGCAGTATTATTTTTGGAAAACCTTTCCTAATATTTTGGTATCAGCAAAAACCCTCAGATTAATTTCAAACACTATAAAAATACAATACATAAACAGAAAATATTAACTGTCAGCAATGCTATAGAGAAATTGGAAGCTGTATGCATTGCCTTTTGGAATGTAAAATGGTACAGCCCACTGTGGAAAATGGTTTAGCAGCTCCTTAAAAATATTAAGCACAGAATTATATGATCCACCAACACCCTTTAAGTGTATATACCCAAAATAACTGAGAGCAGGGACTCAAACAGGTATTTGTACACCCGTTTAACAGCAGCATTATTCACAGTGGCCAAAAGGTAGAACCAACCCTAATGCCCATCAGTAGGTGAATGGATAAAGAAAATGTAATATATACATACACAGAGTATTATTCAGCCATAAAAAGAAAAATATCTGGCCAGATTCAGGGGCTTACACCTGTAATCCCAGTATTTTGGGAGGCCAAGGTGGGCAGGTCTCTTGAGCCCCGAATTTTGAGACCAGGCTGGACAACATGGCACATTTGGTCAGAAGTGTTTGACCATAATTACTATTCAAGAAAAAGATCTACTCATTAGAACTATAAATCATAAAATTATAAATTCTACAAAAACAAATCAACCTTATCTACCACCCAGTACTACCCAATTACAGAATGTTAGAACAGAAGGTCTCACCATGGACTCAAGAGCTGATATGAGCAATGTCACCACCATCCTGTTCTCTGCGGACTCATCTTCAACAGACTCATCTTCAACGGACTCCTCATCTTCCACGGACTCCTCATCTTCAATGGGCAGGGTGGAAACTGCAGCTTGTGCCATGATCCCTGTGCAAGAAAAGTAGTAAGAAATTGAATGGTAGAAATCCAGTATCCTAAACTCACATCCAGAGCTGTGAGAGTTTTTCACTGGCTGGCAAATTGTTTCTTTGCATCAGAGAAAAAAACAAAACTTGGTAACTTGGTATTCGATTTGCCCAAAACTCTCATCAGATAGAGAATTCATCCGCTAACTTTCTATCTAGTATTATTTCCATGAAGTTAGATGAATATCACTCCCAAAATAAATCCACGTGGCAACCAGAATCAATGCATTTCTCCCAAGAGGAGGTGGCCAAGCGCCCACATCTGTAATCCCAGCATGTTGGGAGGCCGAGGTGGGTGGATCAGGAGGTCAAAAGATTGAGACCATCCTGGCCAACATGGTGAAACCCTGGTCTCTACCAAAAATACAAAAAATAGCTGGATGTGGTGGTCTGTGCCTATAATCCCAGCTACTTAGGAGGCTGAGGCAGGAGAATCACTTGAACCAGGGAATCAGAGGTTGCAGTGAGCCGAGATCGTGCCACTGCACTCTAGCCTGGTGACAGAGCAAGACTTCGTCTAAAAAAAAAAAAAGAAAAAAACAGTAAAATACAAAATGTCTTTTTCTCCTAACCTTCTTAGCCTTCTGCTGGTACTTCAATTTCTGCTGGTACTGTTTGGTCATTGCCCTCTAAAGAATGATGGCTTCCTAAAAAGAAAACAAACAACATATAAACCAATAAAAACTCACATTGAAAGATAAAAAATAATCTAGGTGACGATGCAAGCACTTTTAAGACATAATAGGCCAGGTGCAGTGGCTCACACCTGTAAACCCAGCAGTTTGGGAGGCTGAGGAGGGCGGATCACCTGAGTTCAGGAGTTCGAGACCAGCCTGGGCCAACATGGTGAAACCTCATATCTACTAAAATACAAGAAATCAGCCAGGTGTGGTGGCAGGGGCCTGTAATCCCACCTACTCGGGAGGCTGAGGCAGGAGAATCACTTGAACCCAGGAGACGGAGGTTGCAGTGAGCTGAGATCGCGCCGCTGCACTCCAGCCTGGGTGACGAGAGTGAAACTCCATCTCAGGAAAAAAAAAAAAAGACATAATAAACATAAAATATGATTCTATTAACTCTATTAATCCAAATAACGTTTTCTAATTCAGAAGAAATATATAACATGTCTATTTGGTAGCTTAAAAACATTCTTTTAAAATACAAATACAGTAGACCCAAGTAGGCTTGGGGACTTAATATTAGTTACTCTAGCTACATGATAAAATTACTGGATATTGGAATCTGAAGCAGCACAATTATGCTACAAGTACCATGCTCATCTGTCACTGACACACACACACAAGTGTGAATGCCTGCTTTGCTCAATTAACTCTGTAAATAAGTTCAGGATTTGCTGTGGAATGTTCCCTGCTTTCCATTTTCACTATGGTGAAAGTTATGGAAACTCGATCCCCATAATTTAAGCAAAGTTGTACTTAAAGTAACTCATATGTAAAAATTTAAGATACTACCTTTAGTGTCAAAAACATTTTAATCCAAGTAACGTAATCTGCCTGCTTCTAAAAACTGGCATATAAAGCAACAGATCTGTTAGGCAGTCACAAGGTAAACAGGCTCATCCTACTGGAGCAGAAGTTTTACTCACAAATATGAAAGAAATAATCTAAAATATCAGAGTGCCACTTAGGATTAAGACCACAAACTGCCCCCAGTACACATCCTCTGTCCTTAAAGATCTGAGCTACTAACATGGAAAAGATTGAAAAACACTGTCTTCAAGTATAAATAAAAATATATTACATTTCGGTAAGAATACATTGTTTAGGGGGAAGGGAAGCAGATGCTCATCTATTTTGTCCTATCTGTTGATAACTAAATTCAGAAGCTGTACTAAAAGTCAAACAAAAGTTATAAATACATCTCAATTTTTAAAGAGCAATGATTACAGTCAGAAAAACTCATTTGGTGGCTAGTATTCTTGAATTAAAAGTGCCATACCAAAGTGAAATCTTTTTGGTTTTCAACATCTAGCTTTTTCATGTCACAATTATTTTGGGATTCTTTTCCACTTACTGCATATTGTGAAAACTCACCTGAACTCAAAACTCTAGGTAAATCTATAAACCTGTATCTCAGAATCCACCTTTAATTCATTTGTAAAATACACTTTCTCTGCACACATTTCCTCTCTCTTCTTTTAACCGTAATATTTGGATTTAGGGAGCATCAAGTTCCTTGACTGTAAAGTCAACGAAAAAAGAGATATGAAGTCAAAAGAATGGGAGATAATGAACAAGAGGCCAGTAGTTAAAAAGTAAAATTTCAATAAAGAATAACAGTTAAGATGGTCGTTCATGTTATTACCCAAACACTAGGGGTTTCGTCCAGGTCCTCCTGCTCATCGGAGAAAAAGCCAGTCACTGAGGTGACAAGTACTGCCAAGGAAGAAAGCTTTAACCTGGTGCTGCGGCCCAGGAGCTGGAAGCTCAGTCTCAAATCCATGGGCTTGACTAATAGGGGCAGGAAAAAAATTTAACAATGTATAAGAGAACAGAAATTAGGGAGGGGCAGGAGGCATGTGGTGCTGTGATCTGGTATGTTTCAGTTATCTGATACTTCCTGAAGGTCTTTTTTTGAGGAGAGAACTCAGATACAACAGATCCAAGTTTCAAGCTTTAACAGCAGGGTCAATTTTGACGTTCATCCAAAAAAAACCCATCCATTGGGACAACAGGGCCGGTGTCAATGTAAGCAATGATTCTGTAGTTCCTCTTTGTTCTTTCAAAATCTGAAATAAACAATTGAATTTATATTATATGCTAAATCTAAAGAAAATACATCTTGTTGTACTTGAGGCCAGAAGAGATAGAAGTAAGGCAGTCAAGTTTGGGAACATTATAAAAAATTCAAAAAAAGTAATAAATGCATAAAACTTACAGAGTAACAAGTGCTATTTCAGAATTCTTCTAAATACTAAGTATTGACATGACCTTATCAATATTTGCATTACTAACCATACAATAAGAACCTGACTTCTGACTGTTCTGAGATAAGGGATAAATGTGTACTTTACCTTAAATGGGAAAGTGCATCATGTACCCACTTCGAGATTCACAACAGGGAAAACTGATTTGAAAAATTGTTGCTTGTGAAGTTCATTTATATGTTAAAAAAAGGCCAATACATTTTCCCTTTTCCACATAGAAAAGGAACACTATACTTATAAATACTAAAACACAGTCTGTGGAATACAAGGAACCAATAGAAACAGTATGTAGGAAAATGGAAGTGAAAAGATTATACATTGCAAAGACTTCAGTAGAAGGAGTTTTTCATCAACATCATCAGTTTCAGAAGGGCCTGCTTTGGGATACAAAGACAATACTTCAACAGTAACTCCCCCAAGCCAGACGCAGTGACTTATGCCTGTAATCCCAGTAATTTGGGAGGCCAAGGCAGGCAGTGAGGTCTGGAGTTCAAGACAAACCTGGCCCAACAGGGTGATACACCGTCTCTACCAAAAAATACAAAAATTAACCAGGTGTAGTGGCATGCACCTATACAGTCCCAGCTATATGGGAGGCTGAGGCAAATGTACTCATTTTTTCATTCCTGCACCCAAGAAACTGCAACCAATCTACTCTGTTAAGAGCAGAGATAAAGGGTTTAGACTCCATATTACATGTGAAATAGAAGAAATGAATCAGTTTAGTATGAACTTGTATGCACTTTTGGAGAGGAAAGTAGGTCAAGAAGCCATTAAGATACATGAAGGAAGGTCAAATCTTAAAGAAAACTAGAAATTCAGATTTATTTACATAGCTCTAGAAGGAAGAACCAGGAATAGTGGAGAATGAATGTAGAAAACATTTTTAGTGAATGAAAGCATGAGATGATAACACAAGCAGCCACCAATGGAACAAACTGATGTGCAACAGCGGATTTGCCGTCACTGAAGCTATCCAGTTTCCAACTGTTGCAGGTATTACAGAGCTATCAAGAGTTTTAGTAGGCGGCTGGGGTTCCTTTCAGATCTGACATGGCATGATGCCAAAATGCTGTACATGTTCTCATCTTTTTATGGCTCATTTTTTTTCTCTCTTCAGGTTTCTTAACCTTTTATCTACTTCCCTCTATTAATAATCACCTAAACCATACACTCAGTCTTCTGAAGTAAATTTCTTTATCTTTCACTTCACAAATAAACATCTTTGATGGATGAAAACACCGCAGGAAAGCCACCTAAGCAGATATGACTTCTCAACTTTTTTTTTTAAGTGATTTCCATTCATCACTAATTCCAAACAAAACAATTACAAACTATCATAAAATTATTAGAAAGTGAAAATGGGAAGCATTGGTTAAATATGTGTTTAGTATGCTTCACCATGTCCTCAAACATATTTAAAAAGTTAATCCACACTTCTTTAAGTGCATTGGGGGACTTGCTTTAGATTAAGAAATATGTTAACTATTTCAGGACACTAAGGACCTTACAAATCTGAATTAGCTCAGATTGGCTGCTATCTCCTCAATTATTTTCTGATAAATAAGAAACAAACAGTAAATAGCAACTTGCAGAAAATCTACCAGTAGTACACAAGGGCAGCCAAACTTCAAAATTCTTGCCACTCAAACTCTAGACGGTTACTATTTACTAAAATGTAAATAATAAAAAGACTTTTCTCAATCTTGTCCTCCAGAAAGAAAAGCCATAAAGTTCAAACACTAACCAAAAAAAGGGTAAGGAGAAACGTTTATATATTGGCGTTCCTTTTATTAGTGTCTTCACATACAACACTCCTCAATTTTAAACACCGCTTTCTTTCAGAAGACAAAACCAAGACAAAATGGTAGAAATCAAAGGGTTACAGACTTTGATTTAAAAGGCATAACCTTTTCAAAAATGAGAGCTATCGATGGAACACTTCTGAGAAGAAATTCCCTGGCACTAGGATAGAGGTTGGAAAACCATCTTTCCAGGTGCTCTAAAATAGAATCCTCTCATAGTGCAAGAGTCCTTCTAATTCTAGGGGTCTAGGATTATTTTTATTATTATTGTTACCTTTCCCGTTCTGGAAAACCCTCAAGACTCTGTCTTGTAAATGTCACCAACCCAGTAGGTTCTACAGAAGCAATAAAAGAAAAACATACCCAAAATAAGTTTCAATTTTGAAAACATTATACACACACACGTGCACGCGCGCGCACACACACTCGATAAAAGAATAGGTCTAACATTGACTATAAAACTAACCAGGAAATACAAAGCCTAGCATTGGAAAATAACAGAATATTGATTGAAAATATTATCCTTACAGTAGAAACTCCTATAAAACAGTAAGACTTCACTAAACGAAACTATACAAATAACAGCACAACAGTAGGATTTGAGTGCTGGTACTTTTTGGTAAAGTTTTGAAGCTGAATACACTTTTAAAAATAAAACCATTGAAAAAAAGGATGTATAACTGGTACAGCTTATGCAGTAAAGACAAAACTGAATTCAAATTTGTAGACTCCTTTACAAAGAAAGGACTTAACCCTACATTCAAAGACTGGTGAATAAAGACACATTTATGTACTTTGTAGTAAAGTGAAATGCCACAGCTTTAAAAAGAAAATCATTTGCACATCCTCTGAAGTTAGTAAAGCTAAGTTTCAGGCTTAGATAGTGGGCAATCACTCTACTTGTTAGTAGCAGTCTTAGCCAGAGAAGAAATTACTGGTTCTAAGAGTTTACAGAATAAAGATGACATATTTTTCAAGAAGCAATACATTTGGGAGGATCAAAATGGAGTAGTATTAATGTAGTCAATAATTTTAAGAGGATGAGATCCTTTTCTAGTCAGATTTATTTATTTTTTAAAGCTAGTAGCAAAAGAAACAAATATATCAGCTGGCCAGAAGTAATTTGTCTGACTCAAATCAAAGAGCAAACTAAAAAGGCTATGCCATTTCTGTTTTCTTGAATAGAAAAAAGCTCTTAAGGAAAGAGAGAGATGTCAGGAACTATTACTGATGACAGTGTATAACCCAGTGAAAGCCTGGCCATCATTTCATTCCTATGCACAATTCCACATTTCCTTGTTCTCAGTCAAAAGCAGGAACCACTCAAAAACCATACGGAGCAGTTGCAGAAGAAAACAAAATTTTTTGTTAACATAGGTCTTACATTCTTTAGATATCTAACTTTAAGATAAACGGATAACATATTTAAAACTCACGAGTAAGTGGTCAAACAACTCTAACACTAGAGATGCAATTCCATGAATATAATAGAAAACATCTCTCTTGTCATTCGGTAACTTAGCAGAGAAGTAAGAACACCAAATGTCCTTCATATATACTAAGAGATGCTAAGAGAAATTCGTAAACACTGCTGGCAAAGCAAGAAAAGGCAGAAGAACATGGTTTCTCAGATTAACAAAAAATGCCTTGAGAGCATGTCTGTTAGCTTTCTTTTTCATAACAAGGCAACTTTCATCTCAGAATAGGATACTCTGATTAATCAAATACTTCCCATAATAAAATCACAATATATACTACATACAGGTCATAAATTTTCAAAAATCTGATCTATAAGATACTTTATCTAAAACTATATAAAAAGTAATTTAATTCAGAAGGCTTTTTAAAACATTTCAGTCTCAAGATCCTCATCAAATATAAAATACACGTTTAACAATCCTGAAAAGTTGGTCCTGATGGAATTCTATTTTATCAATTCTAAAAGGCGGGTTTTTCCACATACTACATTTCTGAAACTGGAATACATCTTTTATAATGGAGGTATCTTACCATAGGTCTAGACTAGAGGAGAATTTTCCCAGAGAAGATGTGCATCTGCTTCTGCTGTCATCTGGGAACACTATCAGCCCAACACCATCTGAATTAATCCTTTGTGGCAGGCCTTTGTGGACCACACTGGTGGTAAGGCTGCACACCCAAAGCTTAGGGTTTGTGGTTCAAATTCTCAGAGAAATGTTTCTTTCTTTCTCTATTTAGTGTCAAGGTTGAGACTTGCATGCTTCTTTATGGTCCCTTTTCTGGATGGTCAAGTTAATTTCTCATTTATCCCTAGGTGTACCAGCCTTGTGGGTTAGGTCTCCTACTAAACTCCCTGTCCTGAGTGTTTTTTCCTTCTTAGAGGTATATAATGTAATAGCACTTTTTAAAAATAATCTATGACATCTTAGATTCGATGAAATATGGTACCTTAAATAAGCTTCTCAAGTCTATTGAGTAGGCTCCAGAACTTCTACACAACGACTCATTATACTGCAACCTCTTTTATTCTCTTTAGGATTTCCTCTTTAAACCGTTAGCTTTACATACTGCAGACCAAGAGCAATGTTGTACTGTATTTCTACAAAGAACTTAATTAACATGTACAGTAAAAAAGTCAGAAAATAAAATGTCTAGTTATAATTTATTTCTTCAAATTCCAAATACTTATAATGGCATATACATTTCTAGTTTAAAAAACAAACTTTTAGCTTTTTCCTCAAAGTATCTGAAATCCTAAAATGTAGAAAGCCAAGTTAGTTTTTAGAGAAGACATACATGATTTGACTCCCAGGACAAAAAAGTAAACTCTGTACTACTTAGTTATAACAATTCTACTTAAAACGGCAACTCAAAGTACTGTAAAAACAAAACAAAAAAGACCAACAGTAATAATTCTACTTAGACCTAGAATAGCCAAAAAAAAGTAGTCATTTTTTTTTTTAGACATAATCTTGCTCTGTCACCCAGGCTAGAGTGCAGTGGCACAATCTCAGCTCACTGCAACCTCCACTTCCTGGGTTCAAGTGATTCTTGTGCCTCAGCCTCCCAAGTAGCTGGGATTACAGGCTCCTGCCACCACACCTGGCTAATTTTTTTATTTTTTATTAGAGACGGGGTTTCACCATCTTGACCAAGCTGGTCTGGAACTCCTGACCTCGTGATCCACCACGCCTGGCCTTACGTAGTCATCTTTTTAACAAGTCATTACAAATTCTAATTTGATTTTGTGTCTCATAGGTCCAAATGATTCTGCATTTTAATATTTCATTCAGTACAGGGCACAAAACTGAAATTCAATAAGCTATGAGATAAATAATTCCGTATCAGAGAAGCATATAATTTTCCCTTAAATATTAAAATCCTGATAATTGATTTCATTCTAAAAATTTAACAATGTCCAATAGCAATACATTCAAGGGGGAAGATGCCAAGTACACTGTAATGCAAGAGTAAAAGAAGGATATGAGAAAAATGACCTTAAAATTATTCAAAGACATGTTTTAAGACAATCCTACAACCCAGAACTGAAAAAAAGCCATTTCACTTGACCAGGTTGACATTACCTACTTAGCACAAAGAAACTTTTAAGGTGTTCTGGTTTACATCCACTTGTAGGAAAGGCGACCCATTGATAATAGCTTACATTTATTAAGCATGTATCTCCTTGTTTAATATCTATAACTACCCTGTAAGATAATAACATTATATTATTTCATAGGTGATAAAACTGAAGCTTAGAGGTGTCAAGAAACTTGACCACAGTCATTCAGCTTCTGAGATAAGAGTGGCAATACCAATCTATTATCAGCTGGTCATTACCAGTATTTGTTGGACATTTACTATTACTGCCTCAGCTGCTATCAGGTTTTGGGGAAGCAAGAATGTTAAGGTTCAATAGAGGAAGATGGATATAAAACTCAGTACAAAACAGTTTTATGAGAACTCCACAAAGGGCTTAGGGGGGCACAAAAGAGAGGAATGGGTAGAAAAGCAATGCGTTAGTTGACTTATACAAATAAACTAGTGAATGCTTCTTTAAATAAAGAGCATCCAAAATTTATTTCCTGGTCAATATACTTTCTCTGATTTTTATTCATGAAAATGTTTTGATGTATAGAATATGTGTCCGATTTCAGAGTATGTAAACCCCGCCCCCCTACATTTATAGCACACATTTATGCTTATACACAACACAAGCATAAAACCGAAGTTACCTTGTTGCATCATTACTGTTTCAATGTAGTTGGGATAGGAAGGTTTACGTTAAACACAAAATGTTCCTCACATGTCACTTGACTTGAACTGTTCCCATCAGCAAGAAAAATTACTGCAAGAATGAAAGGAGTTCACTTTTCTCTGTGACTGTTCCAAAGAAGCGGAAGAGCATTTTAAGTTTCTCCGGTTTCCTTGATCAATGTCCCTCAAACAACCTAAAGGACTTAAAAAATAAGAGAATGAAAGATGAGTTAAAATGCCTTAATGATTCAGAAAGCTACATCCATATTGCTACCAAGTAACAAAAAGAAATAATTGTTCCAGAAGACAATTCTGTAATGATAAGAACTAGAAAATTGGTTTAGATTCAAATGGCATCTGGAGAGAACTGAAATCAACTAGAACCAGCCTTCTTTAAAGCTGTTCAAATCAGACAGCATTTGCTACCAACCACATTTCTCCAACCTATCTTCCACCACAGAGAAGGCACCATCTAGCCCTCCCAGTCAATTGGGGTCAGTCAGTGCACAGCTACTTTCTCAATGGCTAATAACATTTATAATTCATAATGTTACTACGTAGTTTGATAAGTAACAATAACAGTATCTGAAAAAAATCCTTATCTGAGTGTTTTTGAGGAAATGAGAGTGGAGGGGAATGGGGGAAGGACACAGGCAGGTATAACAAGATATCAGGGCTCAACAATCCTTGTTAATTAAACAACTAGTTTCTTTTACGGACTGAACGTTTGTGCCCTCTCAAAATGTATATGTTGAATCTTTAATCCCTAATATAGCTAAATTTGGAGACAGGGCCTGTGAGGAGGTACTAACAGTTAAATGAGGTCATGGGGTGGGACTCTAATCTGATAGAACTGGTGTCGTTTTAAGACAAGGTGAGACTACAGTACTCTCCCCTTTGCCATGTGAGGACAAGATGCCAGCCAACCTATAAGCCAGGAAGAAAGCCCTCATCAGGAACCAAAGCAGCAGCACCCTGATCTACAGCTTCTAGCCTCCAGAACCGTGAGAAAATTAAGCCACCCAGTTCTATGGTATTTTATTATGGCAGCCCAAGCTGACTAATAGAGATCCTTTGCACGGTAACCAAAACAGTGCCTACCCTGTGTCATCTAGTTTTCAGCAACCCGGACTTGGATTACTTAATTCAGTTTCCTTTGAAATGATGTGGCATTGTTATTGGTAACATGTAATTCAGTTTATTCTGAGGAAAGAAAAGCAGGGCTTTAAAAGCATTATGACCTGAGTAAGTAGTTCACTAAAAAATTTGTAACACAAAAGCATGCTTTTGAGTATGAGATCTAGCTTTCCAAAGGCATTTAGAAATTATAGAGACTCAGTGGCTATGAATGATGAGGTACTCTTCATCTGCCTCTAGCCATGTGCTCTGACTTTAAAACCAGAGACCCTTCAAGTAAAGTCCACGTTAGTAAGTGCTGAAATGGGTAATTATTTTTCATGATTACAACAGCAAGCTTATGTAACTACGCTGAGAGGGAAAAGTTAATTCCATGAGAAAATCCTATTGAGCGACTGAAATAAATTAGGAAAAGGAAAGGAAATGCAGATTTCAAATGGTTCCGTTTTCAACGATCTGAAATCTGTATTCAAGGCCAATTTCTGGAAAAACAATTTATGTGAATATTTATTTCCTAGAAAGAATACTAATGTAGGCTAGTATTTTAACCAAATCTAAAATCAGATCTCTTTTTTAAAAGTTTAAGACAGCCTGTGTGATAATTTTTATTTATTTAAAAGAATCTGTCTTCTAAAATATTTAATACACATACTCTTATAATCCAGTTGCTAGTTGAAACAGGATACAGGTTAAATAAGATAGTATTTCTAAATGGATTCTGAACGGATTAAAACTCAATAAAATGGACATTTTATTGAGTGAATGGAGAGATCTAATCCATCTGGCAAGTCAGTTAAGAGAGCTTCTGCTGCCATTTTTATTGACATGTAATAGTGTAATAAACTCACATGTAATACTGTAAAGCTCTGTAAAAAAATTTTAACCTAGCCTATTTGTTTAAAGGAGATGTTAACAATTCATGCTCCCTTGAACCACTTCATTTTTGCTTTTAGGACAGGACTGTTCATTAACACACACAATCAATTACTAAACACAATTACTGAAATAAATATTATCAAGCAGTAACCAAAAAATTCAACGTAAGGCTATCATACCCAAACTCCAATATCCAGAAGCCAATTTAAGTAACCCATGCCTCCTTGGCGAAAGTGTATGGATATTACCTTTTCCTTGTGATAGTAAAACCTATCCATTTTCTTACATCACCCAAGTATCAGCTTTTACGCTTCTACAAATAAAGCAGACAATGAACATACTGTGTAGAAATCTTGAGCCCTTAATTAAAAGGTACTCACAGAGTTGTATCTAAATCATTGGCTACAATGATCTAAAACACACACACAGTTATAGCTAGGTCATTTGCTACAGTGATCTAAACCACTTCATTTACATCTTAGTATTAATCACAGGACAAAAACGCTAATATTTTCAGAACTACAGCCAGTGTTGCTATCTGGCACAGGCAACGTGTCTTCAAAACCCCATGATACTATGTGTTTGCCCCCAAGTAAATAGGAGGGAGATCCAGGCGCCCCTTCCAAAAGCAACAGCTTAGAGGAGAGAAGGAAAATCAAAGATACTGAGACGATTCATTTTAGCCAAAAGCGAACCTGCCACCCCCAAGAGCAAAAAACAAAATCTGAAAACTAAGATGTATGTTATTATATGTTATTCACAGAACTTATTTGCAATATTTTTAAAGAAAAAATTACAAAACCGTGTTTCTCAAAATGTTACAATAAAATTTTATGTGTGTAAAGTCTATCTATTTTACGTGTACATTTGTGTGTGTGTAAAAGAGAGGGGATTATGAATAAGGAAGCGTATGTACCAAAACATTAGAAGTAGTTATCCTTGGGTAATGAGATTATGATTTTCACTTTCCTCTTTATACCTTAATATATCATCTCCAAATTTACAATCAGAATTCATTATAAAGCTATTGCATTTTTATTTATTTATTTATTTTGTGAGACATGGTCTCACTCTGTCACCCAGGCTAGAGAGTGCAGTGGCGCAATTTCAGCTCACTGCAACCTCGGCCTCCCAGGCTCAAGCGGTCCTCCCACCTGAGCCTCCTGAGTAGCTGAGACCAATCAAAGTTAAGTTTTCTTCGGTTTAAAGTAACTTGTTATAATTATGTTGTTTAGCCTCATGGTAACCAGAAAACAAAAATCAACAGACACTCTAAACATAAAAAGCAAGGAATTAAAACACTACCAGAAAAAATTACTTCACTACAAATAAAGACAGGAAGAAAGGCAAAGAGGAAAGAGAAGAAATAAAAAGAGATCAGAAAGAAAAGAGGAAGGGAGAAAGAACAAAAGAAAAAGTAGCAAAACAATCAAGAAAGTAAAAAATGGCAGTAGTATGTTTTTATCTATAATAATCTTGAATGTAAATTAAATTAAGACAGAGTGGCTGAATGGATTAAAAGACCCAATTATGTCCTGCCTACAAGGAACTCAGTTCACCTATAAAGACATACACAGACAAAGTCAAGGGATGATAAGAGATATTCCATACAAACGGAAACAAAAAAAGCAGGAGTAGCTATACTTAGATAAAATAGCCTTTAACTCAAAAAAAGAAAAAATAAAGATAATTATATAATGAGAAAGAAGTAAACAGCCGTTAAGTGCATATGCAACCAACACTCAAGCACCTAAATATAGATGCAAATATTAACAGGCTTTAAAGGACAGAGGGACTGCAATACAATAATAGAGTACCTCAACACTCCACCGTAATCAACACCCCACTATCGCGAACGGACAGATCATCCAGACAACAAAACATCATCAGTTAAACTGTACTCTATACAGAATGGACCTAACAGACATTTACACAGCTTTTCACTCTGCAACTGCACAATGCTCATTCTACTGAGTGGCACATCGATTATTCTACAGGACAGACTGTGTTAGGCCAAAAAACAAGTCACAACACTTTTTTTTTTTTTTTGAGGTGGAGTCTCTGTCTCCCAGGCTGGAGTGCAGTGGCACTATCTCGGCTCACTGCAAGCTCCGCCTCCCGGGTTGACGCCATTCTCCTGCTTCAGCCTCCGGAGGAGCCGGCCACCACGCCCGGCTAATTTTTTGTATTTTTAGTAGAGACGGAGTTTCACCGTGTTAGCCAGGATGGTCTCGATCTCCTGACCTCGTGATCCCGCCTCGGTCACCCAACACATTTTTAAAAACTGAATTCATATCAAGTATCTTTTGTGACCACAGTCGAATAGTATTAAAAATCAATAACAGATAGAACTTTAAAAACTGTACAAATACATGGAAATTAAAATACACACCCATGAACAACCAATAAAAGAAACGAAGAAAACACAAGGGAAATTAAATATTTATTGAAACAAGTAAGAATAGAAACACAACATAACAAATCCTGTGGGATGCACCAAAGGCAATTCTAAGAGGAAAAGTGTATAGCTATAAATGCCTGCATCAGAAAAGTAGGAAGATCTCAAATAGCCTGACAGTACACCTCCAGTAATGAGAAAAACAGGAACAATCAAATGCTAGAATTCGCAGAAAAAATACCATAAAGATTAGAGAAGAAATTTTAAAAATAGAAACAAAAAATACAAAAAGTCAATGAAACAAAAGCTGGGGTGTTTTTAAAAAAAAATCAAAATTGACGAGTTTTAACTAGATGAAGTTAGATAAGAAAAAGAAAACAAAGTCATAAAGAAGGCATTACAACTGGTAACCCAGAAATACGAAGCATTAAGAGATTACTAAAAACATCACAAACAAATTGAAAAATCTGGAAGTGAATACATTTCTAGACACATAACGAATTCCCAAGATAGAATGATAAAAAATAAAAATAAAAAACCTGAACAGACCAATAATGAGTAATGCAATTAAAGCAGTCATAAAAAGTCTCCTGGCAAAGAAAAACACAAGAATCATGGTTTTCCTGCTGAATTACCAAACATTTTTAAAAGAGCTAATATGTATTTTACTCAAAATATTCCCCATAAAATGAAGACGAAGAAAGGCTTCGAAACTTGTTCTATGAGGACAGCATGACCCTGGTACAAAAACCAGACCAGAACACAACACAAAAAGGAAACCACAGGCAAATATCCCTGATGAACAGAGGTGTAAGAAATCCTCAGCAAAATACTTGAAAATTGCATTTGACAACGCAATAAAAAGATCATCTGCCATGATCAAGTGGATTTCATTCATCCCAGGAATATGAGGATGATTCAATAAACACAAATAAATAAATATGCAACATCACATTCAGCAAATCAACAACAAAAACCATATAATCATTTCAGTAGACGCTGAAAAAATTAAAAGTCAACATTCCTTCATGATAAAAACTCAACAACATGAGTACAGAAGGAACATATCTCAGTGCAATAAAGGCCATATATGACAAACCCACAGCTAACATAATCAATAAGGAAAAGTTAAAAGCTCTTCTCCTCTAAGATCTGGAACAAGTGTGGCTACTTTTACACCACTTTTGTTCATCATAATACTGGAAGTCCTAGCTAGAGCAATTAGGAGAATGCAATAAAAGGCATCCAAATTGGAAAAAAGGAGTCAAATTGTCTGTTTCCAGGTGACATGAACATATATAGAGAGAACCCTAAAGATTCCACAAAAAACCTACTAGAAATAATAAATTAGTCAAGTTCCAAGATACAGTATCAAAATATAAAAATGAATACTACACCCATGCACCAATAGTGAAATATCTAAGAAAGAAATCAAGAAAGCTATTTCATTACCAAAAAAAAAAATGATATCTAGGAATAAACTTAACCAAAAAGGCAAGAGATCCCAAAATGAAAACTTCATAAAACATAGATGAAAGATACTAAAGCAGACACAAGTAAATGGAAAGATATCCCATCTCTATGCACTAGAAGAATGTTAAAATATGTGTATCACCCAATGTGATCTACAGAATCAATGCAATCCATGTTCAATTACAAGACATTCTTCACTGAAATAGAAAAAGAATCTTAAAATTCACATGGAAGTTCAAAATACCTCAGATAGACAAAAGAATGTGGAATAAAAAGAAAAGCTGGAGGCATCACACTACCTGATTTCAAAATATACTACAAATTTATAGTAAGGATGGTACTATCAAAACAGCATGGTACTATCAATAAAAGGGGCGGGGGAGAGACAAGAGAGATGAACGAATGAGACAGACAGACATAGACAAGTGAAACAGAATAGAGAAATCATAAATAAATTCACGCGTTTACGGTCAATTCATTTTTAACAAAGGCCCCAAGAACACACCTTCGGGAAAGACAATCTCTTCAATAAACTGTACTAGGAAAACCCAACACCCACATGTACAAGGATACATCTAGGCCATTACCTTACCATATACAAAAATCTACTCAAAATAAAGATTTAAATACAGGACCTGAAACTATGAAACTACCAGAGAAGAAAACATAGGATAAATGCTTCATGAAATTGGTTAGGACAAGGAATTTTCAAATAGACATCAAAAGCACAAGCAACGAAAGCAAAGATGTAATTACATTAAACTTAAAACCTTTTCCAAAGCAGAGGAAGCAATCAGTATAATGAAGACAGAACCCGAGAATGGAAGAAAGTCTTTGCAAACTATGCATCAGGCAAGAGGTTAATACACAAAATATCTAAAGAACTCAAACTACTCAAAAGTGAAAATACAAATAATCTTATTTTTAAAAATCCACCCAAAACTTTTGTCCCCCACCATTTCCCCACCTTCTTTTCCCGACCGCATTTCGCCCTCTCCCTCTCACCACCCTTTCTCTTCCTCCATCTACCCCCAAACGTTTTCACCGTTTTCTCCCCACCATCATTTCGTTTTCTCCCCGCCCCACCCCGCGTCATTTCGCAAAGCCTTCTCTATTCTCCCGCTCACCACGCTTTTCCCCAACCATCTACCCAAACACTTTCTCCCGTTTTTTCCCACCGTATTTTCCCCCTTCTCCCTGGCCACCCTCTTTTTTCCCCCTCCTGCTGTCATCATGCCCTTTTCCTCCTCCATCTAAGCAAAAACATTTCCCCCCCGTCTTTTCCCAAAGCCTTTTCCCCACTCCTGCTGCTCACCACCCTCTTTTCCCCCTTTATCTACCCAAAAACTGTTTTCCTCATTGTCTTTCCTCCTGCTCCTCCTTGCCACTCTTTCCCTTCTCCATCTACCCAAAAACATTTCCCCACCATCTTTTCTCGAAGCCTTCTCCCCACTCCTGCTCACCTCCCTCTTCCCCCATCTACCCCCCAAAATTTCCCCATATTTTCACAAAGTCTGCCCCCTCTTCCCACTCGTCCTCTTCTCTCCCCTATCCTGCTTGCCACCCTTTTTTTTGCCCTGCATCTATCCCAAACTATTTTCCCGTCTTTTTCCCAACCTTCTTTCCCTGCTCCCTTCTCGCCACCCTCTTTCTCCTCCTTGTCACCCTCTTTCCCTCCTCCATCTACCCAAACACTTTTTACCTACCATCTTTTCTCCACCATCTTTCTTTTCTGCCACTGTTTTTTCGCAAAACCTTGTCTTCCTCCCGCTAGTTACCCTCTTTTTCCTTCTCCCACTTGCTATCTTCTTCTGCTCCTCTATCTACCCAAAAACTTCTCTCCCCACTGTCTTTTCACAAAACCCTCTCTCCCTACTGCTCGCCCATTTCCCCCACCTCACCACTCTCTCCTCTCCCCAATTGCCACCATCTTTTCCCCCTTCATCCACCCATAAACTTCCTATCCACCGTCTTTCTGCAAAACCTTCCCTCACTCCCGCTCCACAACCCGTCTTTCCACCTCCGTCTACCCAAAACCTTTTTTCCCCACCATCTTTTCCCCATCGTCTTTTTGCAATGCCTTCTCCTCCTCGCTATCCTTTTTTCCCTTTGGCAATAACCAAACTCTTTACCCACCCCTCTATCTATCCCAAAACTATTTTCCTCTTCCTACCCTTCCAGCCGCGCTGCAATCGCAATCTCCACTGCCACCACCAACCATAGCGAGGCGAGCTGCGCCTCTGTGCCGTGTCTCAAGCCTCCAGCATACGGCCGGTGACTCCTTTTCCTGGTCCTCTAAGCTGGGCACTGAGCAGCTCAACAGTAAAACACCCAACCCTAAAAAAAAAAAAAAAAAAAAAAACCGTAACGGCTCTTCAGCATCATTTATATACGGAGGTTATGCGCATGCCGGTTCCTAGACTTCATGTTCTGATTGCATAAGAGCAAGTCTTAAGATAACCAATCACAGCATGAAAATAAAGTCCAATCAGAGTAGGCCTAGAGGTTTTTCTCTCATCCAATCAGAACATGTAGTCCAGGATCCGTAACTTCAGTATATAAAGCATGCTGAGGAAGTGGTGCGTCATTTTTGGGTCTTCTGTGTCGGTGTGTCCAGCTGCTAGGTACCTGGGTTAGAGAACTAGAAGGGTCCATTAGTTTTCACCGCCTGGAGCCTGGAGCCTGGAGCCTGGGGCGCTGCCTCCCTGTTGGTGGTGTTGGTGACGGAGCGGTAGGAGGGAGGCTAGCAGCAGGAGCTTCTCCTGCCGGGCTGGAAGACGAGGAGAAGGAAGAGACACCGCTGCATGCTGGAGGCTGGAGCCAGAGCCTGCGCCTCCGTGGCTTACCTCGCTGCAGTTGGTGGTGACATCAGAGACCACAGCTCGGCTACAGTGGTAGCAATGTGGTTGCAGTGAGCCAAGATTGCATCACTGCTCTGCAGCCTGGCGACAGAGCAAGACACCATCTTAAAAAAAAAAAATTGACCCAGTGTTTTGCATGTTTCAGAAAAACAAATGATACCATTATTTAATATGCTGCAGTAACTAGAAGCCTACTTATAAAGTTGGTGGCAAATAAGTCATTGGTATATGTTAACTTCCTATAATCACTTACATGTTCCTAAGAGTCACTTTGTGTATTTATATAAGAAGGTCAGCATGTAAATGAGTATAGATAGAGAAACTTTTTGTTGAAAAGTAAGAAAGCTTGTCTCCCTTTTCCTAGTTATGAAGGAACCACCACCACAACAAAATAAAGCATATACTTTGTTTATAACCCTGAATCATGATTTATGGCCAGATTATCCTAGCATCCAACTGCCTACCTTGGCATTTATCAGTTGAAATGAGTCCAGAGAAAGGAATTATTTTTTATATATCTGCTGCTCTTGAAGGAGAAACCTTCTTTAGAGGTCACTTGTAAGAACAGGTTCCCAAATCCCCTATATCCAAGGCACTCTGGGCTGCCTGGGAACTCTACAAATCACAGTTTTGAGGGGTTCACTTTTCTGGTTGAAATTTATCATAGTTTATATGATGAAAGGATGACAGGTAGATATTCTTTAAGAGTTGAGGATGTGTTATGTTACCAAGGATTGTAAATATTTAATGAGAAAATGAGTTAGAGTTTCAATAATATTGATGGGACCTATTATCACTCACTTTCATCTAAAGCTCAGTGTTACTTCAAAGCATAAAATCAAGCAAACATCCCATGATTAATTTAGTTTCTTACACTGCTGTGCTTTGTGTTTCATTGAATTCAGAGTATGCCTGTGTACGGTCCCTGGGAACACTGTATGAAAGGATTTTTAAAGTAGTCTGTTCTGATACTGGTTTGTCAATGAAACTTTTCAAAAAGGTTAGTTGAATATCACTTAGTGTTCTTTATGTGACCCTCTTGGGTCTCCTTCCCAGTGCCAAATTCCCCCATCTCAACCTCATTTGGACATCCTATATTAAGAAAAAACAAAGCAGGTACTCATCAGCAGGAACGGAATCCTATTCTCTTGACAGAATTCCCGTGATCTATAACCTGCTGGATAAATAGTTCAAATGCTGTATCTCTGTTCCTATTCCTAGACTTTCTGGCACCTATTACCCTTCAAGTCCATGTGTCTTCCAGTAGGTTGCAGTGCTCTCCCCAGGAGATGGCAGCTACCTAGATTTGTATGTTACAGAGGTGGTCGTGTGCCTTCTCTACCTCTCTCCTATGTTCCCATGTAACCTAACCACACAGGCCATAATCAGCTCCACCCTAGGAAACATAACATTGGTACACCTGTCCCTTGAAGTTGTCCTTAGAGAGAATGGTCTGAAAACAAAGGGAGATTAAAGGTCTTTTCTGTTTCAGGGAAAGTATAGTTCTGTCAGTGGATTTCTGGTTAAAAGACACAGAAGAAGGAAAAAAGACACTCATCTGTAGGAACTCAGTTTAGCCAATGTGACTTCCACTTGGAAGCATTTTTCCTCTCCTCTTCAAGCCCAACTCTAGGGAATGTCCTGTGCAAAAATATCAGTGTAGGCGCATCTCTTTGCGGAACTGAGTTGCTCTGCTTTCAGTTTCCTCTCTCCAGTGCCCCCAAGCTCCTGCCTGGCTTCTTCTGCTGTTCAACCCAGGATCCCATGCTCTAGGACAGCCTTCTCACCATCTTTCTTCAGCTCTTAATTCAAAAGTCCCACTTCCAGTTCATGCTCAGAGAAAAAGCAAGTAGACCTAATCTTTATTAGAATGTGAATTTCTAGACAATAGTACTCTCTTTGGCTTACTTCACTGCCCTACGTGCTGAACTTTCAGATAATATAAGGAAGAGAAAAAAGTCTAGATGTTGGAGAGGGAGTCGGTTTCATTTTATACGATTCAGCCTAATGGGCTTTCATTGCTAACATTAGGGGTTACAGTTGAACCAGCCAACTCAGGAGGAAATTCAGAACCTGGATTCTTATAGTGATAGTGGAAAACAAATTCATGGTTAAGATTTGAATGTGAATTTTAAAATAAATCATAGTATTTTAAAAAACCATTTTTTCCTTATTAAATATGTAACTTTGGAAAAGTTACTTAACCAGTTCATAATAGTACCTATTTTATAGGGCTGCTGTGGGGATTTAATGAGATCATTTATGGAAAGCACATGGCACTGTGCCACACTCATAATAAGTACTCATTCAGTGTTGGCCACAATTCTCACCAGCCTTGTTCTCTGTCCTCAGGAGATGATGACCATAATTGGAAAATTGCCCATGTGGTACTCAAAGAGGAACAGGAATTTCGCTAACTTTTCCAGGGCACAAAAGGCGACCCTCGGAACTCAACTGGGGGAATTTACCTGGATGACATCACTCTTGACAGAAACCCCCTGCCCCACAGGGGTCTGGACAGTCCAGAATTTCTCCCAGGTCCTTGAGAACACCAGCGAAGGGGACAAGCTTCAGAGCCCTCGATTCTACAATTCAGAGGGATGCGGTTTTGGGTTAACTTTATACCCCCATGGCAGAGAAAGCTCTGGCTATTTGAGACTTGCTTTTTACATGTGCAGTGGGGAGAATGATGCTATCCTGGAGTGGCCGGTAGAAAACAGACAGGTGATAATTACCATCTTCGACCAGGACCTGATGTCAGGAACAGGATGTCCTTAAGTTTGGTGTTCACTACCTCCAAGTTGCACATATCTCCAGGTGGGTGGTGTTGGCATAAATAAGAACTGCCCCTCGAACCAGAGAGGCCCACAGATGTGATTCTGTGGTGCAAGAAAGAGTAACGTTCTCCTCACATTTTCCGCCTGGGAATACCGATAACATAGGCGTGTTGGAGTTTCAAGTTAAGATTTTCAATGCCATCACATCCTCCTTCCCTTTCCTAAATTCACTCATCAAACATCTGTTGAGGGCTTACCATGTGCCAAACTCTGTGCTAGGTACTTACAATACAAGTGAATCAGGTGATCCCTGCCTCATTGATCTCATTGTGATTGAGGAAACAGATACTGCTAATCATTTATCAAATACTCGGAACTTGCTAGGCTCTGTGCAGAGCTAATGTACTTACTCCTAAAATAGCACTCAATATCACTATGTTCATGAAATAAACTTACATCAGTAAAGAAATGGGAAAACTATTTTTTTTTTTTTTTGAGATGGAGTCTCGCTCTGTCACCCAGGCTGGAATGTAATGGCGCAATCTTGGCTCACTGCAACCTCCACCTCCCAGGTTCAAGCAATTCTCCTATTGCAGACTCCCGAGTAGAGAAGGGGTTTCACCCTGTTGCCCAGGCTGGTCTTGAACTCCTGAGCTCAGGCAATCAACTTGCCTCAGCCTTCCAAAGTGCTAGGATTACAGACATGAACCACCACACCTGGCACTATTTTTTTTTTTCAAAAGAGAAGACCTAAGCCTCAGAAGAAAGAAGCCATAGCTGTCCCTCTCTTTTCATTAAAAAAGTCACGCAGTAGCAGACAACTGATCACTCAGAGCTGTGATTCTCTGCTTCTCCCATCTTTCAATTCTGAATTGCAATTCTCCTGGAAAGAGTAAATAGCTTAATTTTTTTCCAACACTTTTTTTATTTTTATTTTTATTTATTTATTTTTTTCTGATTCACAAAGCCCTGTATCCTCATAAAAGACAAACTGGAAAGTGAAGTCTAAAGAGGTAATGTGATTTTATGTTACCTACAATTTTGCAGCGACAAATGACACTGTCATCTGGGACAGGCCGTCCAGGGTGGGAACCTATCATGCTGACTGTAATTGTTTTAGAAGCATTGACTTTGGCTGGAGTGGTTTCATCTCCCACCAAATGCTGAAAAGGAGGAGTTTCCTGAAAAATGATGACCTCATCATGTTTGTGGACTTTGAAGGTACTTTTCTTGGTCTTCCTGAGTAAATAATCCTATGCTCTTGGCACTCTACTGATTTTATCCTGATTTTAAAGCACACATGGAGGGTGGGGATGAGGTTAAAAAAAATGTGTTGTAGGAGAACCACATTTTCTTCAATTGGTCAAGGACTCACATCTTTATTTTAACTGTCCCTGAAAGAAACTGAAATTTTAGTGTCATCTTTTTGAAAATTTTATCAGAGGTAACAGTTCACTGATTTCAATTTAGTTTCCATCAGTCTATCCATGCTAACTTTATGCTTCATTTTGCAAATTCAATAAATAAAAATGTGACTGGATTACTTTAAAATAAAACTAGCTAGTACCGTGGGAATCAGCTGGATTCAAAGCCACTTTTCCATGTCACTGGGGGTGACATATCACTAGAGATAGAAGCAGGCTGGGGAACTTTCACCAGAAGTGGGAGTTCGCTGTAGTCAGTTACTAATCCTGGATCTTCCTCGTGACCCTCTATTTCCTGAAGATATCACCCACCTCAGCCAGACTGAAGTTCCCACTAAAGGCAAAAGACTGAGCCCCCAAGGCCTCATTCTCCAAGGCCAGGAGCAGCAGGTCTCCAAAGAAGGTTCAGGAAAGGCCATGTTAGAGGAAGCTGTACCTGTCAGCCTCAGCCAGGGGCAGCCCGGCTGACAGAAGCCGTCAGTGAAGAACACAGGCCCCCTGGAGGACCATAACTGGCCACAGTACTTCAGAGACCCATGTGACCCAAACCCTTGCCAAAATGATGGCATCTGTGTGAACCTGAAGCGGGTGGCGAGGTGCAGGTAGGCTCTGTGGCCGGGGAGACAGGCAGGCCAGCAGACCTGGGCCGTGTGCATGCTTATGCCTGGTAAAGGCTGCTGTTTGCAGAGTAGGGCGAAGACTACCTCAGATGGTCAGCTGGATGCGGTTTTCCTTGACTCTACAAAGGTGTGCCCTGGATTCATGGGCTTACGCTGCCAGGACAGAGGCGTCCCAGGTCTCCTTGTCTCTTGACTTTCACCCCTTTTCCTCCTCTGGGGTATTGTCAACAGCATCTTGGATGTTGTTGGAATTTCTAACTCTAACAACATCCAAGATGGCTTCTAGCCTAGGGACTTTCTACTCCATGACAGTGGGTCTCAAGACCAAGCTTAAATCTTTGCTGACTACACAGATGTTATTATTAGCTCCTAATGATTATTAGTTATACAGTCTGTCATTTACACTGCACTATTATTAAAGTTATGTTTTCAATAATAGTAGTAAGAACACCTGATATTTCTGACCCCTTGTTATGCATCATGTGGTCTCCTGAGCATCTTACACGCATGATCTAAATTCATTCTCACTGCCACCTGTGACATAAGGGCTCTCCTTATCCCCATTTGGTGTATCAAGAAGTTGAGGCTTAGAAAGGTTAAGTAATTTATCTAAAATGTACCCAGATGGAAAATGCTGAAGCTGGGACTTGCATCTAGGTCTGTCTGGCAGCACAGTTTGCTATATTTAATGTTTAAATATTAAAAAGCAGTACAGTTTGCTATATTTAAATTTGAATATTTAAAAAGAACTTTAATAGTTCTTTTTATAATGTTTGCTTGCATAAAACCCTAAAAACTGTTTCACAAAAGGAGGTATGTGATGACAGAAGCAACAGTTCCATTTGAACAGTAGCAGATGTAGGAGCTATTCTGCCTACCTCAAAAATTTACATTACTTCTGAGTTCTTTTTAGTCTCCTTTTTTTTCTTTTTGTAGCTTTTGCTTTGAAATAATTTTAGACTTACAGATACCTTGCGAAAATACTACAGAGGCTTTCTCTATACCATTCACCCTGCTTTCCGTAATGTTGGCATATTACACAAACCGTAGTACAATTAGCATAGCCAAGAAATGAACATTGGTAGAATGCTAGTAAATAAATTACAGGCCTTATTCGGCTCTTCTCAGTTCTCCCACTAATGTTCTTTTTCTATTTCAGGATCCAATTCCGGATCTCACGTTACATTTAGTTTTTATGTCTCCTGTCTCCTAATCCCCTCCAATCTGGGACAATTACTCAGTTCTTTCTTGTCTTTCATTACCTTGACACTTTTGAAGATTACTGGTTAGGGATTTTTTTTTGGTTCATCTTGTTCTCTCATGATTAAATTGAGGTTTCACATTTGTGGCAAGATTAGTAAATATGTGCTGTGCCTTCTTGTTGCATCATGTGAGCAGGTACATGATGCCGATACATGTCATTACTGGTGATGTCAACCTTCATCATCTGGCCAACAGCATGTCCACCAGGCCTCTCCACTGAAGAGTTACCATTTCTCCCTCGGTAATTGATACATATCTTGGGAGAGATAGTTCAAGACCATTGAGACATCCTGCTTTTCCTCAAATCCTCACATGCTAATTTCAGCATCTATTGATACAACCTGCTGCAATATTCACCACTGGGATCTTCTAATGTTGATTTCCTATGTCCTTCACATTCATTAATTAGAATTCTTCTGTAAAGAAGAATGGCCCCTTCACCCCGTTAATTTGTTTATGTGATTATTTATGTATATCACAAAGGAATCATAAACATTTATTTTATTCAGTGGGCTCTGTTGCAATGATTTCATAATTTATTTTGTTGCTTCTATTGTCCCAGCTTTGGCCTTTGGGAGCTCTTCCAGGTTGGCTCCTGTGATCTTTCAACATCAGATTTTATGAACACAATGTTACTTTCTGGCACCATAGCATGCTCTAGGCTCATCTTTTATATTTCCTGCCCCACCCATAGAATCAATCACTCTTCCAAGAAGCCCTCTGGCTCCTTTTACTGGGGAAGGCCCATCTGTTTCTGGGCTCCAAAGCCATGGGTCTTCATATCTTTGCCTGACAGGTCCTTAGATGCCAGATTCCATTGTGTGCCCCCAACACGCTTCATCCTTCCCAGGCTAAGGGAGGCCAGGGTTGCCACTTGTATGTCAGCCTCTACTCAGCCAAACTATTCCTCTCCTAGAAACCTGCAGCTGAGAGTTGGCAGAATAAGTTTTTCTAAGATAACAGTAGGGGATATTACGAAGTTGTGTTTGGAGGGGACTGGGTCAGAAAAAAAATGAAATAAACTTGCTATTACTCACTGATTTCTAAGAAGTCAATTCTCAGGATAGAGATGAGGACTTGGAAGGTAAAATCATTCAGGATTAGTAAAAGAAAATGCTGACTTCTTTTTTTTTTTTTTTTTTTTTTTGAGACACAGTTTTGCTCTTGTCACCCAGGCTGGAGTGCAATGGCACAATTTCAGCTCACTGCAACTTCGACCTCCCGGGTTCAAGCAATTCTCCTGCCTCAGCCTCCCGAGTAGCTGGGATTACAGGTGCCCACCACCATGTCTGGCTATTTTTGTTGTTGTTGTTATTTTTAATAGAGATGAGACCATGTTGGCCAGTCTGGTTTCGCCATTTTGGCCAGGCTGGTCTCAAACTCCTGACCTCAGGTGATCCACCTGGCCTCCCAAAGTGCTGGGATTACAGGCGTGTGCCACCATGCCCAGCCAGAAAATGCTGACTTCTGATTGTTTCACTCTGCCTTGTAGAATTCTGCTGAGTAGACCTTCTAGTGGGAATGTTTGAAACAAAGGCTGGAATTTTTACAAAGGTATGGATGAGACACTACAAGTTATATGCCTTGGTTATGAGATTAATTCGTCTTTATACCAGATAACATTAAGAAACAAAACTAAGGGCTGGCCATTATGTGCTTACTCTGTGTCAAATACCTTGATAGGTACAATGTCCTCATTATCTCAGGTGAACTTCAGGGCAACCTTGTGAGATAGTGACAGTACACACTAACCTTACAGTAACATTTTATTTAATATTATTTAGACGTTTTCAAGCTACCACTGATGCTCTAAGTCAGACTGTATCTGGGGAATTTCCTTTGTAGCTTGTATTCTTAGCCAGTGTCAGGCAATGTATTCCTTTAAGTGTCTCAGACCATCCTCCTGAATCCTAGGTGGCTGAGAAGCCTGGATCTGGAGGCATACCTCTTGGGATTAGATTTCAAGTGTGAAATGCTTACTAACAATGGGACCTTGAGCAAATTATTTAACCTTCCTGTAAGATGAAGATGATGAGAATGGCCAAGTAATAGCCTCCACCTCAAAAGTTGTTGAAGGGTTAAATTAGTTGGTCCATATACAGCACTTGAAATGGGACCAGGCACCACGTGGACCTGCTCAGTGAGCGTTTGCCATTTTTATTGCTGTGGAGATGAGTGTTGCTAGGAGGCACCTGAGGCCTGGGAGTTCCCACACTCTCTTCATGTCCTTTTCCCTCAGGTGCATCTCTGGACATGCTTTCTTCTAAATGGGAGCGCTGTCAGGCCATGCAGTTGCACGGCAGCGTCCTGGGCATGGTGATTGGAGGCACGGCTGGTGTGATCTTCTTGACCTTCTCCATCATTGCCATCCTTTCCCAAAGGCCAAGGAAGTGACCTGCCTGTTGGCATTGGCCAGACCACAGCAGCACCTCCTCCATGCAGGCCTTACCTTCCAATGGTCAGTGCAGTTTGGGGCAGCTTTTTTGTCAGCCTTGCTTTGGATAGGATCTCCAAGGTCTAAGGCCTCCAGCCCCATGTGTGACCCTTGTCATCTTTCTGCCCCACATAATTCTGTTACTCTGCTATGTGCTCCTAATGTATCTAGTGTGTCCTGTGACAACATTCATCATACTTCATTGTAAACCACTTGTTTGATTGACTGTCTTTCCTATAGACTGTAAGCCCCATGAGGGCAGGCACATGTTGTTATTGACCATGCTGGCCACGTGCCTAGATGCATGGCTGGCACATTGTGGGCACTCAACAATGGTTGAATGAATAAAACAATAAATGAATGAATAAGATATAGAAACTCTCATTTATATTGCAGATCAAATATATATTATGAAATTCTTATGTTGAATATGTTAGAATCAAATACTCATTTTTCATTAGACACAGTACTGTCATTACTCTTTTAAGATCTTGTTAAAGATTTCAAATAAAGGTACTTCCAGGCAGGCTGGCTTCACAGCATTTGCTTTCCTCTGAGATTCTAAGAGAAGCCCTTTAATAAATTTAATAAATATTGAGTTAGCACCTTCTTTGTATCTGGTATTGTATGTACGTGTGGGTGTGCATGTGTGTGTTGAAGGTTGGGGGTGTTCAAAAGCTCTTTCCCAGATCTTTTAAGTTTAACAGTATATTTTATAGCTATTTATGTACAACATTATCATATTAACAAACAGAAGGTATCAGAGAACTTTAAAGAAGTATTTTTAGATATGCTTTCTTTCCATAGTTCCTAAGGAGATAAAAATCTAGCTGGGGCAAGGAAGTTCCAAGATAGATCAAGTGAAAAAAAAAAAAAAAAAAAAAAAAAGCTAAAGTTTCTATACCCAATCAGCAATGAGTCAGCTCAGGAAATTTAACAAACAAAAATATTTTAAGGATTCTGAGTGGTCCTTTAAGTTATAAGGTTTCCTAAGTAGAGACTTTATGACAATTTTGTAGAGTTAAAATGCACTGGAAACAAAATGAGAGATTAACAAGAGTTTCTTTAATGCAAAGGTATGAGAACAATTTGTAGCAAGTGAAAACAGCACCCCTGAGGGCAATACCTCTCAAACTTGAGGTGCATCTGTATCCCAGGGAGGACTGATTAAAACAGATTACAGGGCCCCACACTTTACAAACCTCCACTTTCAGTAGAGCCTCCAGGTCCCTCCCAAGAGCTTCCGTAAGTCACCACAACCCAAGAGGACCAGGGAGATTCCCTCATGCAGATGTTCCCAGACCATGCATGTGATGGCATGTGGAGGGCTTCCCACCTTGACATCTTCCTGTCCTCTGTAGAAACTGGGTCAGTAGATCTAGGGTGAGATCTAAGAATGTACATTCTTAAATGTGCCAGGATCTAACAAGGTATAAGAATGTGCCAGAATCTAATAAGTTCTCAGGCCATGCTGCTACTGCTACTGACTCCCCCACAACCCCCACCTCACAGACACCTTGAGAACCACTGCTCTAGTGGATAGAAAACAAGTCTGGAAGCCAAGCATCCTGGCTGCAGGCTTGGATTGCCCATCCAGCTGGCTGGGTAATTTTAGTAAGAAATCATTTAAGCTCTTGATCTTAGTTTACTAACTTGTCAAATGGAAATAATAGCTGACTATCTCCTTCCACATGACTTTACTACTTACAGAGTAGCAGAGTAATACAATGGGATAATGAATATGAACCTATCTTAGAGTTTAATATGTATGAAAATATTACTATTCAATGTTCAGACTAGATAGGAAGCTATCCTGTCACCAGCCCAGTTGTATTATCTCCAAAGTCCAGATTGGAAATGGATTCCAGCTTTGTTTCTCGCTGTGCTTCACAGTCCTGCAAACCCTCCACTAACCTCATAGTTAGGCCTAAAGAAAGCTATGCCCTTAACACTCTGCTGAGTATCTGACCTCAGAAGTGAACTCTAGGCTTTGTTGCTGCTGCTGCTGTTATTGTCCTTTGGTTTTATTAAAAGGAACATGCTGTGGTCTGTCTCACATGGAAAGGTCCCTAGCCCAAACCAATGACAACATTTCTTAAATATATGAGTTTCTCTCTGGAAGAAGCAGAAGCTCAAATTTCAAAGATAACCTAGTATTTTCATCTAGTACTGCAAATTAAAACTGCTAGGTCAAAATAATGATAAGGAGGTACCAGAATGAGGGTAAAGCATTTTGATATTTATTTCTCTCTAGATTCTCAACCAGTACCATGCCTACTATCTATCTTTATCACTTTTGGTGATTAATGGTCACCTCAGTTGATTAATGATCTGGCTCACCATAAATCTGACATGGTATTCAGCTTTTCTTTGAGCCCAAACCCTCAATCATTCCAGGAGGACTAGCAGATACTTTATTCTTTTGAGGTGTTGGGATGGTGATGGCAAAGTGGGCATGTAGGATGGGGAGTGGGTAGAAATTAAGCATTTCATAATCTCTAGGCAGTATGGAATTTGGGATTTAGATGAGCAACATGAAAAATGTGGGAAATCCTCCCTGAATCTGAGTGTCTGACTTCTTTAATCTTACATAGTGGGAATAAGTCATAGTGGCTTGAAATTTTGAAAATGTCTCATGCTTCCCACACCATATCCTTGATACATCCCCATCTGCATCCTTTCCTTCTGTGAACTGAGCTGAGCCAATCTGGCCATTCACAAATGTCAGGTTCTTTCAGTAATATCTGGAGCCTCTGATAATTAGAAGTGGATGGGAACTCTAACCCCCTCTCTGATTATGTTAAAATGAATCAAGATTTGAACTAAATTCTGCTACACATTCATATTTGTTAACCATTGTTGTGGGAAGTCAGGGACTCTGAACGGAGGGACCAGCTGGAGCTGCGGCAGAAGAACATCAGTTGTGAAGATTTCATGGCCATGTATCAGTTCCCAAAATTGCTACTTTTATAATTTCTTACGCCTGTCTTTACTGCAGCCTCTGAACATAAATTGTGAAGATTTCATGGACATTTATCACTTCCCTAATAATAGTCTTATAATTTCTTATGTCTGTCTTTACTCTCTTAATCCCATTATCTTCATAAGCTGAGAATGTATGTCACCTCAGGACCACTATTGTACAAATAGATTGTAAAACATGTGTGTTTGAACAATGTGAAATCAGTGCACCTTGAAAAAGAACAGAATAACAGCGATTTTCAGGGAACAAGGGAAGATAACCATAAGGTCTGACTGCCTGCAGGGTCAGGCAGAATAGAACTGTATTTTTCTTCTTGCAGAGAGCATATAAACAGATGTGCAAGTAGGAGAGATATTGCTGAATTCTTTTCCCAGCAAGGAATACCTTGGGGAAGGAATGCATTCCTGGGGGGAGGTCTATAAATGGCCGCTCTGGAAGTGTCTGTCTTATGTGGTTGAGATGAGGACTGAAATATTCCCTGGTCTCCTGCAGTACCCTCAGGCTTACTAGGATTGGAAAATTCCAGCCTGGTAAATTTTGGTCAAACTGGTTCTCTGCTCTCGAACCCTGTTTTCTGTTAAGATGTTTATTAAGACAGTATGTGCACAGTGGGACATAGATCCTTATCAGTAATTCTAATTTTGCCTTTGCCTTGTGATCTTTATTGCCCTTTGAAGCATGTGATCTTTGTGACCTTCTCTTTGTTTGTACACCCCCTCCGCTTTTAAAATCCTAATAAAAACTTACTGGTTTTGTGGCTCAGGGGACATAACGGACCTCCCAATATGTGATGTTACCCCCAGAGGCCCAGCTGTAAAATTCCTCCTTTGTGCTCTTTCTCTTTATTTCTCAGACCAGCCAACACTTAGGGAAAATAGAAAGAACTTGCATTGAAATATTGGAGTCTGGTTCCCCCGATAAACCAACAAACCCACAAATAGCCATCCAACCTGTTTTGTATGTGTAGGGAAGTCTCTGCTCTGTCCTTTTAAGTGCTCCAGCACCAAGCCTCTTGGATTAAAGGTTCATTCTACACACATGCATTCAAATAATCTGAAGGCCAGGATCAGTCAACTCTCTACCCTAGGGTTTCTGAACCTCAGCCCTGGTGATATTTTGAGCTGGATATTCTTTTCTGTGAGGGCTGTTCTCTGCATTGTGATATGTTTAGTGGCATCCCTGGCCTCTACTTACTTTATGCTCATAGCACACTTCCCCAGTAGTGACAATCCCAAATCTCTAAGACATTGACAAATGTCCCCCAAGGGGCAAAATCATTACTGATTGGGAATCACTGCTCTAGTTGGATGAGCCAATGAAAACTTGTATTAAGTGAGTGAAAACTAGGACCAAATAGAGTTCTAGTCAAAGGTTCTACCCCAAAAGTTAGTTCACTGGGCCTGCCAAAGTATTGTACCTATAGCTATCTTGATAATTGTATTTAACCAATGCAAAAATTATTTTAAGCATCCTTTATACTAATAACAAACCCTCTGGTATAGCTTGCTATAGAAATATTTAAAGTTTTGCAACAGATATTTCTCCAGTAGAGACTTTTGATTAGGATCTTTCAAATACTAACTAACTGCTATTGGAGTGTGTATTCCTTTTCAGAATACTTTGCATACTATTTAACCTCCCCCAGGGTGTGGATTATAGTCCCCCTGCAGGCTGTATACAGTGTAATACCTATATGGAGACATTTACAAGCAAATTACAGATGATCTCACACCTTCCCTTCTTGAGCTCCTCCTTTCTCATGAATTATATCATCTGTTTTATGGCTTGATGAAATTTTTAGAGATTCTGAAGTCCACCTCTTGTATTTGGGTAAACTGAGGCAATTCTGGAGAGGCTAAGTGCCTTAGGCAGGTCACAGAGCCACTTAATAGCAGAATCTATTATTCTTGTTTGACTACAGAAAACCTTAATAAGATTAGAGGTTTGGAAGGTGCTATAAAATATAGGCAAATCTATATTGAACACTATGTAAAGGTCTTTTTTACTTGGTTTCCCTTATTAGGGATATCAGGTTTATGGATGATTTGTCACCTACTCAAATTTCTATATGTTTATAAATATGGCTAAAACATCTTTCTTATGCCAATTTTAATATAAGTATGTTTTTCAAAAGTCTCTAAGCAAAGAAAAGTTTGAAAAGATTTATAGTTATCCTGTAGCTGTGAGTGTCATTTAGCAGACTCTTGAAAACCCTAATGAATGGGGGATGGGAGATAATGGAGTCAGGTGCCAGTGACCTCTAATGAGTACTGATGTGAAAAAATATGATAGGAAATATTTGATATGGGTAAGGCAGCCTAACAGGATGTGTGTGTGTGTGTGTGTGTGTGTGTGTGTGTAAGAGTTGCAGCTAACAGTGATATCAGAGTAAAGACAAGACCCATCTCTCTTTGCCTTCCACAATTTTACCAAGGACTAGTCCTGGAATCCCAGAATGGATTGAGACATGGGCCTCATCTGGGTCACAGCATCCCTCAGGGCCTAGACAAATTTAGGACAAATTGACCCATGTGTGGCTCACCAGCTCAATGAAAATCATTAAAAACATTTAAAGATCCTATCTGGTCAAGAGAATAAAGGGAGAATAGAAAAATGGGGTCATAAGAAAGGTATGAGAAGAGAGCAGGAGGCAGAGGAGATGTTCAGATATCAGCCCCCAACAAAAATGGTCACCAACATCCATTCTTCTTTTCTCAGTAATAGAATCCCCAAACTCCAACTGGTCAAATGGCTACTCAGAGTCTAGTTTACCTTCTCCTGCTTCCTTTGCAGGTAGATGGGTGATATGGTTTGTCTCTGTGTCCCCACCCAAATCTCATCTTGAATTGTAATCCCCACGTGTGGAGGGAGGGAACTGGTGAGAGGTTATTGGATCATGGGGGTGGCTTCCCCCATGCTGTTCTTGTGATAGTGAGTGAGTTCTCATGAAAGCTGATGGTTTTAAAGTGTGGCACACCTCCTTGTTCTCTCACTTTTCAAGTCTTGCTACCATGTAAGACGTGCCTTGCTTCCGCTTTGCTTTCCACTATGATTGTAAGTTTCCTGAGGCTTCCCCAGCCTTGCAGAATTGCTAGTCAATTAAACCTCTTTCCTTTATAAATTACCCAGTCTCAGGTAGTTCTTTATAGCAGCGTGAAAGCAGACTGATACAGTGAGGTAGTGTGATCAAATTCAGGCCAGTGGAATGGAAGAAGGAATGTTGCATGTGAGCTTCTGGGAACCTTTCCTAAAGGAGTCTTGGTGCACACCTGTAGTCCCTTCTTCTATCCTAATGACTGATAAGGGGATGTAATGGCCAGAGTGAGAGCTGCCAAATGGGGCCACGTGGTGACCTTGGCAAAAGCAGATTAAAAAAATAGAAAGTATCTGGATTTCTGAGGACTGCACCGAGCCAGGCTGCCACACCAGTCTTGGGCTGCTTATCTGTGTTAGAGAAATAAACTTCTACTTTAAGTCGCTATTATTTTGAATGTCTGGCATTCACAGAAAACATGATCCTAATGGATATAATTATTTCTATGGGGCCAGCACATGGCTCAGACTAAGCCAATCATGATACCCTGTACTGCCACATATACCTGAACATTTGGAGAAGAAAAGGGTTAGTCTTCTCAATCTATCGGTCTGTGGACCTCATAAATTCCTCTCCTTGAAGATCTACCTTGGAATGAAATAAATACACAAAGAGAGGCAACAACACAAAAGGAAGAGCCAGAACTCTGAGAACACTGTTTGGGCACCTGAATCTAGCTGTACCTGAAGGTGTACCAATCTACTATCTTTCCCAGTTACGTGGTAAGTGCCCACTTTTGCTTAAACTAATTTGATTGTGGTTCTGTTACCTGTAACTGAGAAAGCCTTAATTAACACCACTGTTATAGTGCATAATTGGCTCATTTGTAAAGAAAAGAAATAATGAAATTAGTTTGAAGATTAAATAAAATTATGTAATATGTAAGATTACCAAAACTGATTTGAAATGCAGACATGGGGTAGTTAACCAGGCTCACACACTTGTTATGTGAATTACTCACCCATTCTGGCTTCATAATGAGCACGATTTAAACTCAAACCTTGATAAAGTTATGATTTAGGATGTCACGTACCTTTGACGTTACTCTCAAAAGCTCTTAACCATGAATTAAAAGTGACAATGTGAAAGGCATATGTAGTTTGATTCTGAATAGAACTGGCATCTAAATCTGAGTTCTGTCAAGATCTATCAAGAATTCTGAGTGTTGGATATTATTTAGACACATAGGAAGAAAGTATGACTTCTCAGAAATGAAGTGTAATTCTGAGGCTGTGTTTAAATATATCAGGAGGAGAATTGAAACATTTGCTCTAATAAATTTGGCTAAGTCATGATGCATGATGTATATATGTGTGTATGATATATATCTACTATAGTTTTTATGCACACACGGTAAGATGCAAAATAATAAAGGCTAACTTTATTCAGCAATAATTGCAAGCCAGATATGATTTTGTAGGCTTTATAAGAATTTTACAACAACCCATGGAGCATGTACCATTATTATTTCCTTTCACATAGTGTAAATTGAGGCAGAAAGAGTTATTTTACCAACAGTCAAACTAAGAAGTGGTGGACCTACAACTGAAAAGCACACAGTTTGGCTCTAGAACCAATGCTGTTAACCACCATACCACATTTGCCAAACTGGCTGTCAATCAATGCTGAAGAACAGCCCAATACCCCTGTCCATGCAAAATGAAGCAGAGAATGCAAAGCATTCAAGTAGCAAATCAGCTGCTGTTTCAGTCTGCATATCAGAAGGAAAATCATGACTTAGCTAAACGTATTAGGACAAATGTCCCAATTCTCCACTTGATATGTTTAAACATAGCCTCAGAATCACGCTTCATTTCTGGGAAGCCATATTGCCTTCCTACATGTCTAAATGCCATCCAACACGCCGAGAATTCTTGATAGATCTGAGACGAAAATAAAAACAACACTGGTGATTGAGACCTTACAAGAAGCTCACTTGACTGAAGACTCAAGCTGGGGGGGTCCACTAGATAACTAAGTTGAGATCTACTTTCAATAAAGCAGCACAGCAGGAATTCTTTGATGTTTCACCAGAGACTTAAAAAGGAAGTAGGCGCACTCTGAAGTTTGCCCAGAACATTGGTCATTATGTCCTGGGCTGCCCCAAGGTAGAATTATAAAGTGAGATGAAGCTTGGGGAAGCCTTAACTCCTCCAACCTCTCTGTCACTGTTGTTCTCCCTCTCATTTTTTGCATTTGAAACTCTTCCTGCTACGGAAGCCTACTTTTAAGCAAGTAACTGGCATCAGGTTGCATAGAGAAGCAATATAAGGTGGTGGATACATGCCCATGTTCTAGGTCAGACACTGCATTTAGATCCTGATTCTACTGGTCCTCAGCTGTGTGACTGTGGGCAAGTTATTTACCTCTCTGTGCTTAGCTTTTTCCTCTAAAAATGCAAAGAAAAAGAATATTTAGTTACTTTTGGTTTGCTATAGAGTTTAAATGAGATTATACGCATAAAAATCTTAGAACAGCAGCAGGTACACAGAAAGGGCTCAAAAAATGTTGGTTAATATAGTTATATAGTTACCAGCCATTTTCATTCGAGGGTAAATTTAAGTTACTGTGTTTCTCACCCAGAGGTGTATTTGCATACCTTTTCTCTCCTTGAGATTAACCTGAGATTAACCTTCTTAACTTTATCTGTCTTTGAGATTTCTGTTTTTGTAAAAGGAATGTCCAACATGAAGAAGAAGGTGTGAGAGCTATTCCGAGGGTATAGGAGCAACAGGCCAAGGTGCGTGACATCCCCCCAAACTGGGAAGCTGTCTGCCTCATTACTGAAGGCCAGTTCAGCTTGTCCCTCTACACCAAGGACCAACCCTGCTGGCAGTTGGCCCTGTTGACTTCTCCTGGGTCTTCTCGGGTCACACGTTAGCAATGTGTGCTCAGAGGATAGGAACTTGCCATCCAGCCTCAGCTGCTGGCTGGACTGTCAGATTGCCCTGGGATAGCTGCAGATTCATCTGCAGATTCATGATGGATTGAAAATGAAACTCCAGGCCAGCAGTGGCTTTCAATGGATGAATTAGGAAAGGGAATAGGACCACCTATGTTAATCCTTTTGCAGCTGCCTTGATGGAAAAAGTATTGGGTTAACATGAAACATGGAAGGCACCCATTTTTCTTCCTCAAACGACCTTCCAGCAGCCTATCTGGAATGGGTGAACCAGATCTTTTCTGGGGCTTTCAGCTTTGCTGTTAGTGCCATAAATGAGATTCAGTCAGTAAGAGGGGGACAGAGAAAGGAAGGAGCTATCTCAGCGAGTATGCCTCAGAAATGTATGCCTGCCTGCAGATGTGCTATGCACACTTGTAAACCAGTCTCTGAGACAGGTCTCAATCAACTTAGAAGTTTATTTTACCAAGGTTAAGAACATGCCTGGAATAATGGAACACACAATCACAGAGACAGCCTGTGGTCTGTGTCTTTCCGCAAAGATATTTTGAAGGTTTCAGTATTTAAAGGGGAAAAGTGGAGGCGAAAGAGGGAAGGTATGGCAACATGGCATAATCCATGCATTGCAGGAGAAAAGGAGCAGGTAGGAAAATAGTCAGTGATGTATTCATCTCAGTAAATCGGTACTTTACATAAAAGGTGAACCTAGTGTAGCTCTCTGTGGAGATATCTGGCCTTTCATCTGTTAGCTATTTGCTTAGCAATAGAAGGAAAAGGCTGTTTCTTGCATGGCTCAGCTTCCATCTTAATTTTTTCCTTTTTGCATAGTGATTGGGGGCCCGAAATTTCCTTTGCCTTTCACACACTGAAACGACGTGACTGGGATTTCCCTCCCTCCACAGTCCTACGTGGCTTTCTGACTACCCTTTCCCCTGTAAGGATCATAATATGAAAGTTAGGAGGCTGGAGTGAAAGAGATTTTTTTCATTTCTGGTTTCTGTTATCCACTATGCCTTGACCTTCGCTCTGCCCATATGATCAAATGACTTCCTGAACGTAGCCCACTGGGCGCGTCATCCGCGGGACTGACTCTGCCTCCCACGGGCTTCCTGAGGCCGGACCGCCGCGGGGACGCCTCCTCTCACGCCCACCAGGGGCGCGCGAGCCTCAGGAGACGCCAGCAGGGGTTGCGGAGCTGCGGTGCTGGAAGCCAGCTGTCACTCCAACCCAGCTGGAGATTCCTGTCGGGAATGCTTGGGATAGGACAGCTGTGAGGGAGCCCCTGGGGCATAGGAAAACCCTCACAGTTCCAGAAAAAAACAGAAAACGCATGCACAGTTTTTCTCGGTTAATCAAAGTCAAATTCCTTTTCCCACAACTGCTGGGGTGCCAGCTGGCTGGCAGGATGGAAGAACCAGGATGGCACCAATCAAAATCCGAAAAAGGCAGGGTCCAAAGTCATTCCTGGGTTTTGTTGTTTAATGTCATCGGAAGTGGGCCGTGACAGCAATCTGCCCACCACTTGCCCATTCAGGTCCTCTTGCCTTTCATACTGAGAATAAAGCCATTTTTCCCCCCGGGCTCCTGGGTTTGTTCTGTTTAGGCTTCAATAGTCACCGGCATCCTTCACATGGCTCTGCATGACAGAATAAAAACCCTGGGGTGGGAACAGGCTCATGTATCTCCTAACCATGCCACCATGTGTGCAGAGGGACCTGTCATGGACACTGGTGGCCTTTCAACTTCATTTCAAAGTTTACAGGTAAAAGGGGAAAAATGGGTGTGTATAAAATCATTTAAGAATAATCCCAGCACTTTGAGAGGCCGAAGCGGGTGGATCATGAGGTCAGGAGATCGAGACCATCCTGGCTAACACGGTGAAACCCCGTCTCTACTAAAAATACAAAAAAAAAAAAAAAAAAAAAAATTAGCCGGGCGTGGTAGCGGGCGCCTGTAGTCCCAGCTACTCCGGAGGCTGAGGCAGGAGAATGGCGTGAACCCTGGAGGCGGAGCTTGCAGTGAGCCGAGATGGCGCCACTGCACTCCAGCCTGGGGGACAGAGTGAGACTCCGTCTCAAAAAAAAAAAAAAAGAATAGACAGGACGGTTGTGTCTGAATCATAGGACACCACGACCAAGGCCCCCACGCCCACCCCGGACACGTACAGATGATATTTGGAGATCAGAACTTGTGTCTGGCATAGAGCGGACTTCGGGAGTTGCCCATCTCCCCTCTTTTCTTCTTCTGTCCACTAACAGTGGGAAACTTGGTTTCCGTCTAGAATGTGCTAGAGGATAAATAGAGCCCTCACATCCTTTATATTAATCTATAGGACATGAGGGCTCTATTTTCAGCTGTCAATGAAAATTTCAAGCCATCCTCACACAAATGTTGGAACAGGCATCTGTTTGTTCGCCAGACAACTGGTTCTGAAAACTTTACTTCAAGGACCCTTGTTTAAACCTTCTATAACGTGCTGGATCTTTGCACACGGCTTGGGAGTGCGGATGGTGTGAGGGAAGCCATCAGACCTGCCAGCCAGTTGAGCTCAGGGGCGAGCTGCCGGCCTCCCCCATACCTGGAAGATGGAAAGGATCGTTCGCTGTTTGGAGAATAGAGCTGCATTCTGGGTGACATGCAGAAGCCTGAGAGGCAGCAGCACCACATTGCAAGAAGGCAAACAATTGCTACAGAGACAGTGTTGCGGGAAGTCAGGGACCCCAAATGGAGGGACCGGCTGAAGCCATGGCAGAAGAACGTGGATTGTGAAGATTTTATGGACATTTATTAGTTCCCCAAATTAATACTTTTGTAATTTCTTATGCCTGTCTTTACTGCAATCTCTAAACATAAATTGTAAAGATTTCATGGACACTTATCACTTCCCCAATCAATACCCTTTTAATTTCCTATTCCTGTCTTTACTTTAATCTCTTAATCCTGTCAGTTGAGGAGGATGTATATCGTTCTAGGACCTTGTAATAATTGTGTTAACTACACAAATTGTACAGCATGTGTGTCTGAGCAATACGAAACGTGGGCACCCTGAAAAAAGAAGAGGATAACAGCAATTGTTCAGGGAATAAGAGAGATAACCTTAAACTCTGACCGCCGGTGAGCCGGGCAGAACAGAGCCATATTTCTCTTCTTTCAAAAGCAAATGGGAGAAATATCGCTGAATTCTTTTTTTCAGCACAGAACGTCCCTGAGAAAGAGAATGCGCACCTAGGGGTAGGTCTCTGAACTGGCCCCCCCAGGGCGTACCTGTCTCTTATGGTCGAGATTGCAGAGGTGAAATAAACTCCAGTCTCCCATAGCGCTCCCAGGCTTATTAGGAAGAGGAAATTCCCACCTAATAAATTTTGGTCAGACCGGTTGATCTCAAAACGCTGCCTCCTGATAAGATGTTATCAATGACAATGGTGCCCGAAACTTCATTAGCAATTTTAATTTCGCCTCCATCCTGTGGTCCTGTGATCTCGCCCTGCCTCCACTTGCCTTGTGATATTCTATTACCCTGTTAAGTACTTGATGTCTGTCACCCACACCTATTTGCACACTCCCTCCCCTTTTGAAAATCCCTAATAAAAACTTGCTGGTTTTTGTGGCTTGTGGGGCATCATAGATCCTACCAATGTGTGATGTCTCCCCCCGGACGCCCAGCTTTAAAATTTCTCTCTTTTGTACTCTGTCCTTTTATTTCTCAAGCCAGTCGACACTTAGGAAAATAGAAAAGAACCTACGTGATTATCGGGGCAGGTCCCCCGATAAGACAGCTCACGAGATCTCATTAGATATTTCATTGTTATAGTATGGAAAGGAAGCATATTTGTGTGCTGGTATACATGATGTGATTTTAAATCCCAAGTGATAATTTTAGAAACCAACAGAACCTAATATTAAAGCTAAACTACTGTCCTCTTGAAATGATGAGATGCTATTCCGGTTGCCCTTTTAAAAACACTATCAAGAGGTAAGTTCCCTGTAAGTTCCACCTTCATTTTGTACACTTAAAGAATCAGTCTTTTACTGGCCTGGGTCACTGGGTTTTCTCTTTTGGATGAGGAGGGCTTATTTGACTTCACCATCACATGGCACAAAATAAACGCATTCCACCTACCTGGCATTTCTAGGACCACCTATTTCTTTTTTTCTTCAAATGATTGTGACTTCCTGCTCCATTCACCTCAATAACTCACCCACACGTCCTTTCTATACTTACTAATTACTGTAATCTTTCTCATCTCCATGTAACTTTTTTTTTTTTCTGAAGCATTCCAACATGGATCTCTTTGAAATTCTCTATACAAACCACAAAAGGCCGTGACTTCCCACAGTCTTTCTGAATTTCTGGCCTTAGCAAAAACCTGAAAACCCCACAGACATTTATTTAACCATTTTCCCATGCAAACAATAAGAAGTGGGGGAGGAGGATAGCAGACATCTGGCTTACTCAAGAGATGATGTGTTAGTCTGGACTTAGAATATTCCCAGAGAATATTCCTATAATCTGTATTAGCTTCTCATTTGTGAATATTCTAACCTCACAGACTCTGACGCATTAGGACAAAGCCCTTTGCAAGAAACTGACTTAATGGAAAGCTCTTAATGCAAGAAAGTTTAGGCTCAGGGAATGGACTTTATACACTGAGAGATGTCAGGAACACAGGGAAGCACTGGGCACCTTACGAACAAAGTAGATCGCACAACTCCATGTGCCTTCATTCTCAGGAATCTGCTACTAATAGCCTTGTAATCATTACTGATTGAGAGATGGCAACCTCAGGGCCAAATGAGGCTCCTGCATTCATAAAATTCTCAGCTTCATAACTGCTGTTCTACAATTTTGAATTCTACTGTTCATTTTAGGATTTTCCCGGGAAAGGGTAGTGGCTGGGCTAACGTGTATTGCAGTGGGCAGAAAACCAGCAAGTGTTTCTCCAATTATTTGCTTTCATAGCTTTTCTGGAATTTGGACCCAGTGCTGTGGCTTGAAAGGGTGAAACACATGCATGTATGTGGCTTGAAAGGGTGAAACACATGCATGTATGTGCACATGTGCACATGTGTGCATGTGTGTATTTGTGTGTGTTGGGGATAAGGGAACATGCCCCAGTTAACGAATGGAGCAGTGGGCCAGATCCACATCCTGTGTAACTCCCACAGGCTCCTGCTACGATGAAAGTTCCCTTCACAGGGTTGAACACAGTGATTCCCCAAGGGATCCTGGCTGAAGTGGGTGGAAGTTCAGCGTTTCTTGTCCCACTGAATTTTTGAACATGACAACCACGTCCTGCTCCTGATACTGTGTGCTTTCCTTGATTGATCATGTCAAGATAGCCCTGCTAACATTGTGTTCCAAGCCTGGCTCGATTCTTCTTGATATAACTCCAGGAACCAAATCAGCCAAAGGCCTTCTTTCTCTAATTCTAATTCTAATTCAAGGGATTTCCCCCAACCCAACCTCTGTCTCCATCTTCTTAGTATCAAGCTCTGCCCAAAGTTGATCATTCCTGAAGAACAAGGCATGCATTTATAGCATAACAATGATTTCCTTTAGGGACTTTCAGTAATGCACCATTCATTTGGGACAGTGATGTGACAATTCTCAGGCAAATGTGGAAGTAGATGTCTATGTCATTTGTGAATATGTAGAAATAAAGAGTTCATTTACATCAACTGTCCCACCTCTGTCCCATACCTCTCCTTCCCCATGAAGAAAAGAGAGGCAGAAGTAGAATTTAAGTAGAATTTAAAATTAAAAATAAAAAGAAGATATTTTAAAGGGTTAAAATATTAAAAGAAAACTCCTTTGAACCTCAATAAAGAAATGGCTGTTGAATCTCAGCCTCTTTTGCCCCATCTTCCTAATGGCTGGGCCCATTTCTGTTGCCACACAGCCCACATATCCTAAGTAGCCCCACATCTCTATTTTTGTCTTATTCTCCTTTTGGGATCAGACTTTTATTTGCAATGTAGGGTTGCTGTATCCATAGCACATGGTTAACTCTAATATGGATGCAATTTTCATAAGTATTTATATTTTTTAATGAAATACATACACACGAAAAAAAGCACACATGCAGATAATTCACAAACAATCAAATCCTTGGGAAAGTCTCTGCCATCTGTTCAACAAGGTCAAGTGTCATTAGGAGCACAGAACAGCCAAATGTAAAATTTCTTTTCAGGAGCTTTCCAAGTGGTTGGAATAAACACAAGTTAGACCATGCAAAATTCTTAATGTATATTGGTCTGGGAAAGTAAAGATGGAAACAGAGAATACCTAGGGAGCTATGCAACACACCAAGGGCCATTATCCACAGTAACAATAACAGTGACAACAGCAATAATAATGTACAATGCTATAAGATTATTAAAATCTATTCTATAATGCACAGAGAAGTACCTGCTTGAAGCCATTAAATATATGACAGGGTCTGTCTTCAGTGCGATATATCAAATTTGGCAATTGAAAGGTATATAAAATATATATTTTTTGCTTTCAAAATATGGAACGAACTAAAATACAAGGCTTTTCTGATAAACTATAAAAATTTAATCAGCACTTGGATCTAATGACGTATCTTTATAATACTTCCTCTGCAGATACATTCACTTAGTTCAAACCTTAACATACAAAGTTAGCCTCAGGAGAATCATGTTTCCTTCCATTCATTTCTTATAAATATTATTATCCACTTGAAGTCGTTCTGATGAAGGAATTTCCTCCCTATTTTTTCAGCCTTTTTTTTCTCCTCTTAGCTAAGAAGACATCAGGAAGACACTGCCCAAAGTATTCATTCCCCATGACTTACTTTCAGTTTCCATTTTTGAGCCATTAAAAAAAAATTCTCAATGTTGCACTATCTGAGTGATTATATTAGATCATTAACATGGAAATCTTAAAACGTGGCCCTTAATGTTGTTTGTCTATATTTGTTCCTATTTTCATCTTTCTCTTTTTCTTCTTTTTCCCTTTCTTCCTGTTTCCCTCCCTTCTTTCCTTCCTTTCTTCCTTCCTTCCTTCTTAGAATTCACTGAAGTATTTCCTAGGTTGTCTTTTACTTACTACTTTAATCAAAGCTTATCTTTGTGCCCAATTTGTAGGAAGTGAAAATGTCTCTTTGAAATTCTATATTACATAGACAGAGAAGTTGGGCCTTCGAGGGCTTGAGTTTCACTTAAATACTATACACATGTGGTATCACACAAGGGGGAGGGGGAGGGAACAAACATAAACATAACAATTATTTTCAGTCTGTCTTTACAAAAGAAAGCCTCTTCTCTATGAAAGTCTTTTTGACATCTGCTCCTGGAAACCTGCCCCAAGAACACATTCTCCATTGCTTTGCAAGGATCTCTTTTTAAAAGCACATCCATCCACTGTCCCCAGGAGGTCACGTATGTTGGATTATCCTGTTCTTAGTTGAGCAACGAATAAGCACTGGATGAGTTTTCCAGGGATAAGCTGGTTGCTTCTGGGGTGGAAACATTATATGTTCCTGAAAAACAGAGCAGCAACTCAGCCTTGAAGACAAGCCATCATGAACTTTGGGGTGTGAACATCTCCTAAGGGACCCAGGGGAGCAGTGGTCTAGGCACTAGGTAAACTCGGCCATGCCTGGAAACCAACCCATACCTGCCCTCTTCCCAAGAGCTAGAAATGCCAGAGAACTAACAGAGTTGTCGTTCTCATGCATGTGTGGCAGCCAACAAGCAGTCACTACTTCACATCATACCAGCAGCCAGGTTTCTACAAAGGACGGGAAGATGTCAAGGTGGGAAGCCCTCCATATGCCATCACGTGCATGGTCTGGGAACATCTGCATGAGGGAATCTCCCTGGTCCTCTTGGGTTGTGGTGACTTACAGAAGCTCTTGGGAGGCACCTGGAGGCTCTACTGAAAGTGGAGGTTTGTAAAGAGAGTAAAGGGAAAGAAAAGAGAAAATTATAGGGAGAGAAAAGGCAGGACCAGAAAAGAAGCAGGAGTCAGGAACGTCAACAGAACTGCTGAGAATCAGTGCAGCAAGGAAGGCAGCCTCTGAGCAACTGCACAGGCTTGTGTCTGCGGGGAGGTGGGGACTGTGCACAGGGAGTGCGTGGAGAGTGTGTGTCGGGCAAGAAAAGGGTTGAAGTGCCCACCCTACCATCAAATTGCTGAACCGCCACCACCGCTAACAAAGTTTCCGTCATGGCCTGGGGGGATCTTAGGGGCTGCTGACAACATAAACCAAAGTTACGGTACTTATGGGGCCCCCAAACATGCCCAATTGGGACTTTCATAATCAGAAGTGAAGGTCCCCCAGTTTCATGGGTAATTCATCAAATTGAAGCAGAAAAGAACCCAAGTCCTCTGGAGTTTTAACAGTTATAGGCATTCACAAAATTTGCTTGTATATGAAAAGCCTTAATGTGGAACATTGATACATTTCTCAACTCTGCATTTGTGAGATCTGTTGAGTTTCAAAAAGCTAGAAGAAATCCTGGGGCTTATTTTCCTGTGGGGGAGGGATGGTGGCATGGGACAGGGGTTTCAATTTGCTAGAATAGCTGAGATCTGTTGCCCAAAGTTATTAATTCCATTCATTTCAAATCTCCAAGGTAGAAATTTAACTGTGAATATTTCTAATAGAATAGCTAACTAGGGTGATCCCTTATGTAATGCATGCACACTTCTATGTGCTTCCATGTGTAACACAAGCACACTTTATAAAAAGAACACAAAAGGAAAACAAACCTAAATAGTGAGATCCTGTAGTAAGATTTTCTAACTGTATTCTTTGCTGCCCCGTAACCCTGAAACATCACCTATCTACTCTTATTTGACATAATTTGAGAAGAACTCTGTGTTTGACAAGGCCAGCAATTTACAGTTCTCATTTTGATGGATGATAGTTTGACAGACAGCTCTCCAAATCATTGTCTAGATTCTCCAAATCTTATTCTTTATGAGTTATTATAAGTTCCCAACAAAGGCAGCTGCCCTCTGTACCCACTTTTTGGTGATTTGTGAAAATGTAAGTTCCTCTATTTAACCTCTACCCCAAAAGAGGACATTTTAGGTAAATGCCATGATTGGGGTGAAAGAGTAGGGGTGTTGAGGCTCCCCATTTGACCAAATGTGTTCTGGGCAAGCAGGGAGAACATAGAGGCCACTACTCACCTGTTTTACCAAACAAACTGTTAAATCTCCTTGATATTGGAGAACTCATAGAAAACACAGGTGTGGATGAACCCAGGGATGTTGACTAGAAGAGAGAAAAAAAGGGAAAATCACAAAGCAAATTTGTGGGACCAAAGCTGTTTACATCCCTAGAAGGATTGATTTTCCACCCTCTAGTGGTCACTGCCGGCATCTCTAGTCCCACTCCCAGAGGTCACATTAAAATACTGGAATCTTGTCATCTGTATTAGAAAAATAACTGTCAAATACAAGTTTTATTGTTTGTTAGGCTTCTAGTATTTTCTGACATGTGAAAGGCAGTCAGATATATCCAAGGGCAATAGTTATGTTCCACAATGAACTATAGAAAATTTTATCCATTATTATTCTTCAACTTGTTTTCTCTAATGCCTTGAATCCCCCCAGAAGACTGCTTCTCATTGAACATTTGATTTCAACCTTCAGTTTATATCATATATTATTTTAAACCCTATTTAAATATGTGGAGTAGCATCTCAATGACAGCTCTATGGCTCTGTTTAATAGGCAGAATGACTTGAGAAGCAAAAACAATGGAATGATCTATGCCAAATATAGCTGTTGAGGGAGATGGGTTTGAGGATGCAATATATTTAGCCTAATTAATCAAAATCCTGAAGAAAAAATTTAGTACTCTGTACTTCAGAATGCTAGTGGAATACATGAGGTTATAAAACGAAAAGTATCTGCAGAGAAAAGGTTTACCTTTGAGTGTGGTGAAGACCATCTCGACAATGAAAACTTATTCAGCAAAGCTTCCTGTACCTGCATTGTTAAAAAGAAGCTATCGTAACTTCAACATGCCAGAAGCACTTCACGCTTTTCTAGAAACATGAAACTGTCATTGCTCTTACCTTCAGATCCTAGAGGCATCCAAAGAGTAAACTGAATAATCCCTGAGAAAAAAAGATTAAAAAGAAGTGCATTTTAATTATAGTCTATTGTCCAGCAAAAGAGAAAGTACTATTAACCTGGTGTTAAATTTGTACTACTTCTTTTTCTATCTGAGTTTATGGAATGAGTCCAGTACATGATACTGTTCAATGAGAGGCAGTTGGTCCACACCAAGGGACTCTAAATGTTATGATGTTAGGAGGATATTTTCTATTTTCCCATTTTCCTTTGGTTGAGAACTGGAGGTCCTGTTGGTTATGCTATTTATACACCTCTTGTGTCTACAATATTCCTCACATAGTTGTGATGAGAATCTTGGCTATGGGGTGGGATAACTAGTTCCTTCCAAATGAGGCATATCATGAAGGTCATTACATATGAACTTTATAACTTGGAGACACAGGCCCAGTAACAGAAATTAAGGTTCATATGTTCTTGGCACAAGCATCCTGAAAGCAGTATCTCAAGTGCACCTCCAGCCTCTGCCTCTTCACAAGCTCACAGTGGCCTCAATCCTTGGGCAGGTTTTTTCCTGTATTATCACCTCTCCATTGGGTGAAACAGAATTAATCACTTCCTTCCTTGTGGTTTAAAGGCTTGCTATCTATACCTCTGTTATATTTCTTCTAACAAACTGGTCTGCATTGTAATTAGTTACGTGCTGCAGGAGAGCAAAGAAGATGTTTTTTGCATTGTAGTACAATCAAGCAGATTGTCTGGCATTCACAGGACATTCGTTCTTTGATTTTTGATGTTTCCAGAGAAGCTGCTATGTGGTACATAGGATTTATTTCATTCAAATGATTATTGAGAACCTACTCTGTACCAAGGTCTCTATCAGGCATAGAGGTATAGTGATGAACAAGAAAAGGGCAATCCCTGTCCTCACAAAGACAGGATTTTCATTTAGGAGATAATAGACTGCATCAAGATAATCTTAGACAAATGGGGATTTTCCTTTTACTGGTGTAATCAGGGTATTTAGCAGAGACTGGGAAATGACACTAAATTATAATGTAGGTGATAAAAAGCATGAGGTTCCATAGGATCAGAAGAATGTGTTCTTTCCATCTCATTGAATTCTCATTATTACTGCTCTTTAGAGCTGAGGCTTCCTCTGGGCTGAAATCCTTCCCCATTCCTACTCTTGTTTGTGTTTCTATCATTAATTTGTCCTACAGGAATAAAATCTTCCTGAAAGTCCCGCACTGCAAAACTCACCTGGAAGACATTGAGGATGGCAAATACGATATGGAACACAAGGAACACTACTGTCTGCTGTCACTGGTTAATCACTAGATGCCAAGAGCTTACTGAACAAAAGCTTGGCAATCAGAATAAATGGGGAAGGAAGGACCTTATGAATTGTCTACTTAGCCTAAGAAACGGCAGGTTTAGTTCTTCTCTTCCAAAAGATACAGGTATATCACTGGAATTGTACTTAAAATTTATAGATGACTAGCAAATATATACTTTATATGTACTTAACATTTAGATCAATCTTATTTAATACTTGGAGGTTAGAAGAAGCATCTTTAGGGGAACTATATAATATTCTGTTAGCATTTTCTCTGCATTTTAAAAAATCATTTCATCTCAAACACTTATCAGCGTCATGAAATCAGTAATGACTCTTAAACAATTCAACATAAAGGTTTGAACTCTGCACTAGATGTCTCTTTAATTTTTTAATATTTAAAATTTAGTTCAGGCTTTTCTCACCAGGTGCCTTTAGTGGTGACTAAGATAACTGACTTCTCAATTGTTTCTCTGAAAAAAGTGTTGCTGTGGGAATAATTTTAATGTTCAATGTGATATCATGGTGGAGTTTTGTCTTTTAAAACATTAGAAGCATTTTAAATACTAAGAATCAAATATTTATAGATCAAACACTTGTGTTTTAAGTATTATACGGGACCTGTTTACATATAGTAAATGTGTATGTATACATGAGTTGTTGCTGAAGCCGACAAGCATATTACATACATGCATTTTCCCTGTGCCATCATAGTTGCAGTTAGAGTTCTAGTACCTGTAGGCTCGCCTGGGAGGCAGATTAGACCCAAAGGTAGACATTTTTCCCTTTCCCTGAAGCATGATGGTGGTAGTTGATTCTTTGATTTCCTTAGTACCAAACTTTAAGGCTTTTGTAAAAACAAAACGAAAAAACTAGGAGCTTGGAACATTTAAAAATTAACGCTGCTACCATCAATTCATCAAATATTTACTTAGAACCTTCATACATTAAGATTCTGGTAACCAATAAATTAGAATTTATTTCTTCTGCATAAAGTAAATTTTCATACACTCGACCTACTGAGACAGCAAAGGTGTCCTAATTTGAGGCATTTGTGTAATGCCTACATAACTAAATGGTAACTAAAATGGGACAGCATGGGGCAAGACCTTGTAGTTCTTCACAGACTATTTGTCATCAGTTTCTCCAATTAATTTGCTGCATGAGCCAAATAACCATAATTCACCTTTTGTACCCACTGGAGCCATAATTAGAGAATCAGAGGGTGTAGACAGAGGTTAATGCCAATGACAAACACAGGGCAGGATTTATTATTATTATAAAGATCATTACATACAAAAGATTTTTTTTTTAAATTCCTAATTCTAACAAAGGGGATCAACCAGAAATGAAACTAAGCTACTTTCTGAAGTGACACTGTGTCAGAATAATCCAGATTTGAATATAACATTTTGCCACCCACTGACATTTAGATGAAGGACTGCCTCTCCGGAAGAGTTCAGAACATATTCAGGGGTGAACCTAACACCAGGGAAGAAAGACTACTGATGAAAATATTTTTCCACTTTGAACAAATCTGTAAACTACACCTTTCTTTATAGAAAAATGCTTGGAATAGTCACTGTAATATTTAGCTGTGGATAAAAATTTGTGAAAATAAATACTTTTGAATTAGAAAAAGCAAGGAAGAAGAATGGGGTTGATAGGATGTATATTTAAAATAGATTAACCAGGAACAACTGCACTGTGTTTTATATATGTGTGATAACATATGTATAATTATATATCACTATATATAATAACTATATCTTTATATCTGGTGCAGGTGAGTAAATAACCCATGCAAATATCTGGGGAAGGAATAGTCCAGGCACTACAGGAATATCAAAAAGGCCAATATGACACAAGCAGAGTAATGACAGAGTGATATGGAGTGAGGAGCAGATGAAATAATAAGAAAAGTAGGCAGGTCGTTTTGAGGGGTATGTGTCTCAAATTCTAATTTGCATATAAATCACCAAGGTTTCACATTAAAATAAAGATTCTGATTCAGGTGGTCTGGAGAGTTTATATTTCTTACAAGTTTCAGGGGATGCTGGTGCTACTGGTCTGTGTATCACACTTTGAATACCAAAGGACTGGAGATGCGTGCATGGTAAGGAGCTTTGGGATGTGAGTAATGTGGGTTGAATTGTGTCTTCCCCAAAAAGATGTTCAAATCCCAACTCTCAGTACTTGTAAATATGACATTACTTGGAAATAAAATCTTGCCTAGTCAATCAAGTTAAGTGGATTCAGATGGGCCCTTATCAAATGACTAGTGTGCTTGTAAGAACGTGGATATTTAGAAAAACACACAGTGGATAAAGTATGGGAAGATGAAGGAAGAGAATGGAGTCATGTAACTACAAGCCAGAGAATGCCAAGGATTGATGGCAACTGTGAGAAGCTAGGAAAAGACAAGGAAGGATCCTCCCCTGGAGCCTTCAGAGACCCTGAGACTGATGACACCTTACTTTCAACTCCTAGCCTCCAGAACTGTGAGAGAATAAATTTCTGTACTTTTAACCTACTCAGTTGGTGGTAATTTGTTGCAGTAGCCTGAGGAAACTAATACCTTGAGTGGGATGGAGAGTGAAGTCATTGGAGGGTTTTAAGAGAAGAATGGCTCGGTCTGACTTATTCTTAAAGAATCACCCTAATTGCAGAAACAAGAATAGACTGAAGGCAAGGGGCTACAGGGAAGTAGGAAGACCAGTTAGGCGGCTATAGCAGTAAACCTAACTGGAGAGTGGAGAGATGGTGGTTTGAATCAGGGGGGTAGTGATGGTGGTGAGACAGGAACAGAATCTGAAGATGTTTTGAATTACTATTGATAAAATTTGTTAACATTGTATGAGCTATAAAAAAATGAGGGTGGCTGGGAATGGTGGCTTACTCCTGTAATCACAGCACTTAGGGAGGCTGAGATGGGTGGACTACCTGAGGTCAGGAGTTTGAGACCAGCCTGGCCAACATGGTGAAACCCTGTCTCTACTAAAAATACAAACATTAGCCGGGCATGTTGGCGGGTGCCTGTAATCCCAGCTCCTCAGGAAGCTGAGGCAAGGGAATCACTTGAACCCAGGAGGTGGTGGTTGCAGTGAGCCAAGATCATGCCATTGCACTCCAACCTGGATGACAAGAGTGAAACTCCATGTCAAAAAAAAACGTAGAATGATTTATAATACTTTGGGTAGAAACCTAGTAACGGGATTGCTGGGTCAAATGGTGTTTCTGGTTCTAGAACCTTGAGAAATCACCACACTGCCTTTCACAACAGTTGAACTAACTTACACTCCCATCAACAGTGTAAAAGCATTCCTATTTCTCCATATCCTCTCCAGTGTCTATTGTTTCCTGACTTTTTAGTGGTCGCCATTCTAACTGGCTTGGGATGGTATCTCACTGTGGTTTTGATTTGCATTTCTCTAATGACCAGTGATGTGGGAGATCGGTCAGGGTGGTGGGAGAAGCTATAAGGAAAGACGCAAGCCTTCTTGAAAGGTTGGAAGGTCTTGCAAAAGCTTCATGAGAGAATAAAGGTGAAGGAAGAAAATTCTCTTTCTCTGAGGCTAAGGGTGAGAAGTAGGTGCAAGGAAAAGTGAAGAAGTTTATCTAAATATGCTTGTTTACTTATGTCATCAGGAAACTGACTTTTGAACTTCTGAGCATGAGACTGCTCCCTGTAAGAGGGAGCAAAAATGTTAATTACCCAGCAATTGTGTTGACTCCAGGCCTTGGACGTTATGCCAGTACTGAATAAATACAAGCAGCTCTGGCTTATCGAGACTGCTAACTCTCCTCTGCCCCTAGGGCTCGCAGCCTCCTAGCCTGCTCTTACCCTGTATATTTGTGTCTGAGTACTCCTTTCTTCTGTTGCTCAGCCAGGGTCTGCGGGATGGACCCGGCACAGTGATGATGAGCTTTTTTTCATGTTTGTTGGCCGCATAAATTTCTTCTTTTGAGAAGTGTCTGTTCACACCCTTTGCCCACTTTTTGATGGGGTTGGCACAAGCACATGTATGTTTACTGCAGCACTATTCACAATAGCAAAGACTTGGAACCAACCCAAATGCCCATCAATGATAGCAGCCTGGATAAAGAAAATGTGGCACATATATACCATGGAATATTATGCAGCCATAAAAAAGAATGTGTTCATGTCCTTTGCAGGGACATAGATGAAGCTGGAAACCACAGTCTCAGCAAACTAACACAGGAACAGAAAACCAAACACTGCATATTCTCACTCATAAGTGGGAGTTGAACAATAAGAACACATGGATACAGGGAGGGGAATATTACACACAAGGGCCTGTCAGGGAGTCGGGGGTAAGGGAGGGATAGCATTAGCAGAAATACCTAATGTAGATGACAGGTTGATAGGTGCAGCAAACCACCATGGCACATGTATACCTATGTAACAAACCTGCATGTTCTGCACCTGTATCACAAAACTTAAAGTATAATTAAAGAAAAAAATAGGGCTGCCAAGGGTATAAACAGGGTGTTTCGTGGCTTAATAACTGTATAACTATAAGGATGGAGTCTATTACCTCCTGATATGAGGAACATGATGAGAGAAGGTGAGAATGGGGAAGATGCTGGGTAAGTGGGGAGAATAGTAGGAGATTAAGAGCTCTTTTTGAGGTATGTTCGCTTTGAGATGCCTATTTTGCCTGCAAGTGGAGATAGTAATTAGGCTACTTGGCATAAGTCTGGAGTCCAGAGCATAGGTCTCCACTGGAGATTTATCTGACATGAGTTATTAAAAGAAATTATGATGTTTGGCAAGCATGTCCTTAAGTTGTGAGATTAACATCAAGAAGGACAATCATGTACTTCTAAAACATGGTGTTCAGTGTCACTTATTTGAAAACATACTGGGCCATTATTTGACCTGTGACAGTTCTGACATTCATTCTAAGACTACCAGATATGAAAGTCAGGAGACTGATTAGTTTCTTTTTTGGTGCTTTTCTCACTCTAAACTTCAACTTTCCATATCATTAAAGCCACTAAGGTAAACAATTAGCCTAAGAGGTATATTCATTACTTTTTTGCTGCCTTTAAATTTGATGCCTCATTGTAAAAAATATGACCTCACTTGTATTTGTGTGGATGATATTTTAAAAGATCATACTGGGCAGAGAATATGGACACTTTCATTATTTAATACTTTAGACTAATGCCAATCATTCAAACATGAATTCTTCATTCATCTGTCTTGTCAAAGAAACAGAGCTCATATTGCATATGTGAAATATCACCTAGTGTCTATTTCAATCGTATATATTTTCTGTTTGTATCTTAGAAAAATTATTTCACCTCAACAAGCATATTGCTTGTTGGAATTATCTGGATATAGTGATAAAATAATTATTTTCATCAACATCTGAAGAAAATGCCTATGTATCTGTTGGGATGGGAGGTGGGATGGAGAGGTGTGCAGTTGTCTAGCACCACTTGTGGCTGGGAAGGTATGTGTGTCTACAGTAACAGAAAAATCTATTGTCACCACAAAGATTCCCCATAGCTCCTTTAAAAATAAACCTGCCATCTTGATCTCCATCTGCCTGAATCTTTGGTATCTCTCCCTTAGTTCAAAATTCTGACAGAGAATAGAAGCATATTTATCAATCCTTCAAGCCCCAGTAGAAACATCAGAGGGAGAAAACTTAACCTATTTTGAAATGGTTGACCAATTCTCAGTGACAAAGCTACAGTTACAGTCTGATTTTCTTGTCCATTGCCAAGAAAAAATGATTCAGTCTGACTCCAATTTATAAGGGCATGTTGAAAGCAAGAATCCTACTTGTAGAGATTCTTCTTCTAGGCATGAGGAATGGTTTTTCCAGGTAATGGATTCCTAATTTGCCCTTCTGTGGAACTAGATTTGCATGACAGATGACAGAATATTTGTCACCTTAAGATTCTTGAAAAATTAATTTAAAGCCATGCTATTTCTAATTGTTTTGGCTTATGCTCTGAAGTTTTTTTTTGTTTTGTTTTTTGTTTTTTGTTTTTTTGAGACAGAGTCTCGCTCTGTCGCCCAGGCTGGATTGCAGTGGCGCAATCTCGGCTCACTGCAAGCTCTGCCTCCCAGATTCACGCCATTCTCCTGCCTCGGCCTCCCGAGTAGCTGGGACTACAGGCGCCCGCCACTACACCTGGCTAATTTTCTGTATTTTTAGTAGAGAGGGGGTTTCACCGTGTTTGCCAGGATGGTCTCGATCTCCTGACCTCGTGACCCGCTCGCCTCGGCCTCCCAAAGTACTGGGATTACAGGTGTGAGCCACCGTGCCCGGCCCTGAAGTTTTTCTAAGGCTGCCAAAATTGTGGTCACCAACATAATAGGTACCATTTTTCCATTATCTAGTGTAAAATATATATAATATGTTATATAATATAAAACTTAATATATCTGCTGGTGCATATAGCTTTATTATCATATAAGCTATATGAAAGCAGAAATATGCATTTAAATTCAACATTTGCAAAATGTTTCCTTTTTTTTTTTTTTTTTTTTTTCTTGAGACAGAGTCTCGTTCTGTCGCCCAGGCTGGAGTACAGTGGTGTGATCTCGGCTCACTGCAACCTCTGCCTCCCGGGTTCACGCCACTCTCCTGCCTCAGCCTCCTGAGTAGCTGGGACTACAGGCGCCCGCCGCCACACCCAACTAATTTTTTTGTATTTTTAATAGAGACGGGGTTCACCATGTTAGCCAGGATGGTCTTGATCTCCTGACCTCGTGATCCGCCCACCTCAGCCTCCCAAAGTGCTGGGATTATAGGCATGAGCCACCGTGCCCGGCCTGCTTTTAGCTCTTACAATCGAGGGTAAATAAGGGTGGATTGCAATATGCATATATTTGAAGAAACCTGATACACATTGCTTCATTTTTTCATACAGCCTTAAGCAGATTATTAAATTTACCTTTTTATTTGAGTACTAACACTTTTCCTACATAGTTAGAGAGAGCTGTTTGCTCAGTTAATGCAGCAAAGGGATGAGGGTAAGAATGTGTGACAGTTAGCTCATTCTAATTTGCTTATTGATTGTTGGACATATTCCCTCAATTAGTTGACCTCAGCTCCTATATTGGGGCTTACATTAGGTGAACACCCAGGGTCTCAGGGCTCCACGTGGGTGTTTGAAATCACTTGTCTAGATATATAAAAGAGAACAGGATATACTCACCACTTGCTTGGACACATTTTACTGCCTAAACGGTTCATTTACACTGGCCAGTGATGCATTACTTCTTGCCCCTAAGTGTTTCTCAATCTGTGTTTTGTATCTAAAATACGCCTTTTTCTCCATAATCTTTTAAGTTGTCTTTTTTTGCTAGCATTGCTTATAAAATCTCATTTTCTCCAAGAAATCTCTCTTGAAGCTTAGAAAAACAAAATTGGGGTAATATTTTCTAGGTAAGTAGGCACAATTCTATAATTCTATATTCCATGATTTGTATTAAATATAATATAAATATTGATACATATTCTTTGTCTTTCAGAATAGGTATGTTATGTTCATATGTGTCAGGTTGGATCAGTATTTAAATTTTACTACTGAGATAAACAAAGAGTTATTAGCAATTTTTAAAAGTTGCTGTACAATTTGTCATATTTCATTGTGCTTCTTAATGACAAATATGTCCAAGATTATATTGGGAGCTGCCATTTTCTGTACTTTATCCCCAGATTTGGGAGTGATACTTATTACAGCTTTCAGAATTTCAAGAAATAGTAGCACTACTTTTAACTAGACTAAAGTCTTTTGTTTTTCTTTTGTATAACTTTCTGGACATTTGTAAATTCATAGGATGTCTTCCTCAAATCACAAAATGCCTATCGTCTAATTCAATTGGGAGGTCAGATACCGGTTTAATTCTGGAGCCATATGAATATTGCCTGAGTTAATGTTATAGCTGAATATCATGCAAATGTGGAAAAAGTCTATTGAATCAATGTCATTTTATACATGGAAATAAGCAAACAGTTGTAAATAATATGGAATATTAAAAATCTTTCTAGTAAACCATTGTTTATGCTTTTCAATTGTCTTGCTAAAGAAACATAGCTTCTTTTACCATGATGGAAAATATTGTGCTGGAAATAAAGAAAATAACAAATTTTGGGTCTCAGCTTAGGTTATCAGTTACCTAGTCTTAAACAAATGATATATCACCAGTGAAATTTAGCTTTTAGACATCAGTAAAGTAAGAAAATAAGCCTTGTTTACCATGAAATTTTATGCAAAAATTAGGTAATATTTAACTGGACTTATAAAGGACTTCTTTTTTCAAGAAACAATAAGAAAATGACCTGAAATAGTATAAGTTTTTATTCATAAGTAAAATTATTGCTAATTCACTTTACAATAGTCTACTTTTATTAATGGTGATCCTTGCATATTAAGACTTACAATCCTATTAATAATTGCTCACCTACAAAGGACATTTGTCAAGGGATCAAAGTCTTCATGTACCACATAAAATATTATTATAACAAAGTAAACCAGCTGTATGCCTTTGATCACTACATCAATATCTAGATCTTTTAGCTTCTATTTCTGTTCCATTCTGCTAGCCAAGGGTCTTTATAAAAATACAAAGGAAAATGAACAGCTAGTAACACATTTGATGTGCCACTCTGATGGACTTCAGAATGCTTAATATCATCTTGTTTAATTTCATGTTTCAAAAAGCTTCTCAATGGCAGGATCAATTACTTTCAATCTCCACATCAATCAGTCCAGATGGTTCTCATGATTTGCTAAGGATAGCTGCAAACTGAACTTTGTGAACCCACGATGCATATTGTGTTAATCCTTGATATGGAAGGATCCTTCTGCAGAATAAGCGGAGCTGAAAAAGGTGTGCTTACTTTCACAAACTGAATGTTATTTAAGGAATAAAAGGTATTCTTTAAAGTGTTAAATCCAGATGAACACTGAAAAATACAGTCTTCAGAAAAATCAAGTGATTTCACTTCTGTATTCATTGCTGAAATGAGAACATCATTTCATTTCTAATTCTAATTTGAATTTTGATTTAAGGTTAAAAACACTTTAGGATTGTTTCTTATTGCAGAATAATCTGTAACTTGTTCTGTAAACACTAGTTGCTAGGCTAAAACAGTGAGTTATATTTCTTTGTGTATGATACTATTTGTTTATTGTCAATTTTTCCTGAACTCACCAGTAGAATATATTTTAATTTGAATAATTTAAGAAGCAATGTCACCAATATGGATAGAACAATAATTTCACTTTTGTTACTAATTTAATTAAGAAGGTGATTTTTAGCAATATCCATTTCTATTTGGTTGTGTTTTTATCTATTTCAATTATTTTCTATATTGGAAGTAATTATGAATTTTAATTTTCATACAGCCCTCTTATCTTTTACTTAAAAAATTTAATGTTTAATGAATTTGGAGGGAGGGCCAACCTTCATTCTTACATTTATTTATACATTCAATGGGAAAGCAGTACTATTCTCCTGAATGTTCAAACAAGCAATGGAAATTTGCAAGAGAGAAATAATTTAAAATTTTCATCACATTGTATTGAAATTTCATCTTTGTTTCCATTTTTTCACCAGATCTTGAGCTCTTGAAGATGCATTGCCCATAGATGGTCTCATTAATTTAAGCAATGTTTTCAGGGCAGTTATTCTGTGAATATGCCTGTAGGATTTAACTGGTCTTTGAATTATGGATATTATTTGGAAAGCTGGAGAGGAGAGTGAAGGACACTATATAGGTAGGCAAACATCTTGAAATTTTGAAACATTGTGTAATTATTTTACACATAACTGCCTGGACATGACCAACAGGTATAAGAATAGAATCTGTTGGTTGCTAAAACTATACATTTTTAGTTAATGTCCAACATGTACCAATAGATGCCACTGAAGATCTTCTATGAAGTTCCTCCTAAGAGTCATAACTGGTGAACACAGTTCATCCATGGGGAATACAGACTATAACTTACTAATGGATTTAGGAAGGAATCTACCTAGCATTTTTGGGAAAATGTGAATAAATCAACCTGATCAATGTGGTGGGCTCCTCTAGAAAATAGAAAAATAGGGTTAGGCTAAGTAATGTGGAGATTTGAGAAGATAGATCTGGGGTGATAGAATATTAGATATAACAAAGGCAGTCTCTTCAACTTTACCAAGTTTTTATTGTCATTTGTGCTGGTGTCTATCAAATTGTATGTGACTGCTTGCTTTCAATATGGCAAATGCATCTTCAGAAACATTATAACTAAGATAACTTTTCCAATAGAGTGCAAAATGTGCATCTCTAGAAAGGTTTACTCAGAGAACTCTGGCAATACAATGCCACATACATGCAGCGTTATGATCTTTAGTTTGATTTCTCCTTCCCTTGACCCTGAATAGGACTCTACAGTCAAGGAAGTTGAATGGAGAAGGAATTTGAGACGTCAGGCTGTGTTTGTTAAAAGGGTTTTATGATGTCTTCTCTTTGAGTAAATATACTGGCTATTGTATCTTTCTTCCTTCCTTCCTTCCTTCCTTTATTGTATCTTCCTTCCTTCCCTCCTTCTTTCCCTGTTTCCTCCCTCCCTCCCTCCCTTCCAGCCTTCCTTCTTTCCTTCTTTCTTTCCTTCCTCCCTCCCTCCCTCCCTCCCTTCCTTCCTTCCTTCCTTCCTTCTCTCTCTCCTTCCTTAACTCCCTTCTTTCCTTCCATCCAGAATTATTTTTGAGAAACGCTGTGATGTGTCAGTTGGTAGCACATTCTCTGGAGCTGGTTGCTTGGATTAAAATCATAACCCTTCCTCCTATTAGCTATGTGACCTTGAACAAGCTACTAGGCCATAAATTAGGACTAATAATGGCATCAATATGATCTTGCTATAGACTGAATTGTATGAGTTAATGTATGTGAAGCATTTTTATATGGTAAGAATTGGATAAAATACAGTTACTATTTTATTTATTGAACACTTAGCATTTTTTAGCTTTTTATTTTGAAAAGATCTTAGATCCATAGGGAGTTTCAAATACAGAGAGGTCTCGTGTACTATTCTACACAGTTTATTTCAAGAGTTACATCTTGTATAATTTAGTACAATATCAGGACCAGGCATTGACATTTATACAATGTGAATTCATAGGTCTATGCCAATTTTATCACGTATTGATTAATGTGACCATTATTACAATTAAGTTACAGAACTCTTCCATCACTAAAAGTGTCTTCCTCACATTTTATAGCCATATTCATCTCACATTCCCATACCATCACTAACCTCTGGAAATCACTAATCTGTTTTCTATATGTATGTTATTTTATTAAAGTTATATACATGAAATAATATGCCATGTGTCCTTTTGATATTTGCTTTTTTTCACTAAGCATAATGCCCTTCAGATCTATGCAAGTTATTGCATGTGTCAAAAGTATATTCTTTTTTATTTCTGGGTAGTATTTAATCATATGGATATACCACAGTTTATTCAACCATTCACCTGTCCAACATCTTGGATGTTTCCAGTTTTTCTCTGTTAGAATTAAAGGTGCTATGAAAGATATTAAAGATCGCATATAGGTTTACATTTCTCTTAGATAAATTTCCAGGGGTGCAATTGCTGGATCTTATTATAAATATATGTTTAGTTTTTAAAGAAACTGATAAATTATTTCCAGAGTATTATAACATTTTACAATTCAAATAATGTATGAATGATACAGTTTCTTCATCATTGCCAGCTTTTGTTGTCACTATTTTTATGTTTAGTTGTTTTAATAAGTGTGTAGTTACCTAGTATTTTGATAAGAGCTGAGGATACAAATTTGAGTTGATCAAGAAGTCAAACAAATAGAAAGCAATCATTAAAGATTACAATAAAAATAAACGAAGTGAGGAGACTGCTAGTAACCAGGGAAGGAACTTTAATTAAGGTATTTCAGAAAACTTCTTAGCCGAGATTTCAAAGAACAATGATCTAATTTTACAAAAAGCCACAGAAAGCTTATTTTAGAAAGAAAGAGAAACAAGCACAAAATTCTAGAGGCAGAAAAAGGGTTGGCATATACAAAGACTGTGGAAATAATTAAGAATGTTTTGGGTGTGATAAGAAAAGAAGGGAAGTGTATGACGTGGTTGGAGAGGTAGGTAGAAAACATCAAGCCAGGATCTATGGTCATTAAAAAGAAGTTGGAAATTTTTCTTTATATTAGCAGAGGAAAGCCAAACAAGGAGTTAAAGCAGAAAGTAGGGAATGAAGAGTCAAGATCTTGTGTGCTTTAAAAAAAAAAGCCACTCTGACTACTGTGAAAATAGAGCATTTAGGGAGGAGATGACAAGTGGGGAGGCAGATTTGCAATGCATTGTGGTATTCTGACAGAGAGATGGGTGTGGCTTTGAGAAGTGTTCACGGAAGAAACGGAAATCTTGGAAATGGAGAGTCATGGGGAAAAAAAGAACCTAGGTCGACCTCTAGGTTTTGGGCATGAGTCATACAGGCACAGTGTAGTACCATTTATTGAGATGAGAAAAGCTGTTGAAGGAATTTTGTTTTGCTTTGTTTCAGTGTGAACACGTGCAGCAGTCAGCTTGATTTCAGACATACTAAATTTGAGTTTTCTGTTAGATACGCAGGAGATTTCAAATAGGAGATTGGATATATTAGCTAAAATATTGCATCTGCAAGTCTCTTTTTTCAACTGATCTTAGATGGATGGATAAATAAGATAAACCAGTTGAAGTCCAGTGGAAAAATATTCCATTAAAATAAGACCTATTTGGGCTTCTATTATGATATTTTGCCCTTTCTTATCTCTGTGACTAGAGTGAATAATAATAATCAGAGATGCAGTTTTCTCACCTGTGCAATAGTAATTTCTATTAGATATGCATAGTGTGGAAAATTAGCTAAACTCATTCATACAAAGTAACTCTGACATTGAAGGTTCTAAAATTAACAACATTTAGAATTTTAATCTTCCATCTAGTTTTACCATTTGGAGTATATAAGGAAACCTAGAAAGAAACCTTATATCCACTTGTCTATCCTATAATATTTGCACATTATAGGGTATAATCTCAGGGCATAAATACAACTTTTTATAATTCCTATAGAGTGATACTCTTAGGCCAATATTACTGATCTTGAAAAGTGGGGTATTGAGGTATTTTACTTGGTTGTAAGCCATCAACGTGTTTTACAAATGTGATATTATGTTTTGATATTAGTAAAAAAAAGAAGCTTCAAAATGTCCTCTCTTTCTTTGAATGCAATCACAATCATTTCCTTTTTGAATTTTAAATATAAGTAACCTAAAACTTAATAACTTGCTCACAAGTCTAGAAGCAGACAAAATATCACCCACAAACCTGATTTATAATACTACGTTAAACTGACTTAAGGTTTTAGACATTCATAAACATCTTTTAATCTATTCCCCTTTTGCATGGATATGTAAATATATACTCCAGGAGGTATAATTTTTGTAGTTATTGTAGTGCTTTTGTAATGAAGAACTAAGTCTATTTTCACAGTGATAGAGAATTGAGTTGAGTTCTTTTGACCCTGGATGGATTTGTCTATTTTTTAAGGTGCTACTTAAAAATGTATAGGAGAAAATAAAAATAAATTATCTCTTTCATAAGTTAAAAATATTTTACATTTCAGCATTCTGAAAGCACAGAGGTTTCAACAAAAATGATGGTTTAGAATCAAATTCAATAAAGAAACATCAGCTTGAGATCAGACTCTCTGAGGAATGTTTTTTTTTCCTGATGAATCTCAGCCATTCAAGGTCCTTATAAATAAGTGAGAGCACCTTTGATTTTTGACTTTTTATAGTTAACAATTTCAGTTTGCTAATACAAAAGACCTCATGCCTTTTCATCCAGAAAACAGAGAACACTTTCTATTATGTAAGAGTATTATGTTTGAAGGAGTATGTTTGCTTCAACTATGCGTGCTATGGTACAGAAAGAAAAACCACCTCCCTGTAGGTCTAAATCCAAGGGGTTTTCAATGTATTTGGGTTAAGTTATGTTGTAAGGTTATAGCTCTCTAAGATTTTTACAAGATGCATTATTAAACATGAATCTTCTGTAACGTGTACAGCATATCTTGTATAAAACAATGCAATATTTTCTTCTAAGTATGGGATGGCTTTGGTCACCCATGCTTAAAAAAACTTTGAAGAGACAATTCATCTTTTTCCTATGAAGCAATTTTTATTAATTGACATAATTCTTCAGCAGTCAAGCTATTACAGTCATTAGGTAGTCCTTTCCTTTATTCAGAAGCCCAAGAAGTTAGTAGAGGTTTGTATACTACGCACCTTTCACCAGAAAATAAAAAGGGAGAACTTTAAGTATTTGACATCATCAAAAATTAGGTGTTATGGTGCTATGCTTAAGTTTTGATATTATATATTAATTACATTTCCCTTAGTACTACCTCCTCTGAATTCTTGAGCTTGTCAGTAGTTGAAAACATTTGAACCTAAACCATTTTTGCACATTCAGAACTAAATGTCTGGGTAACTTGGGAATTAATACTCTACAACCTGTGATGGAGCAGGGAGCAGGGTCAGCTGTCCATTAGCATCTCTTGTGAGGTCTCTCCATTTTCATAAAGAGGCTTGAGAAAATCTCCAGATTTGCCTGAGGGTAGACACAAAGCAATACTCAGTTATACTCAATGTTATCAACCTACTGGACTTGGTATAAAAGACTTTTTGAGCACTGTATTGCCTATTAAAAAACAGTAAAGTGTAAAAGATAGTTCTTTAGACAAATTGGGCCACGGAAATGCCAAATCATTAGTTTTGGTGTCTGTAATGCCTCACAAAGTTATAAACTTTTATGAATAATTTGCTAAGAAATTAGCTCTAATGACAGGTAGTTTATGTATATACCTTGATAACATCTACAGGTATCTTATGCACATGACATTATAGAAATATTTGTTTGGGTTTTTCTCAACCAGTCATTTTCTACACCATAATTCCAGCTCAGCCCACTCCACTTGCAATTGCTTGCTCTCATCTTCTAACTCCTGTTTATTCTTCTCAATTTCTGCTGTAATGGCTTCATTTAACCTGCTCCTCTGTATCTTGTATGCTTTTTAGTTCACTGCTTATTTCCTTCTTCCTGCTGGAAAACTTGGCTAAATAACTCGTATTAATATTTTAGCCTCATTTGGCTTTAAGATTATCTCATAAGGATATCCTATATAAATGGTAGTTAATATTTCTGAGCACCAACTTCCCTTACTCCAGCTCTCAGACTTCTTCCCATTGTTATGACAATTGAAGGCTTTTTAAATTCCTGTCTTAGGAAAAGTGGCCCAAAATTTGCCATAGATCTATGATGTTTTAATTAATACTGACCTCTGAATGATCTAGAAAATAATGGTAAACCATGTATACATATTTGTGTGTGCACATGTGTGCATGTATCCATAGCATCTGTGTGTGTGTACATTTTATAGATTTTGTCTTTGTATGAAGAAATATATTGAATATCCAAATAAGCATAATTTCTCTACAAGTGAGGTATGTGGGTTAAAATCTAGTGAACAAAATATAACTATACATTCATGATTTGGAAACCTTTTAACATGATTCCTGAGGAATTACTCAATTGTTAATTGTTTCTGCCTTCTCTACCAAAATGACTAATATTTGGACTGAGAAGAAAAAAAGAGAACCTCGGTAAGGAAAAGTGGAATTTCTGTAGGTGGTAACTCTGGAATATCCCACCAAGAGAATGAATCAGATTAAAATAATGACTGTAGAAATTTCCTTGTTAGTGAATATTCAGCCTGGCCTTAAGGAAAATGTAGCTCTCTCTTACTGCTTTGTATCTTATTTCTTTTACTATGTCAATTCTCACCTTAGTAGAACTACTACTAGTTCTAGTACCATGGCTATCATAGATGCAACCATTATATTCCATTTAGTTTCTTCCTCAGGTTCCCTAACAATTGTTTGAAACTGAATATATATGTTTATGTATGTGTGTGTGTTCACTTTCATGTATATGGTGTATATGGGATGTGTGCAGTTTTCAGTTTTATATATATTCATATATATACATGCATATATGTGTATAATATACATATATACATGCATACACATGTATAATATACATATATACATGCATACACATGTATAATATACATATATATACACATATATGCACACATATAATCACTGAGTTCCAAAGTGAGTCTTTATTTGGTGCAATTGTATTCTCTCCCCTCTGTCTGCTCACTGGCCTTTGCAAGACATAGCAGTTGCTTGATTTTCCTTTGGATAAGAGTCTTATCTTCGGCACTCTTGACTCTAGCCTTAAATTTAGATTTCTATTCCAGAATACCTCTCATATCAATCTTAAAACCTAAGATGGGTAAAGAGGTCATAAGATTTTTAGTATGAAAGAGTTTGCTTAGTTAAATTATATCTCAGGAAACTCATTCATCTACCAGTTAAATTGTAAAATATTGTTTGTTGTATCTGAAAAAATCTTTAGAACAAGAAATGTAACTGGGTAGCCTGTTATATCAAAGAACCCTCGATTTATTAAGTCTCCTCATAGCCATATCCTTATATAGCCCTCTCTGACACTGACTTAATAGACACTTGACAAATTATAGTAAATTTAGGCTTGCCAAATTAAAATGGCAGCAATGCCAAATGAGAACCTGATCTACTCTACCAGAGAGACTAAGTGGAGGAGAACCCAGCTGATAGCACCAGTGAAGTGCCAGATATTTGAGTGATGTCACTTTGGACTATGTAGGCCTTGTCAGTCATATAAGGAAACCTAGGCAAGACTCCGACTATTATCCTCCTGAGCCCAACCAAAGTTAACAAATTGTGAGTTTGTGTTTTAAGCAACTAAGTTTGATGACTGCTAATTACACAGCAATGGATAATTGAAATAACAGCTAAAGCTTAAAGATGAGATAATGTGTTGTGTTTAAAAATTTAGCAAGTGAGTACTTCATGAATATATTTACCTTGATGGCATTACAAGCTAAATTTTACTGGGCTTTATTAGAACAAATTATTTGAGCATTGATGAGAAAGTGAACTTTCAAACTATCTTATTTACGTTTATGTTTCAGTTATCCCACAAAAGCAGGAAATTACTTTCAACAATGCACCTGAGGTATTTTATAGTAACTCTCTGGTTATTTCCATGTGTCAGGTGGAGAAATATGGATCAGACACAAAGACAATAAGATTCATTGCTCTCTAGCGGAATACTTTTTCTTAAATGGGTTTATTAGTGAATTGAGAACTTGATTTGATGTTTACTCTGACGTGTGATGTAAAGTTCTTCCTAAAGCCCCCTTTCTTTTCCTTTTTAAAATTATTAACATAGATGAATACAGAGAATGTGAACATATTAGCTATACAGATATCACAACAGGAGAACAGTAAATGTTATGTTTTAGACTATTTCAACCCTAAAATATGGACACAGGTTGGAATGAGGATCCAATTCAGCATAATAGCCTCTAATGGAATGGGAAACATATAAAATCCTGTGTTGCTTTATGAAATGTTGCTTATTTGCTGCATGGTTTTAAAAAGTATCAGTTTTATTTAATAGTGGGATCTTTATGTCAGTGATTACTGATGTTTCCAGCAAGCTAATTCATACCAGGGAGACAATGTAAACATTTAGAAAGGGGATTATATTTCTGTACTATCTGCATATGTCAGATGACAACGAGAGTTTCAAAGTACAATCTTATGAAGGGTTGTATTGCAGATTTGGCCTAGAAGCCCAAAACCATTAAATTTTTATCAAAATTATACCTGAAAATTCTTCATGTTGTTTATTAGCAGTCATTATCTTTACAAAGATATAGGAAATAAAGTGATTTCCATCTGTTGCAATCACTTGCCTTTTACAATAGACAAAATTGTTATTTTCATTAGATTTTACAAAAGGAATGATATATAAATTTTTAAAAGGCATGTTTAGGTTCTTTCACCAGAGAAATTTAGATTATTCTTGCATAAAATCAATAAACATAATCCAGCACATAAACAGATCCAAAGACAAAAACCACATGATTATCTCAATAGATGCAGAAAAGGCCTTTGACAAAATTCAACAACACTTCATGCTAAAAACTCTCAATAAATTAGGTATTGATGGGACATATCTCATAATAATAAGAGGTATCTATGACAAACCCACAGCAAATATCATACTGAATGGACAAAAACTGGAAGCATTCCCTGTGAAAACTGGCACAAGACTGGGATGCCCTCTCTCACCACTCATATTCAACATAGTGTTGGAAGTTCTGGCCAGGGCAATCAGGCAGGAGAAGGGAATAAAGGGTATTCAATCAGGAAAAGAGGAAGTCAAATTGTCCCTGTTTGCAGGTGACATAATTGTACATCTAGAAAACCCCATTGTCTCAGCCCAAAATCTCCTTAAGCTGATAAGCAACTTCAGCAAAGTCTCAGGATACAAAATCAACGTACAAAAATCACAAGCATTCTTATACACCAATAACAGACAAACAGAGAGCCAAATCATGAGGGAACTCCCATTCAAAATTGCTTCAAAGAGAATAAAATACATAGGAATCCAACATACAAGGGAGGTGAAGGACCTCTTCAAGGAGAACTACAAACCATTGCTCAATGAAATAAAAGAGTATACAAACAAATGGAAGAACATTCCATGCTCATGGGTAGGAAGAATCAATATCGTGAAAATGGCCATACTGCCCAAGGTAATTTATAGATTCAATGCCATCCCCATCAAGATACCAATGACTTTCCTCACAGAAATGGAAAAAACCACTTTAAAGTTCATATGGAACCAAAAAAGAGCCCGCATCACCAAGTCGATCCTAAGCCAAAAGAACAAAGCCGGAGGCATCACGCTACCTGACTTCAAACTATACTACAAGGCTACAGTAACCAAAACAGCATGGTACTGGTACCAAAACAGACATATAGATCAATGGAACAGAAGAGAGCCCTCAGAAAAAATGCCACATATCTACAACCATCTGATCTTTGACAAAGCTGACAAAAACAAGCAATGGGGAAAGGATTCCCTATTTAATAAATGGTGCTGGGAAAACTGGCTAGCCATATGTAGAAAGCTGAAACTGGATCCCTTCCTTACACCTTATACAAAAATTAATTCAAGATGGATTAAAGACTTACATGTTAGACCTAAAACCATAAAAACCCTAGAAGAAAACCTAGGCAATACCATTCAGGACATAGGCATGGGCAAGGACTTCATGTCTAAAACACCAAAAGCAATGGCAACAAAAGACAAAATTGAGAAATGGGATCTAATTAAACTAAAGAGCTTCTGAACAGCAAAAGAAACTACCATCAGAATGAACAGGCAACCTATAGAATGGGAGAAAATTTTCACAACCTACTCATCTGACAAAGGGCTAATATCCAGAATCTACAAAGAACTCAAACAAAGTGACAAGAAAAAAACAAACAACCCCATCAAAAAGTGGGTGAAGGATATGAACAGACACTTCTCAAAAGAAGACATTTATGCAGCCAAAAAACCCATGAAAAAATGCTCATCACCACTGGCCATCAGAGAAATGCAAATCAAAACCACAATGAGATACCATCTCACACCAGTTAGAATGATGATCGTTAAAAAGTCAGGAAACAACAGGTGCTGGAGAGGATGTGGAGAAATAGGAACACTTTTACACTGTTGGTGGGACTGTAAACTAGCTCAACCATTGTGGAAGTCAGTGTGGCAATTCCTCAGGGATCTAGAACTAGAAATACCATTTGACCCAGCCATCCCATTACTGGGTATATACCCAAAGGATTATAAATCATGCTGCTATAAAGACACATACACACGTATGTTTATTGTGGCACTATTCACAATAGCAAAGACTTGGAACCAACCCAAATGTCCAACAATGATAGAGTGGATTAAGAAAATGTGGCACATATACACCATGGAATACTATGCAGCCATAAAAAATGATGAGTTCATGTCCTTTGTAGGGACATGGATGAAGCTGGAAACCATCATTCTTAGCAAACTATCACAAGGACAAAAAACCAAACACTGCATGTTCTCACTTATAGGTGGGAATTGAACAATAACACATGGACACAGGAAGGGGAACATCACACACCAGGGACGGTTGTGGGGTGGGGGGAGTGGGGAGGGATAACATTAGGAGATATACCTAATGGTAAATGACGAGTTAATGGGTGCAGCACACCAACATGGCACATGTATACATATGTAACAAACCTGCACGTTGTGCACATGTACCCTAAAACTTAAAGTATAATAGTAATAAATAAAATAAAACAAAAGAACTAGTTTGTTGAGTTCATTTAGGAACTAAGTTGTAAGAAATATTGCACCAGACAATTTGTTTTCTGAGATGAAGCTCAAGTAACTATGAGCACAGTATCAGGAATGACATTCATTTGTTCCCAGCTGTCTCTAGGCATTTTGCACTCTTGAAAAATACTAAGTTCCCTGGACCTGAAGAGATTCATGAATCAGTAAGAATGTGAGCCCCTTGAGTGTTCAATATCCCTTCAAACCTTAGAAACTGTAAGTCAATGACGGTGCTTATCATATCACAAGAGTATAGTTAGCTTCTTTTAAAAGACATAAAAGACCCCTCTGAGTTAGCCCTAGACACATATTACTCCAACTGCCTGAAGAAAGGTTTAGCGATCCATACAGAATTACTCTCAATTAGATTTAGAGAAAACATTCTCTCTTTGAAGAACACTAGAATTGAGGAAAATATGGTAGAGCATATAGGTTATTTTGCCTTTGTTACTTTGTAGACCTTAAATCATGGAGTGAGTTAGAACACAGTATATTTGTGACAACCATGACAGTTCAGAGAAATGCAGTGAGGTCATTTACTCTGAAACTGAAAGACACTAATCTCTGCTCTGAGACCCACAAAGTCAGATTATCTGTTTTACCTGTGTGATTTCTATTCCTCTCATTTTGTTGTTCTTTTTATAAAACATCTTTGCTAAATAATAAAGTTATTACTCTAAGGTAGTGTCCAGGTCTCTTTGATAATAATGAAATGTCCATGGCCAAATCCCATTGCTTTGTTTTGACAGTGTGCTCCAAGAAAATTACTTTGATATGCCCTCTCATATTAGAATAAACACATTCTACATACCTATTGCCTACATCAAGTTTTGAATTATACCATTTTCAGGTTTAACCTGGTCATACAGCAGATTTTCTTAATGGTTGGTGAACACGGAATAATAGTTTAATCATTCAGATAAACTATTTTGCAGAAACATTTAAAATCAGAAATTGCAGAACTACTATCTGAACTTTAAAGGGACACTCTTAACCATATTTTGTTTTATTTAGTACTCACGCTGACAAGTTGATTTACCACCTCATTTTCCCAACAAGTGTCAAGATTTCAATATGCAGTTAATGGTTTCTAAAAACAGTGACTATTTAATTACATCCTTATAGTTTCCCCAAATTGCTTATAGTTTGCCCGCATTTAGTTAGGTCTATAATATTTCTCAATTAGTGTAAAAATTTCTACTCCTTTTTAATCATTGATGCATATAATGATGTATAAAAATTATTATGTAGATAGCCCCTCCATGAAAACTTAAAGTCAAAAGCTTTTAGCATCAAAGTATCAGAATACAAACTAAAGAAAACACACCAATTCAGAAAGATTTTCTTTAAATATATTAAAGTGAATAAAATGTTCACAGAGAATCACTCACATCTAAGGATATAGACTTTTTCCTAAAGTGAAACTATTTTTGGCTCACTCAGACTCTGAGTAGTGTTTCACTGATTTTGAATTTCACTGGTCAGAACCAGTGTTGGTAGTAAGAATTATTTTCCCAGAAGAGAATGGAAATGCTTGCCAACTCTACTTTCAACCCTTGCTGGAATCCCTATATTGTGGGTAGAGATATGACTAAATTAAGCAGTTTTAAGTCTAAGCCAGAAAGATTTAATTATTGATTTATTGGTTTTACAATTGTTAAATATTGCCTTTAACCGAGTATATGTTTTATCATGTAATAATCACTTTGGCAGCCTCAAATGTCATGGGTTCACAGGGTAAATGTTAAGGTAATAGCTAAACAATTGAGCGTATAGGAGATCTATAGTAAGTGAAAAAAATTCAAGATGTAATACAGAGTCCAGTATGACAGACTTGAGAAACTTTCAAAAACTAGGAAAAGAAAACCAAAAGTCATTCTTGCAGTGTCTCTGATTGCACTGACTTGATGCAGAATTGGTGCATTAACATATGTATACATTACATATGTATACATGTGCCATGCTGGTGTGCTGCACCCATTAACTCGACATTTAGCCTTAGGCTAAATGCTATCCCTCCCCGCTCTCCCCACCCCACAACAGCCCCCAGAGTGTGATGTTCCCCTTCCTGTGTTCATGTGTTCTCATTGTTCAATTCCCACCTATAAGTGAGAACATGCGGTGTTTGGTTTTTTGTCCTTGTGATAGTTTGCTAAGAATGATGGTTTCCAGCGATAGTTGACTGAGAATGATGAATTAAAATAAAAATGCATGCACTTTCAAATGTACTTAGTGCAACATATTGAACTTACATTCCAGTTTTCCTGGAATTACTTGTGTCTTGAGCTAAAGGCTGTATTTGGTATAACAGGGAAGGAAAGAAATTATTTTTCCTATAAAATTAGTTTAAAAACACATATAATTAAACAAAATAAAAATATTATCCCACCTTTTAAAGAACATTTACTAAGTCACAGATATTACCTGAAGTTTAGAAAATCACCTAAGAACAATTGTTTAAAAATTATTTAGGGAAAATGAAGCAAAATTGTTTTTACAATCTGAGATTTTAACAGCCAGTGCACTCCTGTTCTTCAGCTGAATGTCCCCTTCATTCTGAATGTCTGCAGTAGAATTGAATTGGGGAGCAGTTAGGTTCCAGGAACATATTCACTCCTGTTTTGTTCTCTCCCCAATCTCTGCCTTTCGGTGACTGTTTGGGCAAAGCCTCCCTTGTGGTAGAAGATGCCTCACTTCTGGGGAGAGGAGACTCCTCATCTTGCAGACAAGAAGCAGCACCCACTGGTTCCTGCTCCAAAAGCCATTAACATTATAAACTGGCCAGGTGCGGTGGCTCAAACCTGTAATCCCAGCACCACTTGGGAGGTTGAGGCAGAAGGATTGCTTGAGCCCAGGAGTTTGAGAACAGCCTTGGCAACAAAGTGAGACCCAATCTCTACAAAAACTAGAGAAAAAATAGCTGGGTGTGGTGGCACTCACCTATACTAAGGAGGCTGGGCTGGGAGGATCTCTTGAGCCCAGGTGGTTGAGGCTTCAGTGAGCCAAGATCATGCCTCTGCACTTGAGCTTGGGTGACAGAGTAAGATCCTATCTCAAAAAATAAATTATAAACTGATTCACAATAACTTTGGTTTTGTCACTAATATGCTGAATATTTTCGTTACAACTAATATACAAAATGCAAACTGGCTATCACTACCATTCTGATAATGGAATTAGCTGTCCTACATACCTGATGACCTAATGCTTAACCTAATCTTCCTCTTTCCCACTTTGATTTGGAAACTTGTTACAATAGAGTTCTTTACCTCAAAGTCTTAAGGAATTCAAGACAAGACTAGAGTATGTTAAGATACCACAAAAAAAAAAAATATATATATATATATAGCAAGAGCTTTCTTGAGTAAGCAAATTTTATACATATAAAAATAATTTACATGCAAATGACCAAGAGGAAAGGTTAAGTGACTCTGGTGTAAATAATTAGTTTACTGATTCTGCCAGAGCATATTAAGAAAAATTCACTTTGGAAAAATAATATGGATTTAAAGAAGTAACAAGTGGGTTTCTCTAAAGCACAGTTTGGCTTTTTACTAGAATATCAAGTCACCTTTTTGGGTGAGGAGAGTACAATGGGAGTGGGCAGCTGGTGCAAATAAACATTTACAATTACTTAAAACTTCAACAAATGGGATCTGTATTTAAATCTGTTTTGGTCTGTCTTCCCTTTGTTTTTTCTAATCCATTCCAACAATGCAAACCTCAGCCACTGTCAAGGGCAATCTCAGACTGGAGGTTGCTGCCTAGGGTGAGGTTCTAGCAAGACTGACAAGCAGAGCTCAGGGAATAGTCTGCATGGGAAAACAGAGCCAGACTTAGAAGGCATTGCTGATGAATTCCATTTTCTTACTACAGAAGAGCTAGCAAAAACTGCAATATGATGTGTAAAGTCAGTGTAATCTTATGGACATTATACCAAGTCACAACATGAGGCATGAGATACCTCAGATGTTGTTCCCTCTAAATCTCATGTTGAATTGTGATATCCCCAATGTTGGTGGTAGGTCTGGAGGGAGGTGATTGGATCATGGGGGTGGATTTCTCAGAAATGGTCTAGCATCCTGTCCCTGGTGCTGTCTTTGTGATAGTGAGTGAATTCTTGCAAGATCTATTTGTTTAAAAGTGTGTGGTGCTTCCCCTGCCTTGCCAGGTGATGTGCCTGCCTGCTCCTTCTTCATCTTCTGCCGTGAATAAAGCCTGCTGAGGCCTCACCAGGAGCTAGGCAGATGCCAGAATCATGTTTGTACAGCCTGCAGCTATACAAACCTCTTTTCAAACCTCTTTTCTTTATAAATTACCCAGTCTCAGGTATTTCTTTATAGCAATGTAAGAATGACCTAATACAGAAAATTGGTACTGAGACATGGGGCATTGCTATAAAGATACTTGAAAATGTGGAAGTGATTTTGGAACTAGGTAATGGGCAGGAGTTGGAAGAGTTTGGAGGGCTCCTAATACAGGAAGATGAAGGAAAGTTCTGAATTTCTTAGAGACTAGTTAAATGGTTGTGACCAAAATGCTGATAGTGATATGGACGGTGAAGGATAGGCTGATGCGGTCTCAGATGAAAATGAGGAACTTACTGGGACTTGGAATAAAGGTCATGCCTGTTATGCCTTTGCAAAGAACTTGGCTGCAGTCTGTTCATGTACTAGGGATCTGAGGAAGTTTGAACACTCAGATGCAGGAGCAAAAAAATGACTTAAAGTTGGAATTTACAATTAAATGGGAAGCAGACCATACAAGTATAGAAAATTTGCAGCCTGCCCATTTGGCAAAGGAAGATAAAGCATTTTCAGGGGAAGAATCTAAACAGGCTGTGGAGCAACCACTTATTAGAGACATTTGCATAACTGAAAAAGAGCTAGGTGCTGATAGCCAAGACAATTAAAAAAAGGCCTTGAAGGCATTTCAGAAATCTTTGCAGCAGCTCATCCCAGCACAGACCTAGAGGTCTAGGATGAAAGAATGGTTTCTTGTGTAGTGGGATTTTAAAAATTAATTAATTTATTTATTTATTTATTTATTTATTTTGAGACAGAGCCTCACTCTGTCTCCCAGGCTGGAGTGCAGTGGCACAATCTCAGCTCACTGCAAGCTCTGCATTCCGGGACATGCCATTCTCCTGTCTCAGCCTCCCAAGTAGTTGGGACTACAGGTGACTGCCACCATGCCTGGCTAATTTTTTGTATTTTTAGTAGAGACGGGTTTTCACTGTCTTAGCCATGATAGTCTCAATCTCCTGACCTCGTGATCTGCCCTCCTCAGCCTCCCAAAGTGCTGGGATTACAGGCGTGAGCCACCGTGCCCAGGCTGTAGCGGGATTTTTTAAGGAATCAGAGAGACTGATGGGGTTGAGGAGGATATTTATTATTTAGGTGCACCGGCCCAGTCAGATTAACAACCAAAGGACTGAGTCCTGAACAAAGACTTAAGTTAACTTTTAAGCATTTTGTGGGGTGGTGGGGAGTGGGGAGATCTGTGCAGGGGGAAGCATATTACAGAAGTGAGAAACAAAGACAGTTATTCAATTAATTGAGACATGCATTATATCATTTCTTACTTTTCAAGGAAAAACATGTTTTACGACTTGAGTTTATCTGTCTAGTGACCTTGCAGCTGCACAGCTAGGGAAACAGGGTCTTCACAATGCCTGGGAAAGGAGGAGAGATGAAGCTCACTAGCCACAGAAAAACAGGCAGTTAATTTTTAAAGGGCTCCAGCTCTTTCTCTTTCTCAGGGGGAACTGGGTTTTCTCACATACAACTGAGTTTCTGCTTACACATTCTTTAATTTCTTTTAATTCCTGTTCCATTTGGACCAGGGCCAGGGCATCACTGTCCTGTACCACCCCCAGGAGGGTGTTCCTTGCATCCTGGCCCTTCTAGCTCCAGCCTTGGTTCAAAGGGCTGCAGATAGAGCTCAGGTCATGGCTTCAGAGGGTGCAAACTATAAGCCTTGGTGGCTTCCATGTGGTGTTAAGCCTGCAGGTGAGCAAAGTGCAAGAGTGAAGGAGGCTTGGCATTCTCTGCCTAAATTTCAGAGGATGTATGAGAAAGGCTGGATGCCCAGGGAGAAGACTATGCACCACTGGAGCTCTCAAAGAGGACCTCTTCTAGCACAGTGCCAAGTAGAAATGTGGGGTTGGAGGCCCCACTCGGGGTCCTGACTGGGGGGGCTGCCTAGTGGAGCTGTGGGAGGGGGGCTGCTGCCCTCCAGATCCCAGAATGATAGAGCCACCAGCAGCTCATGCCTTCAGTGTAGAAGAGCCGTGGGAGCAGAGCAGCCCCAGGCCTTGGGAGCCCACCCTATGCATCGTGGGAATGCTCTATGTTCCCAGGATGTGGGACATGGTTTCAAAGCAGATTATTTTGGAACATCGAGTTTTAATGACTGCCCTGCTGGGATTTGAACTTGTGTGGGGCCTGTAGCCCCTTTCTTTTGGCCAATTTCTCTCTTTTGTAATGGGAATGTTTACCCAATGCCTGTACCCCAATTTTCTTAGAAGTAAATAACTTGTTTTGATTTTACAGGCGCATCAGTGGAAGGGACTTGCCTTGTCTCAGAAGAAGCTGCACTTTCGAGTGATGCCGAAACAGGTTGAGACTTTTGGGGGACTATTGAGAAGGGATGATTGTATTTTGCAATGTGAGAAGAACATGAGATTTGAAGGGCCAGGGATGGAATGAAATAGTTTGGATGTTGTACCCTTTAAGTCTCATGTCGAATTGTAATTCCCAGTGTTGGAGTCGGGGTCTGGTGGGAGGTGATGGGGTCATGAGAGCTGATTTCTCATGTTTAACACCATCCTCTTGGCACTGTCCTTGCAAGAGTGAGTGAGTTCTCATTACATCTGGCTGTTTAAAAGTGTGTGGCACCTCTCCCTGCTTGCTCCTGCTCTGGCCATGTGACATACCTTCTTTTGCTTCACCTTCTGCCATGTGTAAAAGCTCCCTGAGGACCCTTCTTGAAGCCAAGCAACTGCCAATGCAAAGCTTCCTGTACAGCCTGCAGAACTGTGAGCCAAGTCAATCTTTTTTTTCAGTATAAATTATGTAGTGCTTAGGTATTCCTTTATAGTAATGCCAGAATGCCATAATACAAGGCATAATGGTTTGCATTTTAAAAATGAAAATTAAATTTTTGTAATTTATCATGAAAAGATGAAATGAGTTAATAATGAGCAATATCTACATGTTGTCTTAGAGGTGCTGACAATCTGTCAACGAATTACATGCATTGATCAAGCAGTTTACCTTCAAGTTGAATAACAAGATATTCCTATCTAACATAACAAAATTTTGACATTATTTGGGAGACTGGAAATAATGCTAAATAATATCAGATTGTCAAAGTCAAATAAATATAGAGACAAACATCTGAAATTAAAATGTTTTATTTGAGATACAAGTATTACAATTTCACACATACATGCAGAATGGGTGTCTTTAGTATGTCCAAAACATAAAGAGAAAGTTAGAGGTTTTATAAAAAAGGGAGACAGAGAGAAAAACGGTATGTATTTCTCTTTGAGAAAGTTCACTGACACCAGTAAGGTTTTTGAGAGCTGGCAGGCTCTGATAGGTGAGGGACAGTGGTGGGTAAAGCTAGTCTTAGTGTTCAAGAGGTTGTTTCAGTAACCATTTGATAAAACTGGTTTCAGCTTAAAGCAGGTAATTTCAGCAGCCAGGCATGCAGAGAATTACGCTTTTGGAGTGGTGTTTTTGCCCTGAATGCCTCCTCCCCCTGGCTCGTTGATGGTTTTATTTGGTGTGATAAGAATGACCCAATTCATATGATCAATTTTTACATTTAACCCTTTCCATCAAGATCTTTCTCTTAAAGCATCAACCATGTTTATAGTTGTACAATGACTACAAGTTAGGTTTAATCATCCCTTAGTGCTAGGATGGACCTGTCCCAGTTGCTCCGTCCCACATCTGGGAAAGGTATGGAGGTCTACATCAGGTCTATGTCAAGATTTATGGCTTAAAATGTCTATCCAAGGAAAAAATAAAACTGACCAGTAATCCCAGGAGAGAAACATACCTTGGCAAATTCGAAGATATTTCTAATTTTATTTAACAATTTTAAAATTAATTAATGTATCAAAGATTCACCTAACTCATGTCAAATAAAATATGTTTGCACTAATTAATATATATTTTATATGAACATTCCTTTATTTAAACCATCCTCTTTTCCTAGAATGATGGATTAGGGGCTTTCAATGTGCCTCAGCCACTTGGAAGTAGAAAAATAAGCATAAAGATAAACTTTGTGAGCTTCAATTCAAGAAGAAAAATAGGAATTCACAGGAATAGAGAAGAACACTCCAGACCCTGTGGACAGGGAGGTGGGAAAGCAGACTCTGTGATAGCATTTGGTTCATAGAAGGGAGTGAAACTCCAGTACGAGAGAAGAGCAGCCAGTCTCCCTCTGCAACTCACCTTTTCACTGGGGATTTGTGCAATCCAGATTAAGGGAGAACACTCTGTTTCTCCCAAGCCTTGGAGCTAGCACAAAAGTGGCTGAGAGATGGGGAAAGAGGAAAGACACTCAGAAAAGCTGCAGGCATTTACCCAGACCTGGGACTGAGAGAAGGATGCCCTTTTTAATCTGGGCTCATACAAAGTCAATCATTTTTTGGTGCCTGGCAATGGTGGCCACTGCAGACACTTTAATCTTGGGCTAGGAAATGGAGTGCTTGCTCTGGAGCAGGGGAGCAGCCTCAACAGCCAGAATTGAGTGTTGAGTGTGGAAAGTGCCCCAGCAGTAAGTGTTGGTATTAGGCTCTTTCCTCTTGCAGGACTGTAGTGGGAAGAGAGTTGCTAAAGCAGAGGTTTCTCAAGGATGGTGAGACTTGCAGCCAAGAACAGCTTTGCAACCTGGAACTGGTCTGTGTGTGTCATTGCTGGGTGTCTCAGCCTGCTCCCTTGGTCAGTTGAGAGAGTACTCCATCAGTTCCAAGAAACAAGAGGGAGGTGAACCCCATTCCCCAGGAGACCTAAACTTTGGTGAGGACCAGCCCTAAGGGAAGGAGGAATACAGCTTGCCAAAGCCACCCCTTGGGTCAAAGGAAACACGATCACGATATCAGCTGCTGAAAGGGGCACACCAAAGCCTAGGAACAGATTTAGAGAGGTGGTCATCTCTTGCCCTCTGTCCCCTTCCTAGTGCACTGCTGCAGATCCAGCAGTGGTCATCCTGTTGGGACCCAAGGAACGTGGGCTGAAAGAGGCTGCTTCTTAGGTTTCTCCAGCAGCTCTGCCCCTGCTGAAGACTAGTACCCACTGGGACAGGGCGCTTTTGGCACTTTGTCACTTCTGCACCTGTCGAGGACAAGTACACAGAGGAGAAGACCCTGCAGCCAGCTGTTACTCTTAAGCACTGTCTACTGGACTGAAGCCTGAATTACACCACCAAACAAAAATACATCATCACACCAAGCCACCACAGGAGCCTATCTGCAACCAAGGAACTTGTACAGAGCCTTGGTCCTCTGAAAGTACCCAGAAATGAAGCAAAATGATCCTATACAACATACACCACAGTCATACCCTTAAGAGAAAGAAAGAATGAAAAATTTAAAAAAAAACTCCTTCCAAATGATAGCAAATTCAACAAAGGAAGCATCAAGTCTCTCAGATGAGAAGAAACCATCACAAGAACTCTGGCAATACAAAAAGCCAGAATGTTCCATCACCTCCAAAGGATTACACCAGCAATCTAGCAATGCGTCCTAACCAGAATGCAACGTCTGAAATGACAGGTATAGTACTCAAGATATAAGTGGCAAAAAAAATCACCAAAAGCCAACAGAAAGTTGAAATCCAGCAACAACCCCATAACAACGATCCTGGATTTGAATGACAACATAGCCATATTGAGAAAGAACCAAGCAGAGCTTCTTGCATTGAAAAATTTACTATAGGAATTTCAAAAAACAGTTCACAGCCTTAGCAACAGACTAGACCAAATAGAAGAAATAATTTAAGAGCTCAAAGACCAGACCTTTGAATCAACCCAGTCAGACAAAAATAAAAAAAGAATTTAAAAATAATGAACCAAACTTTTGAGAAATGTAGGATTATGTAAAGGAACAAAATCTATGACTTATTGGAATTTTTTTTTTTTTGAGACAGAATCTCACTCTGTTACCCAGTCTGTAGTGCAGTGGCATGATCTTGGCTCACTGAAACCTCCACCTCCTGGGTTCAAGCAATTCTCGTGCCTCAGCCTCCCAAGTATCTGAGATTACAGGCGTGTGCCAGCATGCCTCGCTAATTTTTGTATTTTTAGTAAAGATGGGGTTTCGCCATGCTGGCCAGTTAGATCTCAAACTTCTGGCCTCGGGTGATCCTCCCACCTTGGCCTCCCAAAGTGCTGGGATTACTGGCATGAGCCACTGTGCCCAGCTGACTTACTGGCATTTCTAACAGAGAAGAAGAGAAAGTGAGCAACTTGGAAAACGTTTTTGAGGATATAATTGAGGAAACTGTCCTCAATCTTGCTAAAGAGGTCCACATGCTGATACAAGAAATCCAGAGAACTCCCGCGAGACTGAAGGTAGGCAGTGAAGCAAATGCTTGCATTCTTGTGTGGCTCTGATTAGCATCAGGATATCTACATTTTACATAGGAAAGGAGGGAGCAGAGGAAACAGTTATGCGTTCATCTCACATTCAGTAAATCTCCATTTTACATAAGATAAAGTAAGCATGTGAATAGAGGGAGTGGAGTAGAGGAAAACTCAATGATTCATTCATCTCAGGATAGGCAGAGGGATGATTTCTGGTCCTGACCTTGTCCCAGAACTATGAAAATAAGCTGGTAATTGAGATTGTCAGGGTGAAATTGAGCCGACTCACTTTTAGGGATAGTTTAAGGTGGGATGTGCATTCTGAAAGATTTAGGGGTTCACAGCAAATTGTGAGGGAGGACATCTGAGGAGACATGCGGCCTTCTGTCACTGTGTGAACCTGGCTTATGGATGAGGCTATGACACAGGGTTGTGAAGTTATAGCTATGTGTTTGAGAACAAGGAAGGCAGTATTGCGTAACTCAGTTCCCAAGCTTAATTTTCCCTTTGACACAGTGAGCTTGGGGTTGGGGTCTCTATTCTCTTTTCTCTCACAAAATCATATGGGAACATTCCAGAAAATGTGAGGTTCTGTGCTCACTATTAAATAAAAATGACCAGGAGAGCCATGGGTAAGCTCCCTCCTCAGTCATCAGGACCCCAACAGAGAGTTTTCCCCTGTGTGGACAGGGTCCTGAATTCTGCAGGATCCCGTGGGGACACAAGTGTCAGGATAGAGGCACTCATTCAGCCAGGTACAGTGTCTCACGCCTGTAATGTCAGCTACACTGGAGGCTGAGGTCACCTTGAGGCCAGGATTTCAAGACCAGCCTGGGCAACATAGCAAGATCCCATAACTAAGAATAAAATTAGCCGGGTGTGGTGGCATGCACCTGTAATCCTAGTTAATTGGGAGGGAGGCTGAGGTAAGAGGATTGCTTGAGCCTAGGCGTTGGAGGCTACAACGAGCTAGGATTACACCACTGCACTCCAGTCTCGGCAACAGTAAGACTCCATATGTGACAACAACCAACCTATTCTGTGTTTTGAGCGTAAATTACCATAGCCTTTGTAACAGAAATGAGGCAGCAACTCTTATCATTCAAAATGCATAAGAAATTTGGCTAAGCAATTGTACTTCTAGATTATTTATTTATTTATTTATTATTGGGACAGAGTCTCACTCTGTCCCGCAGACTGGAGTACAGTGACAGGATCTCAGCTCACTGCAACCTCTGCCTCGTGGGTTCAGGCAATTGTCCTACCTCAGCCTCCCGAGTAGCTGGGGCTACAAGTGCGCATCACCATACCCAGCTAATTTTTGTATTTTTTGTAGAAACGGGGTTTTGCCATGTTGGCCAGGCTGGTCTCAAAACTTCTGACCTCAGGTGATCCACCCACCTCGACCTCCCAAAGTGCTGGGATTACAGGCACTAGGTCCCTAATTTAGAGCCATATTGTTTAATGTCTAAAAGCACTCTTGCATATTTATTACTGCATTGTTTGAACTTAAATATCCACAACAGGATAACAGGATAATTAAACAGTTAATTGCACTATGGCACATCCATCTGTTAACAAAATGAAGTCGATCTTTTGTACTGTGGTGGAAAGATTTTCTGAACATAGTTCAGGTAAAAAAATGACCACTGTTGAATAATGCTTCTGGTATAACACAAAGTGTTTGAAAATGTACACAATACACTGTAATATCCAATGCATACATCAAAGTAAATATATTTTATTCTAGGATAATTATTAAAACATTAAGAAATATTCTTTAATCATATATGTTAAAACTTGTAGAAAATCAATAACATACAAGTAAAGAAGATCAAGAAGCCAAAAAAAGTAATTCCAAGTGTAGAAAGCATGGTGAAAAGTGATGGAAGGAAACTGCAGAAATTTAAAATGTGAAATTAAAATATATAATTATTAATTAAAATACATAATTCTTAATTAAAATACATAATTCTTCATTGAACCCCAAATCTGTCAGGACATATGTGTGATCTTGGATAACGCATTCAACCTCCTGAACACTGAATTTTCTTGACTGTAAAATGTTTTAGAGATGTTCCTCACCTGGTTGCATGAAGCAAACCTCTGTGTGTTAAGGCACTTCCCACAGCATCTGCGACACAGAACAGTGGCAGCTGTGCTCTTCATAGTCCCTGAACACAGACCCACAGCAGTATATTGTGTGTTTTTTTTTATATAAAAGGCTTTGAAAATGTCCCACAGCTTCCTCAGTAACTGATTGTCAAAAGGGGCAGCCTTCAAAAGTAGAATTCTGGCCAATGTCTTCAAAAGACACAAAATTCTGGCAATGGGCACATTTCCCTCCCCCCTTGCTCTTCTGGATGCATCCATTCTCTCCCACAGCATAGTCATTTTCTTCCACTCCACTGTAGAAATTTTCCTTCTAGTGGCAAGAGTGACGTGAGTGATATGTGGAAATTTCTTTCCAAGCGTGTTGGAGAAGCTTCCTCTGCCTGCTTCTTTTTGGCCACCTCCTGCCAGGGTAAGAGCAGAGGGCCTCCAGGGCTGCTCTGTCACCCCCAACAGCATGGACCTCACTGCAGTCACTCCGGAAGCTTCCCTCTAAAGGAAGCTTGTGCAGGAAACATCATGCATCGAGCAGCATGGGGACAGGGGCTGGCCAGCTGGGCAGGTCTCACACTCCTGACACTCAGACTCCAGGATACTCCTCTGTCCCCACCCAGGGCAGATGCCTGCCCTAAAAGTTTTCCCCTCATGTCCAGCAAATGCTGCATGGAGCCCTGGATTTCTACGTGGAAAACTAGGAGGAGGGAGAGCTGAAATGAGGATGTAATCACCCTTTCCAAAGAGGTCAGTCCAGTACTACCCTGTGCTCCTGGGCAAGCTCTCCAGGTTGAGGGAACAGGAGCAGGGGTTATGTCAGGTGAAGGTTGAAGTGAGAGACCTCCCAGGAGGTGTAGAATATTCCACTAGGGACATCTCATACCCTTCCAGGATTAGACCTTGAGGCCTGGAGATCCCCAGGCAATTAGTATTGAAGGTCGAAAGGCCAATGACAGGAATAGGAAGGCCCACTGTGTCATTCACAAAGCACTTCCAAACCCATCACCACAGGTGGCCCTCACAACAACCCTGTGAGACCTGCAGGACAGGGGCTCTCACAAAGGAGGAGTCGGGAATGTCAAGATTTTAACACCTTCTCCAAGTCAGGATCAGGAAATGCTGTTCCAGCACTGACCTATATTCCCTATGCTTCCTCCCACAAAACAGCTTAGGGTGACTGCCAACTTGTGGGCAGAGATCCTCACTTCCAATCCCCACAAGGGGCTGTGCAGTGGGGAGGACGAGGCCCCCTCCTCTGACTGTCTCCTCCAAGACCCTGTTTTCTGAGGAAGGTCACTCTGGGAACTGTTGGCCTCTGCAGATGGGGACCTGGACCATGTGGAAAGATGATGTGAAGGTCACACCTGGCAGGCACCAGCGCTGGAGGGCAAACCTCACCTTTAAAACTCACACTTTTTTAAAAAATTTATTTTTATTTTTAATTTATATGAGTACATGGTAGGTGTATATATTTATGGGGTACATGAGATAGTTTGACACAGGCATGCAATGTGTAATAATCACATCAGGGTAAATGGGGCATTCATCACCTCAAGCAAGGGAAATGCCAGCTGCTTATAAAACCATCAGATCACATGAGAACTCACTTACTATCATGAGAACAGCATGGGGAAACTGCCACCATGATTCAGTTACCTCTCACTGGGTCCCTCCCAGGACACATGAGGATTATGGAAATTACAGTTCAAGATGAGATTTGGGTGGCAACGCAGCCAAACCATATCACCTTATAAAATTAATAATGTGGAAATAGCAGTGGGCCTGAGTCCTGACACCTGCAGTGTGATGCCCCCTCTTGAGGAGGGCCTGGCTTCTGTGCCATGCAGAAACTTTCCTGTGCTTCCTGCTGGCTTGGGGTGAGCCAGGTCCTCCTGGGGGAGCTGGGCACTTGTGGGACAGGAGAGTCCCTGGCCTGGGGTCTCCATTTGCCTCCTTACCCCATCAGCAAAACACCAGAGGAGCCAACTCAACAAACCTCAATGCACGGCACTTCCTGGACCCTAGGTGCTCAGGGCCCCCTGAGCTGCCCTGGGGCAGAACACTGGGCAGTGGCCAGTGCTTTCCCAACAACTCCCCCATGCACAGATGCCTGGTGGACACACTTCCCTTAACCCTGCTCAGCTGGAGCTCAGCCCCCATCCTAGTACCTCTGCCTCCTCCTCCAGGGCAGGAAAAGGAAACCCAACTCCAAACCCATGGAGAATCCTCATCTTGGGTGAGGCCCTGGCTGGGACTCAGCCCCTTGTCAGGCCCTCGAGGAGCTCCATCTTCCCTTGTTTCCCTGCCCCATGGGACCCTGGGCCTCTGGGAAAGAGTTGAGGGTGTCATCCACTCAGCAGGTACCGCATGATCTTTGGGAAGGATTTGTGTTATACCTACTCCTGGTGGGATAGGAGCCTCCGGAGCTGGGCAGTATTTGGGCTGTAGAAACCTGAGAAGCCCCTGACCCATCATGCATCAGAGCCCACTCCCAAGATGTGGAGCCATCAGCTGGAAGAGCTGGGCAGTGGCAGGGGACCCCGGACCCTGAGGCCTTCCTCCCTTCCATCAGGTGACCCTACCATGTGGTCTCAGCTCTAGGGAGATGGGCCCTAGCTGGAGGCACTGCACAGCAGCATCCTGGGTAAAGGTGCCAGGAGGGCAGGCCTGCCTTTGAGGCTGTGAGGCAGGGCTGGGGCAGGCAGTGGCTAGTGGAGGGAACCGGGTGGGTGCTGAAGGACTACATGGCCATCTCCTGGACATGGGGTCTGGCTAGGGGACATGGGATGGGCAGACACTGCCATCTTGACTTCATTGGCCCATCTGTGGGCTAGGGGGGCAGCTGGGAGTGTGGCCAGCTGGGAGGTAGGAGGACTCTTGGGGAAGTGAGAGTCACCTGCATGAACTCAGGGCTAGAGGGCTGTGGCTCTGGGACACACAGGGTGGCCAGGGGGAGGCTGCAGCGCCCTCTGCTGTTGGGAATGAAAGGTGTCCACCTTGAAGTGAAAGGGTCCCTGTTCAGCTATGGGCCCCTCTGGGACCCCCAGCAGGGATGTCCTGAAGGCTCCTAACAAGCTGGAAAACAAGGAAACTGCCTTGCCTGGAAGTCAGGATCGCCCAGCCAGGGTGGCCGTCCCATGGCCCGGCTGTGTGAGGCCCTGGGGGTAGCTGTCCACCTACCCTGCAGGGAGTGCCTCTCCTCAGCCATCCGCTGATCCAGTGCCCAGAAGTTGTCTTCCTCTGGCAGATACAGGAGGAGGATGGCAGTTAGGCAGCTCATGTCCCTGTAGTAGCCCACCTCCTGCAAGAGCCAGAGTCACCATGGAAGCATGTCACCTGAGAGGGCTGAGGCCATCTGGGAGGACTCATGTCACTGGAGAGGACAGAGGTCACCTGGGAGACCTCCCTCAAGCCCCAGGGGATTTAGGGTGCAGACTCTGCACCCCTCCCCTGACCCTGGGCATGAGGACTAAGCAAGTCCCCCACAACTCAGTTGAAAAGGGACCTGGAGGGACTTCTGCAGTGAGTGTCCAACCTCACATGGTCTGAAGGGGCACAGGCAAGGATCATTCACATCCCCTATCCTGGGCCAGGCTGGGAAGGCCAGTGTGCCAGGACCGGGGCAGCACCTGTGAACTGCACCCACCACAAGGGCAGGTGGTGGGCCACTGATCTCCACACAGTGGGTCCTCTGATGGCCCAGAGGCTGCCTGCCAGGCACAGGAGGGTGGCTGGGTCCAGACCACATGTGAGCAGCCCATGGAGTGATCTCAGCGGCTCTCCCTGCCTGGAATGGTCTGGGAAGTGGGGGCCAAGCAGGAACAGCCACCTGGGTGACCTCCTCCCTGTCTACTGTGCTCCTACGGGGTTAAGGCAAAGGGGAAATTGGATCCCTGCCAGGTTTCCAATAAAAAGGCTTCCTCACGATGCAAACTCATTTCATGAAAAAAAGCCTGGCCCCATCAGGCACCTCAGCAACTTGTCAAACGTGTCTCCTGCAAGGACTATCCTGTGTGCAACACTGCTAAGCTCCTTGTTTGGGGTGGCACCAGGAGGGGAGTGTCATTTCTTCTTCTGAGACATGGTGGTTGGGTCCAGGTGACATCAACAGTCTGGGCCCTGAACCCTTTCCATCTCAGCGGGACCCCTTGAGACACCAGCTTCCCTTCCTTGCTTGGGTGTCGACGCCAGCAGTTCTACCTACTACGTTATTACAGTCAGATCAGGATAAATGTCCTCTCTCTGGAATAAATGCAGTGACCACTGTTCTTTGAGCATTATTTATCTTAAATTATTGTTTTAATTAGAAATGTATCTAACTTACATTAGCCAAATTTCCTTTCAATGTAACCAAATTTATTTTAAGTGAAAATTAAATATTTACCTTCATCAAGCATTCTATGAATATAAAATGTTTATTTTTTTCAACTTTAGAAGAAATTGAAAATGTCTACGTGCTACTAATCTAAAAAACAGGCTCTGGGTTTATATGGTGTTAACCTTTCTTCCAAATTTTAAGGAACAGATATTTAAATGCCATCCACTTTGTTTGAAAATACATAAAATGTTTTAAGCTTTTGACCTCAAAATTTACAATAGCACAGCTACTCCATAATGAATAAACCACAGAATCAAAACGAAGAAAGATTCTACAGACCAGTCTAACCAACAATACAATTATAAACTAGTGGTTCAAATATCAAAAACCAATTTCAATGACAAATGCATGGTATGAAAACCCCGCAAATGTCAAGTAGAATATATTATACTTCTTATTGAATGAAATTATGAGTTGAGAGTAGGAAATCTATGTTTAACCAAGCAAATTAAATAAAGTTTATGAGGAAATTATACTGCTAATGTTTTATTATTTGGCAAGCTATTCAGTGGAACACAAAGATATTCTTAATGAAGTCGAAAATATATTTTAAAATGTGACTGAAGTGGATTAAAAAATAATGAGGACATGAATAATTTTAAAAAGTATTCAGGGATAAAGAGAGAAAAATAAATTTAGATTTCATACATACATAAAATATATTTAAAAAGTTGTGTTTTTTGGTTGTTTGAATAAAAGGAGCAGATATTTAAATTCCATGCCTTTCATTTTAAAGTTTAGGAAATGCTTATAGCTTTCCACACTGACATTTATACTAACACAGTTAATCTAATCGAGGGATAACAAAATCAAAACAAGCAGAATTCTCTTGACCAATCTATTTTCTTGATTTTTAAAAGTTAATGTACTCTCAAAGAAACAAAACTATTATTCGTGGATTCTGTTATTTGAAAATATTTACTGATCATTTTTACCTTACACCAAGTGATCTCCAGCTCGTGGAAAAATATGTAAAGTTGCCCAGCTTCATTAAGCTTAAACTCTTCTGAAGGAGAAAAGCAGCAATGGAGTAGGGACATTAAAGCAGGAGTGTGGTGATATGGCTGAGACTTCTACTTGCACACTGTGGTAGCTGTGTGGAGACTGGATTTAAAAAAGGGCAATGACAGAAGCTTAAATTAGTATCAAATATGGTAATCCTATAATTTTAAGGGTCCTTGAAATAAGAATGTATAATAGTTCTCATTATTTCCCCAAGAAATCTCTGCACTTGGCCTTGTGAGGGAAGCGCTATAGTTACCAAGTGGTGGGGGTGGGAATGTGAATTTGGAAACAACATTTGGAATTATTACACTTTAAAGGTAAAGCTGGCAGGAATTCCATACACATCAGATCTGAAAATGTGCGTGTGTGTGTGTGTGTGTGTCTGTCTGTGTTTGTGTGTGTGTGAAGCAGGGAGAGAGAGCAAGAGTGAGAGTGAGCAAGAGAGAGAGGAGAGAGAGGGAGAGAATCAGACAGATACAGGAAGAGAGTGACAGAGCTACAGAGACAGAATTAAAAGGGGACACCAAGAATATTGAGCTGAGAAACTATAAAATGGGAGTTGCCATTAAACAGAATGGGGAAGAGCAAATTTGGGGAGTTTCAGTGGCTCCATACAGACATATTAATTTTGAGATTCCTAACTGACATCCACGTGGATAAGTCAGGGAGTGTTGGGTGTAGTGTCCAGTGTTTAGGTGTAATATGAAATATCAGGAAATTAATGACACAAAAATTAGTAAGAAAGCAAAGATAAGAAAGATAAGAAGTGAAATTCCTGAGCCTAATGGTCCTCTAACATTTGAAAAATAGTAAAGATGAAACCTGCAAAAAAGGACTAGGGGTAATTTTCAAAAACGTGGTGGGGGGAAAGTAAGTTAAGTGTTCTGGAATTCTGTAAAAAAGTTTTACAAAGAGAAGGTGGAGATAGACTGTGTGAAATGCTGCTGATATATAAATTAAGATGAAGGCTGAGAAGTTATGGTTCAATTTATAATTTAACAATATGGATAGCACTTATATTTTGATATGAGCAGCTCGTTGGAATGAGTAGGTGAGAAACCATATTGGAGTGGTTGCTGAGATGAAAGTCTGATCCCTGGATTCTTAAGGAAAAATTTTATTGGACTGCAGAGGCATAAATTGGATTTTTAATTCTGGAGTCAGGATGTGCTCAGTAAACATGTGCCCATCAATGCCTCCTCGCATTTTTTTTTAGCTAGGTATTCTGTTATCTTTTAATAATATAATAATTACCTGCAAAACCTACACCCATGTTGCAGCAAACCACCATGACACATGTATACCTGTGCAACAAAACTGCATGTTCTGCACATTTATCCCAGAACTTAAAGTAGAGAGAGAGAGAGAGAGAGAGAAAACCCAGCCAAGTGCGGTGGCTCATGACTGTAATCCCAGCGCTTTAGGAGGCTGAGACAGGTGGACCATCTGAGGTCAGGATTGAGAACAGCTTGGCCAATATGGTGAAACCCTGTCTTTACTAAACATATAAAAATTAGCTGGGTGTGGTGGGGGGCACCTGTAATCCCAGTTACTTGAGAGGCCAAGGCAGGAGAATCACTTGAACCTGGAAGGCAAAGACTGCAGTGAGCTAAGATCACGCAGCAGCACTACAGCCTGGGTGACAGGGTGAGACGGTCTCAAAAAGAAAAACAAAAACAAAAAAACACCCATTTAATTGACAAACTTTACAAAGACTGATACTAGAGGTTGTTGGAGAGGACGTTGTTCCACATATCTTATGAGTTACCGATGGACAAGTAAGATGGTAAAATGCCTTTGAAAAACTGACCATACCTGCTATACTTAAATATTCAGATACCAAACACCCAGAAATTCCATCTTGTCATTTATTTCCACAAGAAAAAACAAGAGACCTGTATTAAAATATCCATTTCTATTAAAAATAATCACACTAGGTTTCCTGAAATTTTTTTATTGGTAGCTCTTGTTTTCAGCAGTACAACTTCTAACATATATGTGTATATATATTTAATATATGTATATATGTATATATATTTAATATATGTATATATGTATATATATTAGACAGATATATATGTATATTATACATATGCATATATTATATATTATGTATGTATGTATATAATACATATGTATATATTATATATTATGTATATATGTATATAATACATATGCATATATTATATATTACGTATATATGTATATACACACATATGTATATATGTTATATATACACGCATATGTATATATGTTATATATACACGCATATGTATATATGTTATATATACACGCATATGTATGTTATATATACACGCATATGTATATATGTTATATATACGCATATGTATATATGTTATATATACACGCATATGTATATATGTTATATATACACATATGTATATATATACACACACATATGTATATAAGTATCTATGCATAATATATGTATATGTATTAGGCAGAGTTTTGCTCTTGTTGCCCAGGCTGGAGTGCAATGGTGCAATCTCGGCTCACTGCCACCTCCACCTCCCGGGTTCAAGCGATTGTCCTGCCTCTGCCTCCCGAGTAGCTGGGACTACAGGCTTGTGCCACCACCCTCGGCTAATTTTGTATTTTTAGTAGAGATGGGGTTTCACCATGTTGGTCAGGCTGGTCTCGAACTCCTGACCTCAGGTGATCCACCTACCTTGGACTCCCAAAGTGCTGGGATTACAGGTGTGAGCCACTGTGCCCGGCCTATTTTGTATTTTTTAATCTACCACACTCTAAGAACACATATTTTAAATCAATTTGTACATTCAGTGCCTAGAACAAAACCAGCATTTTGTAGATTCCAAAGAATTAATTGTTGTATAAATGATGAATAACTTAAATAAGTTACTATTTATAACATCTATATACAAACAATATATTACCTGAGAATACAGTGATAACATTTGTTATGTATAAAATGATTTCAATCTCAGTTAAAAATATTTTTTGCATAAGTTATTGTCATATGCAGATGCTCACATTGTTTTGTTTAGATGAAAATGTTTGTAACTACTATGCACATTTTTGTTACTTAAGCCTTTTGGTCTTGCTGCCGTAGCAAATCCTGTGCCTCTTAAGAACATGAACCTGTTTTACTTCATTTTTTAGCAGATTTCTTAATGAAATATATACCATACTATTTTGTTTAACACATAAGCAGACACCCTGTCAGAAGCAAAGAGATATCTACTCCACCATTACCACCCATGCCTCTGCTAATGTGGCTGCTGAAGATGTTACCTAGAGCAGAGGACTTTGTGTTCAACCTAAGCACTTTATATCCTTTATTTTCAATTGGGTAGGAGATAAAATAATTCAGCAGCAATAAAAGTCACACTTCTTAAAGTTGCAGTCTCGCCAATGCACCACAACGTAGCAGTCTCTCTTGTGAGGTATCACCTGGCGTTCTTCATCTCACCACCAAGATGATTAAGGGACGGGGACACACAGGTGAGGTGGGAGTGAAAGTTTAACAAGCAAAAGGAGGAAGCTCTCTGCAGCAGACAAGGGCGTCCAAGTGGATTGCCGTTTTTACAGTTGAATCAAAAAGCTTTTATAAGAAACTCCTCTCAGCTATATATAAAACTGTCGGCACAATTCCCTTTATATATCCAGCTGTGGGTATGTCTCTAGTCAAGCACAAAGTGGGCTTCTCTTGTTTCTATAACTGTGGGTTTGTTTTAGGTAAGCCCCCCTCCTCCCTGCGCAAGTTCCCACAGAGACCGCCATGTATATGCCTGAAAAAGGGAGGAAAATTTTACCTGGGAGCTTGCCAAATACACAAAGAACAGAAGGCATCTGTGCTGGACCCTGCATGCTTATCTGTTCAGGGCTTATCTGTAGGTGCAGTAGTTGTGATTTTTCAGGCAGACAGCTTCCCTGAGGACGAGTCTCTTACTTGTTTACTCAAATAATTTTCCTTTCCTTCTCCCTCAACATTGTGCAGCAAAACAGAGTACACTTCTCTTTCCCAGTAAATCAGTGTTGGTACTCCACTCTGAATACTTGTATTATTGGATTTCTTAGGAAAAAAATATTTGGGATCATAATTTAGATGCCATCAAACAATGAACAAAAATATGCTACTTCGTTTCCCTTCTCTTCTCTTGTTACCAGACAATAGCTAGTTTTCTTTTCTCTCCAACTCCTTTTTTCTGTGCTTCTACCTGATTTTTAAAAAAACTTCTACACATTTCCAATCTTAGTATAGCAGACATCAAATATGTGGTCAAACTACATACATAAGAAGAGTTGAATTATATAATTATATTCAAGCATTTTAAAATAATTCCCCTTCAGTTTGTTTTGCAGTTATTTTACATAATCAAATGTCTTCCTGATATACGTCCCAACCCAGTGGTTGTCAAGCTCTGCTTTGTTTTCTAATTGCATCAGAATTATCCACAATTCTTTTTTTTTTTTTTTTTTTTTTTTTTTTTTTTTTTTTTTTTTTGAGATGGAGTCTTACTGTTGCCCAGGCTGGAGTGCAGTGGTGTGATCTCAGCTCACTGTCATCTCTGCCTCCCTGATTCAAGTGATTCTCCTGCCTCAGCCTCCCAAGTAGCTGGGACTACAGGCATGTACCACCATGCCTGGCTAATTTTTGTATTTTTAGTAGAGATGAGGTTTCACCATGTTGGCCAGGCTGGTTTTGAATTCCTGACCTCAAGTGATCCACTGCCTGGGCCTCTCAAAGTAAGAATTATCCAAAATTCTTATGATAAATGTGGATAAATCAGCACAACTCAAGATTTAATAAAAAATTCCAAGAGAAGAAACCCAGGAATATGCATTGAAAACGTCTCCCTCAGGTGATTCTGATGTGATATGTGGTCTGAGTTTAAAATGCAAGGAAAATTACCTTCCCTGCCCTCCAGTTGGCCCTTATGTCCAGATGTCCCTCTTCCCCTTTCTCACTGTGCTCTCTCCTTCTGTGCCTTTGTTCTATTCTCCCTCCACTTCTCATCCAGATGCCAAGCCCTCTTCCATCAATTGTCCTAAAACTCCAAATGGTCAGTTGCCTCTATACTTCCCTCTGTCCCATGAACAAGTTACCCAGGCAAACGTAGAATTTCGGCTTGGACGAAGCTGAATCAAGAGCTGCAATTAAAGATTTCCCTAAGCCCAGAGGGGACCAGCAAATACTTATAGAAGATTTTGGATTTCCTCCGAATGCATAAGGCTCTGGGTAACCTGATGCTATAGACCAAATGTTATTGTCCCTCTCAAATTCAAGTGTTGAAATCTAATTCCCTATGTGATGATATTTGGAGGTAGGGCCTTGGGGAATGATTAGATCATGAAGGCAGGGACCACATGAGTGGGATTAGTAGCCCCTATTGAAGGCACCATAGAGAGCTCCCTCATCTCTTCTGTCATGTGAGGACATGGTAGAAACATGGCTATGAACCACAAAGCAAGCCCACACCAGACACAGAATCTGCTAACCACTTGACCTTGAATTTTGCCATCTCCAGAACTGAGAGAAACAAATTTGTTTATAAGCTTCCTCATCTATGGCATTCTGTTTTGACCCCAGATTAGCTAAAAACACCAAAATATCAACTTGTACACCAAATTTTCGAAATGGATGCTAAAACTTTGATGGCAAAAGGTGACTGATCTGCCTGAGAAATGAACCTACATGATCCCTCTTTCCACAAAGCTGGAGGGAGAGTCAACACAAGCAAAAATAGGTCAAAGTCTTCTAAAAGCCATACCTGAAGGGTTTTCGATATCACTTGATCAGATGGTAATTTAGTCACCCAAAGAACCACAACAAAACACACAACTATCAGAGGTTTTCAACGTCACCTCAAAAACACCATCTACAATATTAGGGAGTGAAAGAAGTCATAGAAGTTTCAAAAAGTCAAACTTTATTTCAGTGTTATGGTAGAAATTTGAAATTCTTAGTTAAGCTATGAATAAATCCTTGGGCAGGTGCAGGCATGGAGATTCTGGAGTGCTGCTGCTGAGTTTAAGAGCTTCCTTTGGAGATGCCCCCTGGCCCCCTCAACCCCTGTCCACCTGTCAAGAAGAGGCCATCCTGGGCAGCACATTAGAGGCAAATGGCCCAGATGCCCAGCTGAGGGCAAACCTCCATTCCTGGAGGAGGAGGTCACCTCTGGGAGCCGGAGGACCTGCTGGAACCCCTGCTCACAGGCTCCTTTTCTTGCTCTCCAGCACCTCCTGCAGGCAGGCAAACACCCCCAGCAGCAGTAGCAGCAGGGCCTTCAGCAGCAGGGCTGCTGCTCTGCTGAATGAGAGAAGTCCCTCTCCAGTGAGGCAGAGGAGCCCAGGTTGCACACCCTGGTCTCTGCCTCCATAGCTTCCACTGTGCCCAGGACTGGGAGCAGTGTGGGAGCTGCTGGCTGGAGCTGTGCTGGTCACCCCCTCTCTGCCACCTCTAGCTCCAGCCACACTTTCAGCTCCAGGGCTGAGGCCGGTGGCTCTACAGGAGGTGCCATGAAGTCAGGCAGCTTCTCACTGGGCTGGTCCTGTGCAGTCCCAGGGCAGCGGCAGGAAGGCTCTGGAGCTTCCTCTAGCTCCAGCGCTGTCCCTGGAAGGGGCTCTGCCCCTGGTGCTGGCACTGGCTCAACAGCTGGCACTGGAAATAGCTGTGTTTCTGCACCTGAAGCAGGAGCTGAAAAAGGAGAGAGGTCACCAATATCACTCACTTTCCACTGGAATTTCCAAACATGAAAACAACCTCACTGAATTTAAAGGAATTTCAGCCTGAAAACATTGTCCCTGGAAAGACTTCCAGACTGCAGGTGACCTCACCATGTGCCTGTGTCTCAATGAGCTCCAGAGGCTCCAGCTGGACAAGGACAATGTGCAGATGTGGCCCTGGTGGGATCACTGGTGAGGCCTGGCCTGGTAGCTCCATCTGGGGCCTGATGTCTACCTGGTGACTCCTGTCCTGTGGTACCTGGGGGGGCCTTCTGTCAAATGGCCAGAGACATCTGGGGTGAGGGATGAGCCTACAAGGGCATCGTTGGAAAAGAAAGGCTCTCACTCCTGCCATTCCTGAAGCAGGAGACTTGAGATGTGGGGATGCAGCACAAGAACATCTTGCTCTCTTGAGCATCTCCCACCAAGTGAGCTGGCTATGGGGCTAACTCTAGGATGTGGGTGCCTGGTGCCTGGTTATCGGGATTCTTTTTTTTTTTTTTTTTTTTTTTTTTTGAGACATTGTCTCATTCTGTTGGCCAGGGTGGAGTGCAGTGGCATGATCTCGGCTCGCTGCAACTTCCGCCTATTGGGTTCAATCAATTCTCCTGCCTCAGTCTCCTGAGTAGCTGGGATTACAGGCACGAGACACGCACCACAACACCTGGCTAGTTTTTTTGTGTTTGTTTTTTGTTTGTTTGTTTGTTTTGAGACAGAGTCTCGCTCTGTCACCCAGGCTGGATGGAGTGCAGTGGCGTGATCTGGGCTCACTGCAAGCTCCGTGTCCTGGGTTCATGCCTTTCTCCTGCCTCAGCCTCCCGAGTAGCTGGGACTATAGGCGCCCACCACTACGCCTGGCTAATTTTTGCATTTTTAGTAGAGACGGGGTTTCACTGTGTTAGCCAGGATGGTCTCGATCTCCTGACCTTGTTTGTTTTTTGTATTTTTAGTAGACATGTGGTTTTACCATGTTGTTCAGGCTGGTCTCGATCTCCTGGTTTCATGATCCTCCTGCCTCAGCCTCCCAAAGTGCTGGGATTACAGGTGTGAGCCACCGTGCCTGGCCTGGTTACCAGAATTCTAAGTTCTGTTAGGGTCTGTTGCCAAGGAAGTGAGGTTGCTTCTTTAAGGTTCCATCCCCTCAGCCTCCTCCTTCCAGAAGACCTACTCAGGACCCCAGTGGGCTGCTGACTGCTCATCCTCCCCACAGGTCAACTCCTTACCTGTACACAGTTATGTCCACCCAGGGCCTACTTGGACACCTGCACCTGATGTTCACCAGGGGCCTAGGAATCCACTTGGGGCCTGGGATCCTACAGGGGCCTAATGTTACCCTGCAGATTGAGTAGCCACCTGGGGACCAGATATCAACCTGGGGACTGTGGTTGACCTGTGGGTTAATGTCCACCTGGGGACTGGTTATTCAGCTGAGGCCTGATGCGTACCTGGGGCCGAATGTCCCCCTCAGGGTGAATTCCACCTCAGATCTGTATGTCCACCTGGGGCCTGATGTCTGCCTTAGATCTATGTCCCACTGGGGCCTTGTGATCACCGGGGACTGGTATCCAGCTGTGGCCTGATGACCTACTGCATCCTGTTGCTCACCTACGGCCTGGTGTCTACCTGGGGCTTGGTGATCGCCTGGGAACTGGATATCAACCTGGGGCCTGGGTGTCCACTTAAGGCCTGATGTGTGCCTGGGGCCTGACTGTCCACCTGGGGACTGGGTGTCCACCTTGGGTCTGATGACTACCTGAAGTTAGGTATCTACCTAAGGCTTGGTGTCTACCTGTGGCCTGATGTCCACATGAGTCTGGGGTTCAGTTGGGGCCTGCTGTACATCTGGGACCTTGGTGTCTATCTGAGGCCTGATGTCTACCTGGTGACTGCCATCCTCTTGAGGCCTGATATCCACCTGGGAATGGTTTATCCATGGAAATGGTTATGTCCGCCTGGGGCTGGATGTTGCCCAGGGGCTAGATGTCCACCTGTGGCCCCGTGTTCACCTAGTGCCTGATGTCCACCTGGGGCATGGTGTTCACCTGAGACCCGGGTATTTACATAGGGCCTGATGTCCAGCTGGTGCCTAGGTGCCCACTGGGGGCCTTGTGTTAACCTGGGGACTGGTATCCAGCTGGGTCCTAATGACCACCTGGGTTGAATTATTCACCTAGAGTTTGGTATTCACTTAGGGCTTGAGTGTCAGCCTTGGACATGGTGTCCACCTGGGCCTTGGTTATCAAACAAGGGGTTTGGTATCCAGTTGAGACATCATTTGCACCTGGGGTCTGAGTGTTCGCATGAGGCCAGATGACCACTGGGGGCCTGAATGTCAACCTGGTGTCTGAAATTCACTGGAAGCCTAGGTATCTAGCTGGGGCCTGATGTCCACCTGGGACTAGGTGTCAACATGTGGCCTGATGTAAACCTCTAGTTGAGTGTCCACCTTGGGCCTGATGTCCACTGGGGGACTGATGTTCCCCTTTGATCTGATGTCTACCTGGAAACCGTGTATTCACCCATGGCCTGATGGTCACCTGGGGTTGAATGTCCAACTGTGGCCAGATGTGCACCCGGATTCTGGGCATCCACCTGAGGCCTGATGTTCAGCTGGGGCCTGGAGTTCACCTGAGGCATGATGCCTACCTGAAGCTTAATGTTCATCTGAGTGCTGGATGTTCACCTGGGGCCTGATATCCACCTGGACCCTTCTCAGGCCTGATGTCCACAGGACCCTTCTCAGGCCTGATGTCCACAAGTTGGCCTGGTATTCATCTGGGGCCTTCGTGTTAACCTGTGGCCTAATGTACTCCTGGGTTCTAGTGTCCTCTTGGGACCTGATGTCTACCAGGATCCAGGTATCCACCTGGGGCTCGGTATCCACCTAGGGCTTGATATTCACCTGGGGCCTAGGAATCCACTTGATAACTGGTGCCATCGGGGTCCTGATGTTCACCTTGGGACTGGGTAACCACCTGAGGCCTGATGTCCACTTAGGGTATAAGTGTTTATCTGGGGTCTAGTGTTCACATAGGGTCTGATGTCAACCTTGAGACTAGGTATTCACCAGGGGACTAGTGTCCAGCTGGGGCCAGATGTTCGCTTGGGGCCTGGTGTCAACTTGGAGCATGGTTGTCAACCTAGGACCTGATGTCCAGTCCAGTGTCCACCTTGGGCCTGTTTACTACCCGGGGCCTGTGTGTCCACATAGACCGTGGTGTCAATCTGGGGCCTGGGTATTTACCGGGTGCCTGGATATTCATTGGTACATTATGTCTACTGGAGTCTTTGTGTCAATCTGAGCTCTGATGTCCACCTAGAGATTGGGTATCCACCTAAGGCCTGGTGTTTACATGGGGCCTGTAACACGAGGTTCCAGATGAACTCAGATGTCCACCTGAGGCCTGATGTCCACCTGAGTTCTGAGTGTTCACATAGGGCCTGCTGTCAACTTGGGACCTAAGTATTTACCTAGGGCCTGGGTGTCCACCTGGTGCCTGACTTCCAACTAGATCTTGTGTCAACATGGGGCCTGATGTCCACTTTGGGCCTAGGTAACTTCCTGATGACGAATGCCCACATGGCTCCTAAGGACCATCTGAGGCCTGGTATTAATTTAGAGACTGGTATCCACCTGGGGTCCAGGTATCCACTTGGGACCTGATGTTCACCTGGAGTGTAGGAATTCCCGTGGGGCCTGGTATCCACCTTCAGGGTGTGTATCCAATTGAGTGCTGGTGTCCACCTGGAGTCCCATGTATACCTGGGGCCTGATGTACACATGGAGCCTGGGAGTCCATCTAGGACCTGATGTTCAGATAAGGGCTGGCGTTCTCCTGGCCTGGTGTCCACATGGAGCCTGGGTGTACACTTGAAGCCTGATATCCCAGGTGGATACCTGGGCCCCAGTGGTCATCAGATCCTAGGAACCTCTCAGGCCCCAGGTGCACGTAAAGCTCCAAGTGGCCACCTAGGCCACAGGTTGATACACAGGGTCCAGGTGGACACTGGGTGCAAGATGAACACCAGGCCCCAGGTGTCTGCCTAGTCCTCAAGTGGACACCAGGCACTAGATTGACACACAGGTACCAGGTGGATATCAGGCCACAGGTGAACACCAGGCCCCAGGTGGTTGGGTTACTTATAGCATAGGTGGCCATCAGTTCCCAGGTCTATATCCACTCCCCACTTGAAAATCAGGATCCAGGTGGATACCCATGTCCTAGGTGAACACCAGGTTCCAAATGAACATCAGGCTCCAAGTGAACACACAGGCCCCAGTTCAATACCAGCCTCAGGTAGACATCAGGACCCAGGTGGACCCCAGGCCCAATGTGCATGCCTAGTCTCTTGGAATACATCATTTTCAAGGTGGACACCCAGATTCCTCAAAGACATCTGGTGCCAGGTGGATATCTGGCTGCAGGTGGACATCAGGCCCCAGGTGGAGACCCAGTACACAGGTGTAAATCAGGCTCCAGTATTTCATCAGGCCCCAGTTTAACACTTGACTAAAGGTGTGCATCAAGACCCAGGTTGACAGCCAGGCTTCAGGTGCACACTAGGCCCAAAGTGTACACCTGTGCCAAGGTGGGCATCAGGCCCAAGGTGTACACCAGACCCCAAGTGGACATCAGGTTCCAGGTTGACACCAGTCTCTAGGTAGATCCTTAAACCCCAGTTGGTCATCAGGCCCAAGGTGGATACCTTGACCCCAGGGGGTCACCAGGTCTCAGGTCGACACTAAGCCCTAGGTTCAAGGTCTGAGATGGTTTCAGCCCCCATGTGGACTTTAGTCATAAGGAGCTTACCTAGGCCCTAAGTGGACATCAGGCCCCAGGTTGACACAATGAACCATGTAGAAGTCAGGCTGTAAGTAGACACCCAGGCCCTAGGTAAATACTTTGGTCCCAAGCCAACATCAGGCCCTATGTGGACACCCAGACTCCAGGCAGATGTCAGGCCCCAGGTGAACACTGAACTCAGGGTGGTCATCAGGCCCTAGGTTGACACATAGGCCTCAGGTAGACAACAGGCACAGGTGAACTTCAGGCTCCAGATGAACGTCAGGCTCCAGGAAGAAATCTGTGCCCCAGTTAAAACCGGGTCTTAGGTAGACATCAGGCCTCAAATGGATGCCCAGGCCCCAGGTGGATATAAGGCCTCAGGCAAACACCAGGCCCCAGGTAGACATTAGACACGAGATGGACACTCAAGCCACAAGCGAACATCTGTCCCCAGGTGGACATCCACCCAAGGTGGACATCAGGCCAGAGATGTACACCCAGGCCCCAGGAGAACCCCAGGCCCCAGGAGGACACTCAAGTGCCAGAAGGACACCCAGTCCCTAGGTAACTACAAGGCCCCAAGTGGACATGATGTTCCAGATGGATATGAGGCCCCAAGTGGATACTAGGCCCAGGTGGACCCAGATCTCAGGGGCACACCAGGCCCCAGGGGAACACCAGGCCCTAGGTAAGCATGCAGTCCCAGGTGGACATCAGTTGCCAGGAGGACACCAGGACCCAGTTGCTCATCAAGCCACAGCTGAACACCAGTTCCCCATGAACACCAGTCCTCAGGTGGGCACCTAGTCCTCTTGTGTGCATCAGGTGCCAGGCTGACATAGGCACCAGCTGAACTCTGGGTCTCAGGTGAACATCAGATCCCAGGTTGTCACCCAGGCCCCAGGTGAACACCAGGTTTTAGGTGGACATGAGGTCCTAGGTGGATGTCTATGCTCCTGGTGAACCTCAGGCCCTAGTGGACACTCAGGCCCTTTATAGACATCTGGCTCCATGTGCACTCCCAGGGCCCAGGTAGACATGAGGCCCCAGAGGAACGCCAGTCCTTAATCACCTAAGACTGAATTCCCCTAGGGCTGGAGACTGAGTATTCACCTTGGGCCAAGGAATCTACCTGGGGCCAGATGTCGATCTGGGGCCTGATGTCTACTCAGGTTCAGCTGTCCACCTAGGGCAGGGTGTTTTTCTGGGACCCAGAGTCTACCTGAAATCTTGGTATCAACCTAGGGCCTATGTGTCCACTTGGAGTCTGATGTGCACCTGAAGCCTGAGTTTTCACCTGGGATCTGATGAGCACCTGGGGCCCAGGTTTCCATCTGAAACATCAGGCTCTAGTTATACATCTGGGCCCCAGGTATACACTAGGCACCAAAAGAACTCCAGCCCCTATCTTAACATGAGGTCCTAGGTGAATGCCCAGGCCTCATGTCTACATAAGGCCTCAGGTAGACATGACTCCAGGCGGGCATCAGGCCTGATATTGGCTCTATGTCTCCACCCAAATCTCATGTTGAATTGTAATCCCCACGGGTTGAAGAATGGGCCTGGTGAATGGTGATTGAATCATGGGGGCAGACTTCCCACTTGGTGTTCTCGTGATAGAGTTCTTACGAGACCTGGTTATTTGAAAGTGTGTAGCACATCCCCATTCTGTCTCCCTCCTCCTCCCACATGGTAAAAAGGGCTTGCTTCCTCTTGGCTTTACATCATGATTTTAAGTGTCCTGAGCCCGCCCAGTCATGCTCCCTATTAAGCCTGAAGAACTGTGGGTCAGTTAAACCTCTTTTCCTCATAAGTTGCCCAATATCAGGTAGTTTTTTATAACTGTGAAAATGGACTAATACAAGGCCTTAGGATAACAACCATGCTTCAGGCCATAGGTGGACATCTGGCTGCAACTGGACACTATTCCCCAGGTGGATACCTAGGCTCAAGGTTGACATTAGTCCCCAGGTAAACAACAAGCCCCAGGTGAATACCTATGCCCTAGTAGACATCAGGCCTCAGGCTGACACTCAGTCTAACCTCAACATTAGGCTCCAGGTGGACGCCCAGACTCCAGGTGGATACTAGACCCCAGGGGTACCAGACTCCTGGTAGGCATAAGACCCCAGGAGGACACTAGAATCCAGGTGTACATAAAGCCACTGGTTGACACCAAGCCCTCAGATGAACACCAGGCCAACTAGTGGACGTTAGGCACATGAGAATACTTGGGCACCAGGTAGGTATCAGGCCCCAGGTAAACATCAAACTTCAGGTGGACATCATTCTCCATGTGAACTCTAGCCCCAGCTAAACATCAGGCTCCAGGTGGAAGCCCAGACCCCAGGAGCACTTCTGGCCACAGTTGAACATCTGTCTCCAGGTGAATATCAGACCATGGATGGATAGCAAGTCCCCAGGTGGACATCAGGTCAAAAGTGAATATAAGTCTCTAGGAAGACATCTGGCCCCAGGTGGATACTGAACTAGAGGTTTACATCAGGCCCCAGGTTGACACGCAGGCTCGGGTGGACATTAGGCCCCAGGTGGATACCTAGGCCCCTAGTAAACCTCAGATTCTAGGTTGACATTCAGGCCCCCAGTAGTCATTTGGCCCCAAGTGGACACTCAGGAGCCAAGTTCACATGATGTCTTAACTGGACACCAAGGGGCCAGTTTGATACCCAATCCTATGTGGGTGCCAGGTCCAAGGTTACACTCAAGCCCCAAGTGGACACCAGGCCCTAGGTGAATAATACAACCCAGGTGGTCATTAGGCCCCAGAATGACACCAGTCCCCAGGTTAACAGGAAGCCCCCAGTGGGTACCTAGGCCCCAGCTGGACATCAGGCCCAATGTGGACACCCAGGATCAAGATGGACATCAGGACTCAGGTGGACATCTGGTGACAGGTGGACATCAAGCCTGGTGTGTACCTTGTCCCCGGGTGGTCATCAGGCCCCAGTTCAACACCAGTCCCCGGGTGGACTCCTCGGCTCCAGGTGGACATCCGGTCTTCAGCTGAACATCAGACCCCAGGTGAACTCCAGGTTTTAGGTGGACATTAGGCCCCTGGTGGACATAAAGTATCAGTGGACATCCATGCTGCAGGTGGACACCCAGGGCCCAGATGGGCATCAGGCCCCATTTGGACATTGAGGCCCCAGGTGGATATCAGGCCTCAGGTGAACCCTAGGTCCAACATAGACATCAGGCCTTAGGTTGACACTCAAGCACCAGATGGACTGCTGCACCTAAGCAGAAAACAGACCCTTATCTGGATATCTAAGATACAGGTATACAACAAGCCCCAGGCTGACATCCAGAACCCAGGTGGACACCATACCCCAGGTGAACAGCAGGCAACAGTTTGGCACCAAGTACCTAAGTGAAACAAAGCCTTAGGTGATTACCAGGCCATAGGTAGTCATTAGTCTCCAGCTGGACAATAGTCCCTAGGTGGATACCCAGGCCCCAGGTGGACACTAGACCCCAGATTAACACAAAAACCAAGTAAAAAATCAAGCCCCAAGTGGACAACCAGGCCCTAGGTAAATACACAAATCTCAAGCTGACACCAGGCCCTATTTGGACACCCAAGCCCTAGGTGGACTTCGGACCCCAGGTGAACACTGAACTCTAGAAGGTCTTCAGGCCCTGTGTTGACTACCTGGCCCCAGGGAGACACCAGGCATAGATGAACTTCAGGCACCAGCTGTACATCAGGTTCCAGGCAAATGTCCAGGCCCCAGGTGGGTATCACACCTCAGATGAACACCAGGCCCCAGGTAGACATCACAAACCAGGTGGACACTCAGGCCCCTACTGAATATCCGTCCCCAGGTGGACATCTGTCCCAAGGTGGACACGAGGCCACAGATGTACACTTAAGCCTAAGGCAGACCCCAGTCCCCAGGAAAACTCCAGGCTCCATGAGGGCACTCAGACCCCAGATGGATGCACTGGTCCTAGGTAAATACAAGGCCCCAGGTAGACAGCAGGCCCCAGTGAACACTGGAGCCCAGGTGGGTACCTAGTCCCCAGGTGTGCATCAGGCAGAAGGTTGACCCAGTCCCCAGCTGAACTCTGGGCCCCAGCTGAACATCATAACCCAGATGGTCACCCAGGCTCCAGGTGAACACATGGTCTTAGGTGGACATCAGGCCCCACATGAACACCCAAGCCCCAGGTAGAGATCAGGCCTTAGGTGTACACCAGACCTCAGGTGGGCATCTGGCTCCAGATGGCCATAGGTGGATAACTAAGCCTCTCGTGGATATCAGGCCCCAGGTGGGCACCAGGCTCCAGGCGAACATCTAGCCCCAGGGGGACATCCAGCCCCTGGTGGACATCAGGGCTCACATGGATAAACAGTTTACAGATGGACACCTGCCACAGGTGCCTCACCTCTACTCCCTGAAACCTCACTTCCCCTCATGGGCCTTCTGTCCGACTTGCGGTACCCCTAGCCGCCCTAGGCACACACTGGACTCGAACCAGGGGTGCCAGGGTCCCTGGGGCTCAGCGCAAGGGTTCATGGGAATACACTTTCGTCCGTGGGGGACCCAGTCCTCACTTCTCGGCGGCGCAGTTTTTTTTTTCTCTGCCCCAGGTGCCTCACCTTCCCCTCATGGGCCTTCTGTCCACCTTGTGGTACCCCTGGCGGCCCGAGGCGCACCCTGGGCTCGAACCAGGGATGCCAGGGTCCCCAGGGCACAGCGCAAGGGCTGATGGGGAGACACTTTCTTCCGTGGGGGTCCCAGGCCCCGCTTCTCCGTGGCGCGTTTTTTTTCCCTCTGCCCCAGGTGGGTCACCTTCCCCTCATGGGTCTTCTGCCCGCTTTGGGGTACCCCTAGTGGCCCCAGGCACACGCTGGGCTCAAATAAGGGTGGCCAGGGTCCCCGGGGCCCAGCGCAAGGGTTGATGGGAAGACACTTTCACCCGTGGGGGACCCAGGCCCCGCTTCTCCGCAGCACTGTGTTTTGTTTTTTTTTTTCTCTGCCCCAGGTGACTCACTTTCCCCTCATGGGCCTTCTGCCCACTTTGGGTTACCCCTAGCAGGCCAGAGGCGCACCCTGCATTCGAGCCAGGGACGACAGGGTCCCCGGGGCCCAGCACAAGGGCGGATGAGACGGCACTTTCGTCCTTGGGGGACCCAGGCCCTGCTTCTCTGTGGCGCGGTTTTTTTTTTCTTTTATGCCACAGGTGCCATACCTCTCCTCCCTCAAACCTCACCTTCCCCTCATAGGCTTTCTGCCCGCCATGGGGTACCCCAAGAGGCCCGAAGCGCACCCTGGTCTTGAACCAGGGATGCCAGGGTCCCCTGGGCCCAGCTCAGGGGCTGATGGGAAGACACTTTCTTCCGTGGGGGACCCAGGCCCCGCTTCTCCGCAGCACAGTTTTTTTTTTTCTCTGCCTCAGGTGCCTCACCTACCCCTCATGGGCCTTCTGCCCGCTTCTGGGTACCCCTAGCGGGCCCAAGGCGCACCCTGGGCTCGAACCAGGGTCGCCAGTGTCCGCGAGGTCCAGCGCAAGGCCTGATGGGAAGGCACTTTCGTCAGTGGGGGACACAGGCCCAGCTTCACTGCGGCGCGGTTTTTTTTTTTTCCTGCCACAGGTGCCTCACCTTCCCGTCATGGGCTTTCTGTCCGCCTTGGGGTACCCCCAGCGGCCCGAGGCGCACCCTGGGCTCGAACCAGGGATGCCAGGGTCCCTGGGGCCTAGCACCGGGTCTGATGGGAAGGCACTTTCTTTCGTGGGGAACCCAGGCCTCCCTTCTCCGTGGCGAGGTTTTTTCCTTTTTTCTCCGCCCCAGGTGCCTCACCTTCCCCTCATGGGCTTCTGCCCACTTTGGGGTACGGCTAGCGGCCCGAGGCGCACACTGGGTTCGAACCAGGGTCGCCAGGGTGCACGGGGCCAAGCGCAGGGGCTAATGGTAAAGCACTTTCGTCCGTGGGGGACCCAGGCCCCCCTTCTCCGTGGCGTTTTTATTTTTTCTGCCATAGGTGCCTCACCTCTCCTCCCTCAAACCTCACCTTCGCCTCATGGGCCTTTTGCCCGCCTTGGGGTACCCCTAGTGGCCCGAGGCGAACCATGGGGTCGAACCAGGGACGCCAGGGTTCCCGGGGCCCAGTGCAAGGGCTGATAGGAAGACACTTTCGTCCGTGGGGGACCCAGGCACCGCTTCTCCGCGGCGCAGTTTTTTTTTTTTTCTTTTGGCTGCCCCAGGTACCTCACCTTCCCCTCATGAGCCATCTGCCTGATTTGGAGGTACCCCTAGTGGACCGAGGCGCACCCTCGGCTCGAATCAGGGTCGTCAGGGTCCCCGGGGCGCAGCGCAAGGGCTGATGGGAAGACACTTTCGTCCGTGGCGGACCCAGGCCCCGCTTCTCTGCGGTGCGGTTTTTTTGTTTTTTTTTGTCTGCCACAGGTGCCTCACCTCTCCTCCCTCAAACCTCAACTTCCCCTCATGGGCTTTCTGCCCGCCTCGGGGTACCCCTAACGGCCCGAGGCGCACCCTGGGTTTGAGCCAAGGTCGCCAGGGTCCACGGGGCTCAGCGCAGGGCCTGATGGGAAGGCACCTTCGTCCGTGGGGGACCCATGCCCTGCTTCTCCGTGGCGCGTTTTTTTTTCTGCCACAGGTGCCTCACCGCTCCTCCCTCAAACCTCACCTTCCCCTCATGGGCCTTCTGTCTGCCTTGGGGTACACCTAGCGGCCCGAGGTGCACTGTGGGCTCGAACCAGGGAAGCCAGGGTCCCTGTGGCCCAGCGCAAGGGCTGATGGGAAGACACTTTCGTCCGCTGGGGGGACCCAGTCCCCGCTTCTCCGCGGCGAGGTTTTTTTTTTTTTTTTTGTCTGCCCCAGGTGCCTCACCTTCCCCTCATGGGCCTTCTGCACACTTTGGGGTACCCCTAGCGGCCCGAGGCGCACCCTGGGCTCGAACCATGGAGGCCAGGTTCCATGGGGCCAAGCGCAGTGGCTGATGGGAAGGCACTTTCGTCCCTGGGAGACCCAGGCACCAGTTCTCCGCTGCGAGGTTTTTTTGTTTTTTTTTGTTTTTTTTTTTTTTTCTGCCACAGGTGCCTCATCTCTCCTGCCTCAAACCTCAGCTGAAACTTTTGGGCCTTCTTTCCTCCTTGGGGTACTCGTAGCAGCCTGAGGCGCAGCGTGGGCTCGAACCAGGGATGTCAGCGTCCTCGGGACCCAGCTCAAGGGCTGACGGAAAGACACTTTCGTCAGTGGGGGACCCAGGCCCCGCTTCTCCGCTGCGCGGTTTTTCTTCTTTCTCTGCCGCAGGTGCCTCACCTTCCCCTCATGGGCTTTCTGCTCTCCTTGGGGTACCCCTAGCGGGTCCAAGGTGCACCCTGGTTTCCAGCCAGGGACACCAGGTTCCCCAGGGCCCAGCGCAGGGGCTGATGGGAAGGCACCTTCGTCCGTGGAGGAGCCAGGCCCCGCTTTTCTGCAAGCGCGGTTTTTTTTTCCTTTGCCCCAGGTGTCTTACCTTCCTCTCATGGGCTTTCTGCCGGCTTCTGGGTAACCCTAGCGGGCGCGAAGCGCACCTGGGGCTCGAACCAGGGTTGCCAGGGTCCATGGAGCCCAGGGCAGGGGCTGATGGGAAGACACTTTCATCCGTGGGGGACCCAGGTCCCGCTTCTTTGCGGCGCGGTTTTTTTTTTTCTCTGCCCCAGGTGTCTCACCTTCCCCTAATGAGCATTCTGCCCGCTTTGGGATACCCCTATTGGGCACGAGGCGCACCCTGGGCTCTAACCAGGGTCGCCAGTGTCCATGGGGCCCAGCGCAGGGGCTGATGGGAAGGCACTTTCGTCCCTTGGGGACCCAGGCCCCGCTTCTCCGCGGCGTGTTTTTTTTTTTTTTTTTTTCCTGCCACAGTTGCCTCACGTCTCCTCCCTCAAACCTCACCTTCCCCTCATGGGCCTTCTGTCCGACTTGGGGTACCCCTAGTGGCCAGACGCACACCCTGGGTTCGAAACTGGGACACCAGGGTCCCCGGGGCCCAGCGCAAGGGCTGATGCGAAGACACTTTCTTCCTCGGGGACCCAGGCTCTGCTTCTCTGCGACGTTTTTGTTTTTGTTTTTTTCGCTTTTCCCCAGGTGCCTCACCTTCCCCTCATGGGCTTTCTGCCCGCCTTGAGGTACCACTAGCGGGCCCGAAGCGCACCCTGGTTTCGAGCCAGGGACGCTAGGGTCTCCGGGGCCCAGTTCAGGGCTGATGGGTAGGGACGTTCGTCTGTGGGGGACCCAGGCCCCACTTCTGGGCGGCGCAGTTTTTTTATTTTTTTCTCTGCCCCAGGTGTCTCACCTTTCCCTCATGGGCCTTCTGTCTGCCTTGGGGTACCCCTAGCAGGCCGAGGCGCATGCTGGGCTCGAGCCAGGGATACCAGGGTCCCTGGGGCGCAGCGCAAGCGCTGATGTGAGGACAGTTTCTTCTGTGGGGGAGCCAGGCCCCGCTTATAGGCGGCGCGGTTTTTTTTTTTTTTTTCCTCTGCCCCAGGTGCATCACCTTCCCCTCATGGGCCTTCTGCCCGCTTTTGGGCACCCCTAGCGGCCTGAAGCGCACCCTGGTCTCGAACCAGGAATGCCAGGGTCACCTGGGCCCAGCGCAAGGGCTGATGGGAAGACACTTTTGTCCGTTGGGGACCCAGGCTCTGCTTCTCCGTGGTGCGGTTTTTTTTTTTTTCTGCCACAGGTGCCTCACCTCGCCTTCCTCAAACCTCAACTGCCCCTCATGGGATTTCTGCCCGCTTGTCTTCCGAGGCTGCGGTGTGGATCTCGCACTGCGGCCGCCTCGCCTTGGCTGGGGAGAACCTCGGTGGGTAGGATTCAGAGGGGCTTTTGGTTTCCCATTTTCCACACTGAACCCTTCTAACTGGTCTCTGACCCTGATTATTAAGGGCTGCAAACAGGAAGGATTTTATTCACCATTGATGCGGCTCCGAGTAGTCCCAAAGCGAGGCAGTGCCCACAAGGTCTGTGCTGAGAAGGCTGCTCTGCCTTCGCGGTGTCTCCCGGGTGTGTGCTGAGCAGAACGCAGCTCCGCCCTCGCGGTGCCCCTGGCCCGCCCGCCCGGGTCTGTGCTGAGGAGAACATGCTCCGCTTCGCTGTATCTCCGAAGTCTGTGCAGAGGAGAACTCAGCTCCGCCCTGGCAATGCTCTCCGGGTCTGTGCTGAGGAGAAGGCAGCTCCGCCCTCGCAAAGGCACAGGGCGCCGGCGCAGGCGCAGAGAGGCGCACGGGGGTACCCCTAGCGGGCTCGAGGCCCACCCGTGGCTTGAACCAGGGTCTCCAGGGTCCACAGGGCCCAGAGCAGGAGCTGATGGGAAGGCATTTTCATCGTGGGGGACCCAGGCCCTGCTTCTCCGTGGCGCGGGTTGTTTTTTTTTCTTTTTCTGTGACAGGTGCCTCACCACTCCTCCCTCAAAACTCACCTTCCCTCATGGGCTTTGTGCTCCCAAAGCTCCCCTTGGGGTGCACGTAGCGGCTGAGGCACACCCTGAGCTCGAACCAGGGACACCAGGGTCCCCGGGTCCCAGTGCAGGGACTGATGGGAAGACACTTTCGTCCGTGGGGAATCAGGCCGCGCTTCTCTGCAGCGAAGTTTTTTTTTTCTCTGCCCCAGGTGCCTCGCCTTCCCCTTATGGGCTTTCTGCCCACCTTGGGGTAACACTAGTGGCCCGAGGCGTACCCTGGGATCAAACCAGGGACGCCAGGGACCTCAGTGCCAAGCGAACGGGCTAAGGAGAAGACAATTTCCTCCGTGAGGGACCCAGGCACTGCTTCTCGGCGGCGCGTTTCTTTACTTTCTCTGCCTCAGGTGCCTCACCTTCCGCTCATGGACCATTTGTTCGCTTTCTGGTACCGCAAGCGGTCCCGAAGCGCACCCTGGGCTCGAACCAGGGTCGTCACTGTCCACTCTGCCCAGGGTACAGCATAATGGGAAGGCACTTTCATCCATGGGGGACCCAGGCCCCACTTGTCTGAGGCGAGGTCTCCTGTTTTTTTCCTGCCCCTGGTGCCTCACCTCTATTCCCACAAACTTCAAATTCAACTCATGGGCCTTCTGTCCGAGTTGGGGTACCCCTAGTGGCCCGACGCGCACCCTGGGCGCCAACGACGGATGCCAGGGTCCCTGGGGACCAGCGCAAGGGCTGATGGGAAGACATTTTCGTCAGTAGATGACCCAGAAACCGCTTGGCGATGCATTTTTTTCTCTGCCCCAGGTGCCTCAACTTCCCCCCATCAGCCTCCTGTCTCTCTGCACCTGCGCCGGCGCCGTGCTCTTCTCTGCGCCGCCACCGTTGCTGGGGGATGGGTCCCTGAGACTTGGCGAAGTAGGAGTACTGGACTCGTGCACAGGCCCTGTCTCGCAGGTTTTCAGGTGCGCTTGGCGTTTCCTCCGCTTTGAGGGGCAGGTCTCCAGTGGCCCCCGGGCGCAGGCCTGGACATCACTGTCCGTCTCATCGTCGCCCACTACGGCCTCAGAGACACAGGCTCACTGCATGTGCTCTTGGGGGACGTCAGTGCCACGTGTGGTCACACTGGCTCCGGCTCGGACTAGCCTCTGTCTCTCTTTGCCCGTGTCGCCGGAAGCCGCGTCGAGATGCCGGAGCCCCCGGGCCTTGGAGATGAAGGCAGGCCCCTGCTCCACCCAGGAAGGAGGGAGGCAGTGGGCTCGTGGGTCAGTGCCTTTGCAGGCGACAGCACGCCTTGCGGCCCTGGGGATCTTTCTGTGCCCCGGCGAGAGCCTTTCCGCCTCACTGCATTGTAACCCCATTCCCGATCACCGGGTGGGATCCATCATCGGATCCCAAGAGGAGTCCGCGCAGCCCAGCCGACACCCCGAAGCTCCTCCTTCACCGAGAACCCAAGCAGAAGACCGATCAAGGAGGTCCTGACGACAGGACTCCTATGGGTCCGACCCTGGGTCTCCCGCAGGCCCCTCTGGTAGTCCTCTTCCCACCCGCCGCCCGGGGCTGCGCCGCAGCCGCCGCCGCAACCTCCAGCACCGCCGCCCCAGTCCCCGCAGCCGCCGCGTCGCCGCCATTTTTTAAAGGGTCCGCAGCCTGACTCTGCCGAGTAAGGGGGGGTGGGGCGGGTGAGTCGGCCTCGCCAGTGCGCATGCGCGAGGCCCGAGCCGCCGCTTTGGTCACAGTGACCGCCACCGTCGCCGGGGGATGGGTCCCTGAGACTTGGCGAAGTAGGAGCCCTGTGTGATCGTGCGTCAGAGTCGGGGCTGAGACCAGCCCTGGCCAGGGCAGTTACCAGGACGGTCTCCGGAGGCCGGGATTCGCGGAGGGTCCACCAGCAGGAAGAAACCCCAGGAGGAAGAAACCTCAGACAGATCGCCGGGGAGGCAGCGCGGGATCCCAGCCTCAGGCGTGCGCGGACGGTGTGCGGGTGAGTCTCCCCAAAAGTGGCGCCCTTGTGATGTCGAGGACAGGTCTCCCTGTGTGCCCGTGGGCTGCTGTCTCACCGGTGGCTCGTAGTCGCGGAGACCAGAACCCGGCAGCTTCAGGGGCTGCCTGGGGGTGGGTGTTACCTGCTGTATGTCTGTGTCCATTATGGGTGTGTGTGTGTGTGTGTGTGTGTGTGTCTGTGTGTCTGCGTGTGTGTGCGCGCGCGCGCGCGCGTGCGTGCGTGTCTGTGTGCCCACTACCGTCTCTCTCTTAAGTCTCTCTCTCTCTCTCTCTCTCTCTCTCTCTCTCTCTCTCTCTCTCTCTCTCTCCCTCTCTCCCTTCTCGCTCTTTCCGTCGCCCTCGCTTTCTGTCTCTGTCCGTCTGTGTGTGCGTGCGCCTTGGGACACATGTTCCCTGTGCGCCGGAGGCTGGGTTTCTTGCACGTCGGCCTTTCTTCTGGTCAGCCTCTCCCCGCGTCTCTGCCTGGGTGTTGTGGCCGGTTGGCAATCGTTTTCCCGGCGGTTCCGGCTTGGGGGTCTGTGAAGGCCTGGGCAACGTGGGCATCTGCGTCGGAGCCGCAGGGGTTTTCATTCCCTCCCCATCCGGAGCAGCCTCTTTGCTAGGCTAGATCCAGACGACCGCTCCCCAACCAAGGACAACGGCCTCCCAGGCGCTCATTGTCCACCCGCAGGAGGGTGCCCGCAGACCTTCCAGAAGATGCTTCTCACGCCTCTTGCCCTGCCCTCTGCCCTCATGGAGAAATCTAGCCACAGCTCGACGCAGGGACGGAGAAGGAAGCCGGCAAGGGGATGGGGCAAGCCTCTCTCTCACTCAAAGGCAGTATAGAAGTCCACCACAGAGGCATATCCAGTATGGTGCCCACCACCTCATCTTGGGGCTGGGTGAAGGGCAAGTGGCACTGCAGGAAATAGTAGCCTTGTTCTCTGTCCTCAATTTGTTCCAAGATTGCGGCCCACACCAGTGCTTGGGCTTGTGAGAATGGAGGGCTCTCCAACAGTTCAGAAACAAGCAGTCTGCCGCAGAGGTGAGAAGAGCAAAAGACACCCCCACCTATGCTTTTCCATGGAACATCAAGTCCCTCAGAGTATAATGTCTGCTGGGTTCTTGCTTCCTTATTTTTCTGTGTTCAAATTTCTTCTTGTGGTGCTCTAGCACACTTCCGTCTATATAGATATTGGAATTAACGATTATTTATCCATAACTTTGCTTTCTCTTTCTGAGAATAACTAGAGTCAAATATCTATAGTCAGTCATATTGAAGAAAAACCTCAGAAATATACTTCTTAGTAACTCAACACCCAAGAGCAAATCATAATGGAAATTATAAAATATTTTTAATTAAAAAATGTATACTACATTATAAAATGTGTCATTTTAGAGGAAAATGTAGAACCTTAAATTCTTATTTTATGAGGACAACAAATTAATTTTTAAAATGTTTTGAATTTATTGGTAGAAGTTAGAAATATCAACAGAAATAAAAGGAAATAATAAATACATGCATAGTGATTAAGAATACAGGGAAAGAAAAGTCAAGAAATATGGCCAAAAGTTTGTTAGTTGTTGTAGGAGCCATACAATAACAAAACTCTGGAGAAATGGCTTGATAAAATTAAGAGAAGAAACAAGTATGCCATCTCAGGAATCAAAATAGGAAATAATTATACATCAGGTGTCAAGAATTTTTTTTGTTTTTTGGAAAGGATCTGTTGGTAATTATTTTAGGTTTTTGGGCTATATGGTTTGTTGCAACTAATCAATTCTATTGTTGTGGCATAAATTGACAGTATGTCAATGAATGAGCATGACAGTGTTCCAGTAATACTTTATTTATAAATACTGTCTGGCTTATTTGCCACAGTTTATTGAGTTTTGTTATAAATAATACAAATATCAAGAAGGTAAATTAGTATAGTATGAAAACGTTTAATTCAATAAATTTGGAAATATATGTAAAATGTGTACAATTACTTGAAACATGCATTTTTCCAAAAGTAACCTAAAGTGAAAAGAAAAATCTGAATTGTGCTACAACAAATGCATGTAATCAGTAGTCAGAAATCATATCATAAAGATAATTTCAAGCCATGATGACTTTACTGGCAAGTTGTTTCAAACATGAAACAAAACAATAATTCCAATCTTACATACAATTCTTTCTGAGCATGAAACAGGAAAGAACATACTCTATTTTATTTTATTATGCTATTATGACTCTGATATTATAACCTGACAAGGATAGTAAAGGGAAAGTAAATTAAACACCAATGTAATTTATGAAAATATTGAAGGAAAACTTAAAAAAGTTCCATGCAGAAATAAGCAATGCATTAAAATGTAAGACATCACAGCCAATGTTTATTCTAAGAAACCCTGGGAAGCAATAATGGCCTCATGTAAAGGTATCAATTAATATGATACACCACAACAAATAACTTAACAATATTATAAGCATATTTAATTTTATTTTCTTAAAAAGTCATACATTTTAACAACCCGAAATTAAAAGAGAATCTAGTTTAACTGATAACATTTGTTTTCAAAAGTTCTATTGAAATTATAACACTTAACAATGGAATGTTCAAATATTTCCTTTGTGATTGGGAACAAAATAAACATAGATGGTACAAGCAATTTTATTTATCCTTTTGCAGGTCTTAGACACTGGGATAGGATTGTAAATATTAAAAAAATAAGAATTATGAAAGAGAAAACAGATTACTATGTTACCGATGACACTAAGTACACAGAAAATTCAAAATGATTCTAAGATACATTATACTAATGAATATGAGCTTTTAGCAAGATGCTTTGACACAAACGTATTATGCAATATTGAAATGCATTTCAAATAAGTAGAGAACTTTATTTAGATGTGTCAATGTGGCTTACTCTCACAAACATAGTATTTAGTGGCATGATTAAGTCACAAAAGAATACGTACAGTATAACTCAGTTTAAATAAAGTTCAAATAAACATAGACATAACATTGACATAAATATATTCTTAATTGAAAGACTTTAATGAAATCACTTCTCCCCAAAATTAATCTTTGTAACTAGTGCATCCAAAGTAAAACCCAGTAAGGTTTGATTTAGATATTGACAAGCTAATTCTAGAATTTATGTAAACTCTAAAAATATTAAAATTCAGTTAATAATTTATTGAGGAAGGAAAAATATATTACAGGAAATATAAGAATTAATGCAATGTGGTATTAACAAAGTAATAAATAATCAATGAAATGGAATAGGTAGACTACAGTAAGGAAAATATAAGAACCCATGATATGTAAGAAAGCTAGTATTATAGATCAGTGGTGAAAAATAAATTTGCCAATAAATGAGAGTGAGAAAACTGGCTATACATATGGAAAATAATTAAAGTGATTCTTTACCTTATATAATATTTAACAATCAATTCCTTGGCAATCAATATTTAAATGTAAAGCCAGGCAAAAATTACAGAAAACCCGACAGTAAAACAAAGAAAATGGCTTGCACATGTGCTTTATAAAATGTACAATGTAAGTGTCCACCATACCTATTTAGAATCACTTTAACTTATTTTTAACACAAAAATGCAAATGAAAATGTTTTATATGTACATTATTACTTATACAAGAGATTGACCAAAAACGGTCTGACAAGACAGACTTCTGGCAAACATATAGAGCAATAATAATTTCATATGCTTTCCTGGAAATGGAAATTATATCCGTTTTAAAAAGAGGCTTGTATTACCCAGTAATATTGAAGATGACCATATATTCTAATCAGCAATTGGCTTTCACTCCTTATTTTGTATGTACATGGTTGGCCATTAAGAAATGTAATCCAAAATATTTACAGGCTCAGTTAAGTACTATAAGCAATGCAAAAGTTAAACAACTGTAGAATGTGGTAGATTCATACAGTGGAATACTACACTTTAGAAAAAAAATAGATAACTTTATTTAGATATGTTAATGTGGCTTACTCTCACAAACATAATATGCAGTGGTATGATTAAGTCACAAAAGGATATGTACAATATAATTCAGTTTAAATAAAGTTCAAGAACACAAAACAGCAAGTTGGATTGTTTATAAAAGGTTTACTGGACACTAAATCTACAAAGATAATAATAGAAATTATTTTAACACATCCTTCAATTACCTTTCATTCCTCCAGAAATTTGTTGAAACCTCTTGAATGCCTGTGACCTTTCTCATTTCCTCCACTGTTTAATTTCCTTTTATACTTTGTTTAAAACTTTGAATGGACATATGAGAGATGAAGTCATATTTTTCTAAATAAGTTCAAAAATATTTTGCTTTAAAATATAAGTAGTGATTAAATTTCTAAGAATTGAGCAATAGTTGAATGTTATAAATTTAGTTTTCATGAATATTTCTCTCTCCACATTTCTTCTTCTCAACTTGCTCATATCCCTTCAAATGACAAAATACTTAGAAGTATTTGAGTCAAGTTAGATATATTTTTGAAGATATTATTTGCTTATTTATCTATGAGAGGTCAACAACAACTTCCATGAATATTAGGAAAGCAAATGTCGGTAGCTCTATTCACTTCAATATTGAATTCACCTATATCTGAAATTTAAATGTCAGTGATAAGACTGACAGAAAGCGTCACACACTTTAGGTAACACAGCACTAAGTGGCAACACTTTAATATTGTCACTATTACATTTTTCAGATATACAATATATACTTTACCAAGAATCCTAGTCTATTATGTTCTAAGGATGAGCTGTCTTTATACAAATTCACAATAAATAGCTGTGTAAATAAGAGTTACCATTTTTATTTTATAGCATAAAATGTATTTCAATTAGTTGTACAAATCAGATATGTTATAAAAGAAACATCTTTCCTATTATTGAATTACCCAAAGTTGCTTACCTAACATAGAATCTTGTGGAGGAAAATAGGCCAGTGAAATTCAGTGATTATTCATTATGATCAAGGTGATTAGTACAGAAATCTCCATGACTATTCTGTGCAGTGTCTTTTCTTTAACAATATTTTATAATCATTCTTATTTTTACTTTCTGTAGACAAATCCTTTCTTGTTTTGCCTCCTTTTAGGTACTTTTGAGATTATAAAAGTATATAGTAAAAACAAATGCACACACAAAACTATTCGGTTGGTATACTTAATTTTGTTAGAATAGATTTAGTCCAGGTATATTCCAGTGGTTTCTTACTGAGAGTTCATCCTAGTCCCCTGATTATTACTTGAGTGTTCACTGATGGTTTTTCCTTCTTGTTAACAGGAAATAGTTTTGGTTTCTGCTAAAAATGGCAGTTGTGTGAGTTTTATTTCTTAGAAAATAACTATATTTTATATTTGGTGAATATCTTAGTTTTGCATTTAATTTGCTAAGCAGAATCAATGCAATCACTATCATATTCTATAGTTTTTCCTAACAGATTGATAGAGTAAAATGTATGGTTTTTCTAATTTTTAGCATTTGTGTCCAATAAAATGACTTTATATAATTTTTTTCTTGTTGGTTCATTTTTTTTCCGGTCAAAGTTTCTTCTTTAGTTTCTCATATAATTGATTCAAAACTCCTAAGTGATGATCACAGTAACCTTAGGTATTTCTTAATTCTCCATAATAAATATAGCATCTGAGTCTAATTTCTTCTGGGAGATTTATTAACTTTTAAGATAGCATGTGTCACTTACATAATCTAACAATGCATTTTGCATACTAAAATGATGAAACATTCTTAATGAATTTAAATAGCTACTTTATCAGAAACAGGAGTCATAGGTTGAATTTTTATGTGGGTAGTAGAGCTAAGAATATTTGTAAAACAGCTCTCCATGATGGGCTCCAACAGGATGAAGTAAGACCACCTACCAAGGAAGTAAGATCAGTCCCAAAATGAACTGTACATGAAATTCTGCTCTAAGATCTTTTTGCTTTTTAACATGATTTCAGAAAAGGCTAATTTTTGTAATGGACTACAATACTTGTTTTGCTACATAAGCTTTCAGGATTTTTTTTCTTTTATTTTTATTTTAAAATTAATTTTTGAGCAGCATTCTTGACTGCAAGAAAGCTTCTGTCAGTTTCCCAAATTACTCAAATAACATGTATTTTACACTGAAAATCATGAGCTCCTTAACTCAAAGCTTTTCCTTGTTGTTTTTGTAACTATTTACCATACAATTACTTGTAAATGAAATGTATAACATAAATATGCGCTAACATAAAGGAAGATGTTTAAATATTTTTTAGACTTCTGAAAAAAGATAAAACTCTCGGTTTTTAAGAACATTGTATCTTTCATTTTATCTTTCTTTCTCCTCCAAATATATTAATAACTATCCTTCTATTTGTTACGTTCTTTTACTTAAAGGGACTAAAGTATAAATCAGGTAATTAATACACAAAACTTTATTCTGTCCCTTGCTTGTAGCACTACTTCATTCCAGTTTCCTCAGAGTTTATTATATAAATCAGACAGATTTGTAAATAAGTATTTTACAGTCTACATTTATTTGATTATGAAAATGGAAACAGAATAAAATGTGAAAAGATAACAAACTTTACTTGTGTGTTTCTCCATCTTTTCAAGTTGATCAGGTATATGGATGGCATTTTAAATAATGTGTTAAATTTAGAGAATGCATTAAATAGAAAAGAAAATTGTGGGAAATAGGAAAGCCTTTCCATTAAGGGTTTAGATATAAAATGTTCTATTCAGTTACAAACTAAACCTAAAATGAGAGGGTTTTTTTGTTTAACTGAAAGAGCTAGAGAGTAATTAAAGGTAATTGGCATGTTATTATTCTTAAAAGGTTCGCTTTTCTGTTCTAAGAATACCAGGGAACAATTGAATAGATAAAAAGCAAACTATAAATTGCCAAATAGATCTTTTGTATAATAATACATCTCCCAAGACAAAAGATATTTCAGACCCATAAAAAATAAGGGAAGTGTATTTGCCTGACTGGTCTTGCATCTTGCCTGACCACAATGAATTTGCATCAGATTTTAAACTCACAGAGTTATAAAATATCTTAATGTGTTAAGAGGGAATCAAAAGTGAATGTGATTAACTTGAAGGAACTAGTTGGCAGACTTTAACATTAGGCTAGTAGAAACTATTTAATAAATAAAACTGAAAGCAGAAAAATACTTTTCTTAAATAATTATTAGTGGCAGATTGATACTGTTAATATTATTGATTCAATCTGGGAAGTCCTCCCTCTTGCCTTTTCTCTACCCAGATCTTGCATTCTTTTGCAAAATAAGAACAATACAAACTCATTATTATTATTATTATTATTTTTTTTTTTTTTTTTTTTTTTTTTGGAGACAGAGTCTCGCTCTATCGCCCAGGCTGGAGTGTAGTGGCGCGATCTTGGCTCACTCAACCTCCGCCTCCCGGGTTCACGCCGTTCTCCTGCCTCAGCCTCCCGACTAGCTGGGACTGCAGGCTCCCGCCACCATGCCCGGCTAAATTTTTGTATTTTGTTTAGTAGAGACGGGGTTTCACCGTGTTAGCCAGGATGGTCTTGATCCCCTGACCTCGTGATCCGCCCGCCTCGGCCTCCCAAAGTGCTGGGATTACACGCTTGAGCCACTGCGCCCGGCAACAAACTCATTATTAAGTCACTTATTTACTATTCTATTCCTCAATGAACTCTTTTGTAGACTTCTACCCCATCTATAACCAATGCAGTGGTACTCCTCCCTCTCATATTTAGTTTCTCAGCTCAAGTAAGACTTCCTCAGAGGTTTAATCTAATTAATCTTAATCTAATTAAAATAGAAACCCTTACCCGTTTATTCTGTCCAAAGCAACATGTTTCCCCTCCCCTCCCCTTCCCCTCTCCTTCCCCTCCCCTTCCCTTCCCCTTCTCTTCCCCTTCTCTTCCCCTTCTCTTCCCCTTCCCTTCCCCTTCCCTTCCACTTCCTTTCCTTCCCCTTCTTTCCCCTTGCCTTCCTTCCTGCCTTCTTTCTTTTCCTTCTTTCTGTCTTTTCTAATACAAGGCTTGACCACTGGGGTAAAATTGTCAAAATGTAAAAAGGAGATAATTAAAAAATAAATAGTACCTAAGTAGTATGCTAAAATATACATGGGGCAAGATCATCTTTGCATTTTATGCTTGGGTGCATTCTGGACTACCTTAATCTTTTTTTTTCTTCCCTAAGACAGAGTCTCTCTCTGTCATGCAGGCTGGAATGCAGTGGCACCATGATGACTCACTACAGCCTCCACCTCCGAGGCTCAAGTGATTAATCTTAAATAGTGCAATTATTCTATTTAATCACAAATGTCAGCATCTCTTTTCTTTAGTTTTGGCACATGGTTTTCACCTTTTATCCTCTCTCTCTCTCTCTCTCCATGCTTCATTATATTAGTTCCCTAGGCTATCACAACAAATTGACACAAACTAAATGACTTCAACAACAGCAATGTATTCTAAAATAGTTCTAGAGGCTAGAAGTCCTAAATACAGTGGGGCCACACTCGCTCTGAGGTCCCTAGAGAGAATCCATTCTGTGGATCTTCCAGCTTCTGGGGGCTGCCAGCATTCCTTTACTCATGCGAGCATTCCTTTACCCCAGCTTCTGGGGGCTGCACCACTCCAATCTCTGCTCCCTGGTCACATTGCCTCCTCTTCTGTGTGTCAAGTCTCCCTCTGACTCACTCTTAAAAGAACATTTGTCAGGCCAGGCACAGTGGCTCACGCCTGTAATCCCAGCAATTTGGGAGGCCGAGGAGGGCGAATAACTTGAGGTCAGGAGTTTGAGACCAGCCTGGCTAACATGGTGAAACCCTTCCTCTAATAGAAGTATAAAAATTATCTGGGCATGATGGCAGGCGCTTGTAATCCCACTCCTCAGGAGGCTGAGGCAGGAGAGTTGCTTGAACCTGGGAGGCAGAGGTTGCAGTGAGCAGAGATTGCACCACTGCACTCCTCCAGCCTGGGCGAAAGAACAAGACTCCATCTCAAAAAAAAAAAAAAAAGAAGAACATTTGTCATTGAATTAAAGACCCGTGAGTATATTTCAGAATAAGCCCCTTCCCTTAAAGTCCTTAACTTAATCACAAGCATTGCCATATAAGGTAATATTCACTGTTTAACGTGTCATTATATTCAAACATTCCAAGGATTAACGCGTCACATATCTTTTAGAAAAAACTATTCGGCCTACTAAACTCGATGAGTCTTCATCTAGTGAGACTCAGGCCGAGTCAGATAAAAAGCTTTACAATATTCCACAGCTCTCTCTACACGTGTTAAAAACAAGGAGAAAGAGTTTCTCTTAAAATTTTAAGTTCACTAAAAATAGAACAAAAGCAGAAACAATTGAGGTTTTTGTGGTTGTTGCTGTTTGTGTCTTTATTTTTAAAGATTCTACTTTGTACCATATATACATGGTAAATTATTCATTATCATATCTGCTTCTTTTTTTTCATTTGAAGTAATCATATTCCATGGAAAATATTTAAATTCCCAGGCATTGTTAGCTGTAGAGCTCATAAAATGTTCAATGCTTCAGTGAGTTGCAAATTGAAAACAGAAATAAATTCTTGGAGAAAAACTTGACAGTATTCTACACACTTTGCTCTTGATTGATGTCATGTGGTGATTCCAATAAATGACTTTTTTCAAACAACTTAAACTATAACTGATTTAAGTAAATGGGGGTGCAATGGTTCTTTCTTATAGATCTCATCTGCTGAGATGCTATACACAGAATTTCAATCATCTTACCCTATGATTTTTCAAAGATGTATAAGAATGAATAATAATATTATTATTCATTATTATTTATTCTAAAAATAAAAATAATTATATTCATTATTCTAAAAATAAATTTTTGTTTATTATTAATAAAATAACATATAAGGATACATTTATTTATTACAATCATGAAGATATTTAGAATGTACCATTTTCTAGGTAGTAAACTATTGCTTCACATATTTTTGTTCATTTAATCTTTATTTTTATAAGTCAACAACTATAGATATTATTTTATATTATTTATACTTTATAAAATATAATAAAGACATTTTAAAATATATATCAAATATATATTATAAAGTATTACATTATAAAATATATATTTTATAAAGTAGATGACTATCAATATAGTCATTCTATAGATGAGTAAACTGAGGCATATTGTTTCTATAAAAACCTCAAGAGCGCACATAAAATAAATGCTGCAGTCAATGAGCCAAAACATCATACTAAGGATTTTGCTTCCAGAAGCTGCACTCTTAACTACTAGGCTCTAATGCCTCTTTTTATATAAATGATATCATACTGTTTGTTCTCTTTTGATCTAGCTTCTATTAATTAGCATATTTATTGAAATTAATCTATTTTATAGTATGGATGAAAGTTTCATTTCTTTTATTGCTTGTAGTATTTCAAAATATGGTTATATCAAAGCTTGCTTATTCATTTATCTGTTAATGAATATTTGATTGTTACATGCTCTTCACTATTAGCCCCTCTCTCCTATAAAAAAGTGCTGTGAATGTTTTGGTACAAGTTTTTTATGTACATATACTTTCATTTCCCTACAAATTGATTCGCAGTCATATGATAGGTGCATACGTCAAAATATTTTAAAAACTGTCAAGCCTTTTTCCAGAGTCATTGTACTAATTTCCATTACCATTAGCAGTGCATGTATGTTGGTTGTCCTCTATAGTATTGCCAACACTTGGCATGACCAGCCTTTTTAACTTTAGCCATTCTTTTTTCTTTCTTTTTTTTTTTTTTTTTTTTTGAGATGAAGTTTCACTCTTGTTGCCCAGGCTGGAGTTCAATGGCGCGATCTCGGCTCACTGCAATCTACACCTCCCGAGTTCAAACAGTTCTCCTGCCTCAGCCTCCCAAGTAGCTGGGATATAGGCGCGCATCACCATGCCCAGCTAATTTTTGTATTTTTAGTAGAGATGGGGTTTCACCATGTTGGTCAGGCTGGTCTCGATCTCTTGACCTCAGGTGATCCACCCACCTTGACCTCCCAGAGTGCTGCGATTACAGGTGTGAGCCACTGCGCCTGGCCTCTTTTTTTCTTTTTTGAGATGGGTTCTTGCTCTGTCACGCAGGCTGGAGTGCATTGGCACAACCATAGTTCACTGCAGGCTCCACCTCCTGGGCTCAAGTGATTCTCCCACCTCAGCTTCCGAGTAGCTGGTACTACAAGCATGTGCCACCATGCCTAGCTTAATAGAGACACCATGCCATGTCTCTTTCTTTTTTGTAGAGACAGGATCTCACTATGTTGCCCAGGCTGCTCTCTAACTCCTGGGGTCAAGAAACCCTGCTGCCTTGACCTTCCAAAGTGCTGGGATTACAGGCTTGAGCAACTGTACCCAACTCATTTTTGACAGACACAGATTAATTCCCTAATGACTAATGATATTGAGGATCTTTCCATGTGTTTACTTTCTATCTACATATGTTCTTTAGAGAAGAAGTATTCATTTAAGTCATTTGCCTACTTTTATTAGAGTTGTTAGATTTATTATCAAGTTTTGAGAGTTCTTATGTTTTCTGGACACAACTTTTTTGCCAGACATATATTTTGCAAATATTGTCCTCAGTAGTGTCTTATATTTCTATTTGTTTTACAGTGTTTCCTGAGGAACATATGTTTTACATTTTGATGAACTCAAGTTGTCAATTTCTACTTTGATGAAACGGTGTTTGTGTCATGTCTAAGTAGTATTTACTAGCCTGAGGTCAAATACTTTTCTATATTTTCTCCTATACATAATTTTTCTTCCTTTTTTTTCACTTTGTTTTTACATTTTACATTTAGGCATATGATCTGTACTAAATTAATTTTTGTATCATGAGTTACATGTTAAAGTTCTACTTTTTGCATATGAGTATCTAATTGTTCCAGCAGAATTTGTTGAAGGGCTATCTTTTATTTACTGAATTACCTTTGTATCTTTGGAGAACACCAATTTACCAAAATTCTGTACATATATTTCTGAATTTTCTATTATCTTCCAATGACATTTCTGTCTATCTTTATGCCAATATCACACTATTTTCATTACTGTAGCCTTATAAGCTTTGGTATTAGATTGTGCTAATCCTTCAAAAATATTCTTATTTTTAAGGATTATTTTGGCTATTTTAGACTCTTTGCATTTCTACTGAAGTTTTAAAATTAGTGTGTAAATTCCTATAAAACAATGCCTAATAATATTTTAATTGGGATTGTATTGAATCTATATTTAGGGATAATCACATTTTACCATGTGAATTTTCTAACCCATATTCATATTACATCTTTCCATTTATTTAAGTCTTCTTTAACTTTCTGCAGTGTTTTGAGTTTTAGTGTACCAGACTCTCACATCATTTGATAGATTAATTCCTAATTCTTCTACATTTTTCATGATATTATTAATAGTACTTTTATTTTAATTTTTTATTGTTCATTGCCGGTATATGGAAATATTAGTTTAATATGTTGCTTTTTTTCTTTTTTATGTTGCTAACTCACTTATTATAGCCAGCAGTGTTTTTGTAGATTTCAGTGGACTTTCTACATAGACATGCCGTCTATAAATAAACCCAATCTACATTTTCCTTTCCCGTCTGTAATTCTTTTGTTTATGTTTTTTGTCTATTTTACTTGGTAGAATGTCTAGTGAAATGTTAAAACAAAGTGCTAAGAGTTAATGGACTCATCTTGTTCCTGAAATCGGGGGAAATAAACTGATTTTTCTTCATTAAGTATGATGCCAGCTATTGTTTTTACATAGATATCTTTTATTAGGATATTCTTGAATTTCTTCTAGACAGTAATAACTTAGATCTTGTTTTATTGATCCAATCTGCTTTTAAATTGGTATATTTAGACCATTTATATGTAATGTGGTTATGTGTGCATATATATATATTTTTTTTCTTTTTTTTTTCTTTTTTTTTTTGAGACAGAGTCTGGCTCTGTTGCCCAGGCTGGAGTGCAATGCGATGATCTTGGCTCACTGCAACCTCTGCCTCCTGGGTTCAAGCCATTCTCCTGCCTCAGCCTTCTGAGTAGCTGGCATTACAGGTGCCCGCCACCATGCCTGGCTAATTTTTTGTATTTTTAGTAGAGACAGGGTTTCACTATGTTGGCCAGGCTGGTCTCGAACTCCTGACCTCATGATCTGCCCACCTCAGTCTCCCAAAGTGCTGGGATTATAGGCGTGAGCCACCGCACCTGGATATTTTTAGTTTTAAACCTATTATTTTGCTTTTGCTTTCTATCTTTCCTGAAGGAATTCAGAACCAGATACCCCCAAACATGCCACTTTGGCATATTGATTTTTTTGAGTTAAAGACACTTGAAAAATAGCAGATGCAAGAAAAGCACTCTGATTTTCCTTTAAAGCACTCTGATTTTCCTTTTTCTTAAAAGTAGGAGGTAAAATTTCTACATGAAAGTTGCCCTCTTTATACAAGAAGGAAAGTAACAGTCTCATCACCCAGGATGAGAAGTTGAGGCAAGGGAAACCTGTACAAACAGACCTTGTTAAACCAACCCTTATCCTGTTAATCACCTCTTCACCCAATTAACTACACTAGTTCCAGCTCCTTTGTCTTGTCATATTTCACAATTTACTACTCTGTGTCTACTTCAGAACATAAGTGATTATGTCATGGAGTCTTCCTTCCTTAAAGAATCTCGCATGCCACATAATACATGCATTAAATAAATTTGTATGCATTTTCCTGTTGATCTGTCTTATATCAATTTAATTCTCAGGCTTAGCAGAGGAAAAAAAAAAACTAAGAAGATGGTAATAAAATTTTGCTTCCCCTACCATCCCATCTGTTTTTTGCTTATTTTCCCTCTTGTTTGCCTTCTTTTCTATGAATTAAATATATTTTATGGTTTCATCTTATCTCCTTTTTTTACTTGAGAATTAAAACTCTCTATATTGTTAATTTTAATGGTTGCTTTTGAGTTTGTAGTATACATGTTTAACTCATCACATTCTACCTTCAAATTATAATATACTACTTTACATACAGTATCATGAAGTAACAACATTTTCATTATTTTATCCTAACTGTTGTTCTGTTATTGTCATTAATTTATTTTTATATATGTTGTAAGCTCATTGTAAATTGTTATTATTCTTGTTTAAATTAGAGGTTAATAATGTTTTCTTCTCTCTCTTTTTTTTTTTTTTTTTGAGACAGAGTCTAGCTTTGTACCAGGCTGCAGTGCAGTAGTGCCATCTCAGCTCACTGCAACCTCTGCCTCCCGGGTTCAAGCGATTGTCCTGCCTCAGCCTCCCGAGTAGCTGGGATTACAGCCACATGCCACCACACCCAGCTAATGTTTGTATTTTTAGTAGATACGGGGTTTCATCATGTTGCCCAGGATGCTCTTAATTTCCTGACCTCGTGATCCGCCCATCTCGGCCTCCCAAAATGCTGGGATTACAGGCATGAGCCACCAGAACCGGACATGCTTTGCTTAAAAGCTAAATATTTTAGGCTTGTGTGCCATTAGGCTCTGTTACAACTACTTAATTCTGCTTTTGTAATTCTATAGCACCCATTGATAATACATAAACAAATGAGCATGAATGTGTCTCAGTAAAAATTTGTTCACATAAACAGGCAGTCCACCCATGAAGCTATAGCTTGCTGACCCCTTGTTTAAACAATCAATTGAATTCAAACAGAAATAAAAGGATCTTATATATTTAACCATGTTGATACCATTTCCAGTGCTTTTCATTCTTCTATGTAGATCCAAATTTCCTTTTGATATTATTTTACTTCTGCCTGAAACATTTTCTTTAACATTTTTTATAGTGTTGTTTTACTGGTGATGATTTCTTTCAGGTTCTAAGTGCCTGAACAAAATCTTTATTTCACCTACATCTTGAAAGATAGTTTCTCTGAGTCTACAATTCCCAGCTGACAATGTTTATCTTCCAGTACTTTAAAGATGTTGCTTCATTATCTTCTAATTTTCTTTGTTTCCAATAAAATGTTTGCTGGCATTTTTTGTTCCTCTGTGCAAACTGTGTTTTTGTCATTGGCCGCTTTGAGAATTTTTCTTTATCACTAGTTTTAAGCAATTTTATTTTAGTGTATTTTGTGCACAAGACAAGGATGCCCTCTCTCACCACTCCTGTTCAACATAGTATTGGAAGTCCTTGCCAAAACAGTTAGGCAAGAGAAAGAAATAAAGGGTACCCAAATAGGAAGAAAGGACGTCAAACTATCCCTGTCTGTGGATTACATGATCCTATATGTAGAAAACTTTATAGGCCCAAAAGCTTAAGGCCCGAAAGCTCCTTAAGATGAAAAACACCTTTGGCAGAGTCTCAGGATACAAAAAGAACATACAAAAATTACTCGCATTCCCATACACCAACAAGAGTCAAGCGGAGAGCCAAATCAGGAATGCAATCTGATTCACAATTGCTGCAAAAAGAATCAAATACCTAGGAATACAACTAACTAGTGAGGTGAAAGATCTCTGTAAGAACTAAAAACACCAAAGATATCAGAGAGGATGAAACAAATGAAAAAACATTCTATGCTCATGGATAGGAAGAATCAATATCATTAAAATGGCCATATTGTCCTTATTTTCAAGTATGCTATTGCGCTCTATGACTGATCCAAACTCCTGCCAGATATAATTCTAAAAATCTGTTTGTTAATTTTATTATTTTATTTTTGGATTTTTAAATGCTTGGGAATTGGGAGATATGCACAATTGCCTTTGCTTTGTTCACAAAATTAAATGCGTATTTGGGTACTTATAGGACACTATTTGTAAAAACATTTATTTCTTCAGACATTGATGGTCTTGTCCCAGTTATTAACAACATCTACATGTTTAAGAATAAATTTTCTATCTACTTCTTATTCCATTGAAAATTACCTTTCTATCCTCCTACTCTGGAAGTCTTTATGATTCTGTCCTAATCATTAGTATCCCATTGCTTCTTCAAGAGATGTCTGTCAGTAGAATTTCTCCATTAATATAAGTTCATACTTCTATGAAAACTTTAAATCTCAAATCTACAGTATTTCTAGTTCTAAAAAATATTTAAATTAGTTCTTTAATTATTTCCATCTTTATGTTTACTTTCCTTTTTTTCTAGCATTTTAAACAACTTTACGTCAACAATTCTTTATCTTCACTTTACCTCCCTTTACCTTTCTTCATTTTTTCCTAGCCATTGGGTTCAGAGAAAATTATTCAACTTTTAAACTTCAAACTTGCTAGATCTATATTTAACTATGTCTATTGTTCTCTTCAGAACATCTGTTGAGTTTTTAATCCAAGAGCTATTATCAGTATTTTCTAAAATGTAACCTCTTCTTGCATGTCTCTGAAGATATGAATTACACTTACTGTAATTACATTTGTTTCTTTTCTTAATTCTGATTCTCTGAAATTACTTATTCTGTTTGCTAAGTTTTGTATCTTCTTTCTTGTTTTTCTTAAAAGTTGGGTGACAATATTTTACATGGGTAGTTTTTCTGTTAATCATAGCTTATCTCCAATGATTAGGAAAATAACAACTATGAAGTAGGACAAAGTAACCTGGTTTCTTGTGTTTTAGCATTGCTGCTCCCTGTTCCTTCCTGGTTTTGTTAATTACCTGAGACTCTGCCCTGTTGATGTTAGTCAGATTCTAAGACTCACCTTGCCAAGCAAGCACTGCTTTGTTATTCCAAAGTGAAGTTCATTCTTACTTTGTCTGGAAAGCAGTCTCTGCATCTTTTACCTCATTATTTCCCTCCTTTCATATTATGTTTCTTCCTTTACCAATTTTAATGGAGCTTCCCCTTTTTTGTCTCTAAGATCTCCTTCTCTATCTCAAAAACAAAACAAAAAAACATTATCAGCATTAACATATACAACAGAGAGCTTCATTGATGTGGTTTGGCTGTGTCCCCACCCAAATCTCATCTTGAATTCCCATACGTTGTGGGAGGAACCTGGTGGGAGGTAATTGAATCATGGAGGTAGGCTTTTCCTGTGCTGTTTTCCTGATAGTGAGTAAGTCTCATGAGGTCTGATGGTTATTATAAGGGGGAGTTTTCCTGCACAAGCTCTCTTTGCCTGCTGCCATCCATGTAAGATACGACTTGCTCCTCTTTGCCTTCCACCATGATTGTGAGGCTTCCCCAGCTACATGAAACTGTAAGTCCAATTAAACCTTTTTTCTTTTGTCAATTGCCCAGTCTTGGGTATGTCTTTATCAGCAGCATTAAAACAGACTAATACAGTAAACTGGTATCAGTAGAGTGGGATGCTGCTGAAAAGATACCTGAAAATGCAGAAGCAATTTTGGAACTGCGTAACAGGCAGGGGTTGGAACAGTTTGAAGGGCTCAGCAGAAGACAGGAAAATGCAGGAAAGTTTGGAACTTCCTAGAGACGTTTTGAATGGCTTTGACCAAAACGCTGATAATGATGTGAACAATGAGATCCAGGCTGATGTGGTCTCAGATGGAGTTGAGGAACTTGTTAGAAACTAGAGCAAAGTTGACTCTTGTTATGTTTTAGCAAAGAGACTGGCAGCATTTTGCCCGTGCCCTAAAGATTAGTGAAACTTAGAACTTGACAGAAGAATTAGGGTATCTGACAGAAGAAATTTCTAAACAGCAAAGCGTTGAAGAAGTGACTTGGGTGCTTTTAAAGGCATTCATTTTATAAGGCAAGCAGAGCATAAAAGTTCAGAAAATTTGCAGCCTGACAATGTGATAGAAGAGAAAAACCCGTTTTCTGAGGAGAAATTTAAGCTGGCTGCAGAAATTTGCATAAGTAACGAGGAACTGAATGTCAATCCCCAAGACAATGGTGAAAATGTCTCCTGGGCATGTCAGAAGTCTTCACAGCAGCCCTTCCCATCACAGTCTCAGAGGCCTAGAATAAAATGGTTTTGCTGGGCCCAGGGTCCCCATGCTGTGTGCAGTTAGGGTGTTGGTGCCCTGCATCCCAGCCACTCCAGCTGTGACTAAAAGGGACCAAAGTATAGCTTGAGCTGTTGCTTCATAGGGTGGAAGCCCCAAGCCTTGGCAGCTTCCACGTGGTGTTGAGCCTGTGGATGCACAGAAATCAAGAATTGAGGTTTGGGAACATCTGCTTAGATTTCAGAAGATATATGGAAACACCTGGATGCCCATGCAAAAGTTTGCTGCAGAGATGGGGCCCTCATTGATAACCTCTGCTAGGGCAGTGAGGAAGGGAAATGTTGGGTGGGAGCCCCCACACAGAGTCCCTACTGGGGCACCGCCTGGTGGACCTGTGGGAAGAGGGCCACCATCCTCCAGACCTCAGAATGTTAGATCCACCAACAACACCATGTGCCTGGGAAAGCCACAGACACTCAACACCAGCCCACAAAAGCAGCCAGAAGGCAGGCTATATCCCGCAAAGCCACAGGGGCAGAGCTGCCCAATACCATGGGAACCCACCTCTTGCATCTGCATGATCAGGATGTGAGACATGGAGTCAAAGGAGATCATTTTGGAGCTTTAAGATTTGGCTGCCCCTCTGGATTTTGGACTTGCATGGGGTTAAGAAATGAAAAGCATAAAAATTGAAAAGTGAAAAGAAAAAATATTTTTATTCACAGAACGTATATTGTATATGAAGAAAATCCTAATATATTTATTTAAAAAGCTGTGAATAATAAGAATCAAATTCAATAATGGTGCAGAATGTGTAGAATGCAAGGTCAATACACAAAATACAATATGGAAAATTAATGGAATTTCTAAATACTAGAAATAAACAATTGAGAATACATTTAAAAGTAAAATTTTAATGGTATAAAAATAGTTAAGAATAATTTAAGTGAAACCTTTAAAAATCTTTCACACTAAAACTTTTTAAAATTTCTTGTAGAGAAACATTACAGAAGACTTAAATAAATGTAAAGATCTACCATGTTCATAGATTTGAAGATGCAACATTGATGTGAATTCTCTGGAAGTTAATCTTTAGAATCAATGCAGTAGCGGCTGGGCGCGGTTGCTCATGCCTGTAATCCCAGCACTTTGGGAGGCCAAGGTGGGCGGATCACAAGGTCAGGAGATCAAGACTATACTGGCTAACATGATAAAACCCTGTCTCTACTAAAAAAAAATACAAAAAAATTAGCCACGCATGGTGGCACGGGCCTGTAGTCCCAGCTACTCAGGAGGCTGAGGCAGGATAATTGCTTGAATCTGGGAGGCTGAGGTTGCAGTGAGCCAAGATTGTGCCACTGCACTCCAACCTGGGTGACAAGGTGAGATTCTGTCTCAAAAAAAAAAAAAAAAAAAAAGCATCAATGCAATCTATAGTTTGTAATTTATTAACTACAATGAATTCTATATCTATTTACTACAACTCTGTAGTAAATTGTGGCAAACATTTTGAGAGAAATTCACAAGCTGTTTCCAAAATTTGTTTGGAAAATTCACAGGACCTAGAATTTTGAGAAAAAAATAGAGCCAATTTTCAGACATCTAAGAAAGCTGCAGTATCAAAGCATCATAACACAAAAATAATAAGGATAAAGAAGGGTTCAAAATTAGACCTCCACCTATGCAGTAAATTAAATGTTTATAAGGGCATGTAGATAATTCAGTGGGGAAAGTAAGTCTTTAACAAAGGCTTTTGAAATAAATGCATTCTCATATTAAAAAAATACATGCATCAGTCCTTTGTATACACAAAACTAGTCCAATATTTTTAATGTAGGCATAAAAATGAAAAAGCAAAATTCAGAAAGCTTTTAAAAGAAAAAAATTAAACAATATCTGCGAGCTATTATAATAGGAAAAATATTTCTGAACAGAGAAAGCACTATCATAAGAGTAAAAATTGATAAATTGTAGATATTAATTAAAAATGTATCCTAATAAAACTGCAAAATGTAAGAAAATATAATTTTAAGCCATAGACTGTGATAAATGTATGAGAAAAAAATTGCGTGTTCAAAACGCACAGAGTACTCCTGAGATCCACTAAATAGTTATAAGAATCTTGAACAGGTATTTCACAAAACAAGAGATACAAGTGGCTTATAGGAATGTGAAAAGATGCTCAGTGTTATTAGATAAGGGGAAATGCAACCAAAATGCATCGAAACTGGAAAGACTACCATTTAAAATGATAATACTAATATTGGCAAATATGTGGGGAAACTAGAAGTCGTGTCTATTTCTTGTGAGAGTGTAAAATAGAACAACTGGCTGGGCGCGGTGGCTCATGCCTGTAATCCCAGCACTTTGGGGGGCCGAGGCGGGCGGATCACGGGGTCATGAGATCGAGACTATCCTGGCTAACATGGTGAAACCCCGTCTCTACTAAAAATACAAAAAAAAAAAAAAAAAATTAGCCGGGTATGGTGGCGGGCGCCTGTAGTCCCAACTAATCAGGAAGCTGAGGCAGGAGAATGGCGTGAACCTGAGAAGTGGAGCTTGCGGTGAGCCCAGATCACGCCAGTGCACTCCAGCCCAGACGACAGCGCAAGACTGTGTCTCAAAAAAAAAAAAAGTGGAACAACCGCTTTGAAAAATAATTCGCTTCTCAATAAGGCCAACATACATCTACCCTATAGCACAGCAATTTCAATTCTAGAAATTTATCCAACAAAAATAAAAGCATATATTTACACAAAAACCTGTTTGAGAATGCACCTAAGTCCTTTATTTGTAAAAGCTAATTCTGAAAGCAATCTGAATATTCACTAACAGACTAATGAATAAGCAAACTCTGACAAATACGTAGGCAACTCAGAAATATGAGGAAAAATAAAAAAATGATACACACAAATATTTGGCTAAATCTCAAATATTTATTTATGCTAAAGAAAATAAACCAGATACACACTCACACACACATCCTGTAGGAATTCTAATTATTGGAATTTGAAGATGAACAAAATTAATCAATCATGATAGAAATTATAAGGGTTTAATCTGAGTTATTTGGGATGCTGAAGCCGGAGAATCGCTTGAACCCGGGAGGCGGAGGTTGCAGTGACCTCACATTGTACCACTGCACTCTAGCCTGGGTAACAGAGTAAGACTACGTCTTAAAACAAACAAACAAACCAAAGAAATTATACAGGTTTGCCTCTGAAGAAGAGAAGAGAAGTTTGAATAAGCACAATAGTATTTTCTAGATTTAGTGTAATTAGCTAAATATATCAATTTATAAAAAGTATGAAACCACATTTTTGACACGTTTATTATATTTAAAATATAGCGCAATAAAATAAGGTTAGGAAATGATTGCATATTAATCTCTGAGAGGAAGAATGTTATCTGTTGGTAGAATTAATAAAGTTACTCATTTCTTATAAGAAGTAAAGATATATTGGCCGGGTGCGGTGGCTCGCGCCTATAATCCCAGCACTTTGGAAGGCTGAGGCAGGCGGATCACAATGTCAAGAGATTGAGACCATCCTGGCTAACACGGTGAAACCCTATCGCTACTAAAAATACAAAAAATAAGACGGGCGTGGTGGCGGGCACCTGTAGTCCCAGCTATTCAGGAGGCTGAGGTAGGAGGACAGCGTGAACTTGGGAGGCAGAGCTTGCAGTGAGCCGAGATCATGTCACTGCACTCCAACCTGGGCTGCAGAGTGAGACTCCGTCTCAAAAAAAAAAGAAAAAAGAAGTAAAGATATATCTATTAACCCGTATAGGTATATATAAGCTAAAAACAACCATTCAACTTTTGTGGGCATAGTAGTCTGTGTCAGGCATTTTTGTATAAATCATAAACATTTAATTCTCATTCAAATAATAAATATATTATCTCACGGTTATAAAGGTATAATAAGTACAATTTTAAAAAATAGACAAACTTTTCTGAATATTTCCAGTACAGTGGTATATCATTTTTTTCCGATAGAATAAATAGAAAAATACTCAAACTGTGGGTAATATTTTGCAGAAAATGAATTAGTTACACTTATTCAAGTTGAATTATTCTAGTTCCTCAATTTTATATTCCAGAAAAATATATGCTGACTATATTTTTAATGCTTTTTTTTATTAGAGAAGTTTGTTTATTGATATGTGCATCGCTTTTACTAATTCAGTTTTGAGCAAGGTGTGACTCTTTATTCAATTTTCCAAAGAGTTCCAAACCAAAACTTGTGGATTTCCAGTTGATCTGTATATCACCTTGCCACCTCTGGCTTTTTTCTCTCTAATACAGGTATAAGAATAACATTTAACAATAAATGATTCGTGAAGCCAGTTCAAAAATGTTCATGCTATATTAATCAACTTGATAAAATGCATTAAATTTATGAATTTCTACAGGTTTGTTAGTGCCTGGAATCTGTAGGTAGAGACACCCATAAAAAAGTCTTATAATATAAGCTATATAACTTAGTGAAAAATCAATAAGGCATACTAATGTTTGCATAGGATGAAAACCTGGTCATATTAATTTTTCTGAGAAAATAATCTCAAATGAAAAATCACTTCCCTAAAGCATTATTTGTTTTTATATCAGATTTATTTCAGTTCAACCAACATTGCACGCTCTAAGTATTAGATATTGTGATTGGTCCTGGGAATGCTAAGATAAAAATTTCTCCTTTTCTAACCTTGAATTCACAGAGAGGTAGAAGCAAGAGAAGCATAAACATATAATTTCAATGCAATATGGTAAGTAAAATGATAGTGGTACTTTTTCTGAATTTTCAGATATCAATTATTTATTTATAAACAGTTCTTTAGAGGGTGATTTATTTTCTCTATAGATGTCAACAAGATACACTTGCCTTGTATGGCAAAAATAAATTAATTTTAGCTTTGTGCAGATACATCCTATTGAGTTACAAAGTGATGCTATCAAACACCATTGACAACAACAAATTCAGGATTTATGGCTCTCTTTGTCTCTGTTTCTCTCTCCTTCTCTCTCTCTCTCTCTGTGTATATATATACATATATGTATATTATACATATATAGTTTAGGATACATGTGTATTTATATATAATTTTATTTTTTAGAACAAAATTAAACATAAAGTGTCTTTAAATGAAAGTCTGTGTTTGTAACACAATCTTATGACATCAGCATTAAAAAGGCTATTCAGAACACTTCCTCAAATTGAAACTATTACCAATACTGAGTTAAATATTTTAGGACTACTTCATTATCTAGGAAATTTGAGAAGCAAATTAACTCTTTGCTCAGAGTATTGTGATACCATATCTTTTCTTGTAAAATAAGATATTGTTTAATTATAAAATATTGTCAAATTTCTGAAAAAGTGTTTATATAAGTGTTAGGAATATGTTAGCCCTGGGAGCCATGTGTTACTTATCATTGTACAGATCTTCTTGCTGACACAACTGGGTATGGTAGACGGCCTGATATGATTAACTGCAAGTAAAGCAGAAATTATTAAAAACAATATTGAGGCCAGGCAAGGTGGCTCATGCCTGTAGTTCCAGCACTTTGGGAGGTCGAGGCAGGTGGATCACGAGGTCAGGCATTCAAGACTAGCCTGACCAAGACGGTGAAACCCCGTCTTTACTAAAAATACAAAATTAGGTGGGCATGGTGGTGGGTTCCTGTAATCCCAGGCTGAGGAAGATAATTGCTTGAACCCAGAAGGTGGAGGTGGAGGTTGCAGTGAGTCGAGATCACACCACCGCACTCTAGCCTGGGTGACAGAGTAAGACAACGTCTCAAAAACAAAAACAAAAACAAAACAAACAAACAAACTAAATTAACTGGATGTTAAATGTGGTTTCTTTACATTTACCAGAATTTCTGCCAAGGTCCTAATGGCCCCAAATAATAGGTGCTACATTATCAAGCAGATATATCAAGAGATTGTGATAATGTTAATGAAACCCCTTTGCTCATCACTCATTTCCAAAATTTATATTTTCAAAGGGAATTTTGTACAGAGTTCCTAAAAAAAGGGATCATGATGCCAGTGTATTGCCTCACTGATTGCTAAATGAAGAGGACTATACTGAAGCATTCAAAGAACGTGATGTGCCTCTGGGGCAACTGAAGGATTGCTATCTGACTTATGCATTTAAAACCTTCAAAGTGGAAGTTTGTCTGGAATGGCTTAGGCAAACAGACTGGGTTGGATTGAGAATTGAATGTATACATAAAATTTGGTTTGGTCAGATGAGAACACCAAATGTGGTAGCTAGCTCACCTTTATTTATGAGATTGTTATGGGGTTGATTTGTCTTGAAAGAATCAAATCTAAGAGAAATGTTTGGAATGGCTAGATGATCCTAACAGAAGAAATCTTACAGGTCTTTACTGCTAAACCTAAGGAGATGAGAGTAAACAGTAAGTGGCCAACTCAAAGAAGCATGGACTATGTTGAAACATGGACTATAGCTGCAATTTCCCAGTGGTGCAGTTTTCAAGTGTTTTACCCCAGGAGAGAAAAAAATAAATAAATGAAAAGTAGCCATTTCACCATTCAGAGGATACTGTTGCCCAGTGAAAACTGCATGAATTATGTAATAGTTTTATGCTTGTTTCCCCCACTCACCATTCCAAAACTGTAAGACTTCAAGATAGAACAGGAGGTATGAAATTTTAACAGCACATAAAAAAATAGTGAACATTCTATCCCCGCACTTCATTGCCATTACTAAGGCTAAGGCAGGGCTGAGTTTAGAATGCAGCAAAGCTTTGAAATGTATAAGAGATAATATCTCTAATATTCAAATACACCATAAACTCAAAACTTAGAATCAATCCTATTTTTAAAATACTGAATGTGACAAGAAACGTTATAAAAGTTTTCAAGATATCAGTATATGATAGAAAGAGATGTATTGCTTTAGCACAAATCATTCTACAAAAAAAAAATTCTTCTAAAATAAATTACTTATCCATATCCTACAAATTTTCTTTTTTCTTTTTCTTTCTTTTTTTTTTTTTTTTTTTTTTTTTTTTTTTTTTTTTTTGAGACAGAGTTTCACTCTTGTTGCCCAGGCTGTAGTGCAGTGGCTTGATCTCAGCTTACTGCAAACTCTGCCTCCCGGGTTCAAGCAATTCTCCTGCCTCGGCCTCCCAAGTAGCTGGGATTACAGGTGCCAGCCACCATGCCCAGCTATTTTTTTGTATTTTTAGCAGAGATGGGGTTTCACCGTGTTGGCCAGGCTGGTCTTGGATGCCTGACTTCAGCTGATCCACCGGCCTTGGCCTCCCGAAATGCTGGGATTGCAGGCATGAGTTGCCGTGCCCAGCCACAAATTTTCTTTTACCTTGGAAAACATATATGCAAATATACTTGTCAACTATCCGACAAAGGTCTTCGGTATGTATGTATGGATTCATTGAACTTTGTTTCTTTTTACATAATGAATATTTTATGATTTTTAGCTTTGGTTTTTTGAAATGAACCAATAAATTGAAGAGACACAAGAAGTAATATGTGTGTAAATACCAGCACGCTTAGCCCCTCAAATAAACCTCTTACAGGTGTCTGACTCCTCAATCCAATTTGATATTTTTTCAGAACTTGTCTTTATCATTTATTTACATTCTGCTTCATTTTCTGATTTGTTTTTTTACTTTCACACTCACTTATCATTTTTTTACACAATAGTTGTTTACTACAGTAACAATTATATCTGACATAAATGTACTGAGGAACAAAACAACCATCTTATGGCATACAAATTAGCAGTGGGAGAAGGCTAACCCCAAACATATGCCAAGCCAGGAGCCAGGAAATCCAGGGATGTGGTTAGGCAGAAACTGGGAAGACACTTTATAGCGATTCCTATCTTTGTTACAGACATGAAGGAGATAAATTATAATATGAAAAAATGGCCCTCGCAGTTCTAAAGAGATTAACTAAAAGTCTAGTACCTTTTAAAGATCTGAATAGGAAACACTTGTCATTTATTGTCTCTAAGGGCAGCCACTGTAAGACTTCAAAAGAACCTTGGTCTCCACAGTCTTTTATCTTAACCTGAACATTCCCTTTCTATCATTCCCAGGTCTTGAATCAAACTCAACCAATTATCAACCAGAAAATGTTTAAATTCACCTATAGCCTGGAACCAACCCCCAAACCCCAATACCCTCCCATCCCCCAACCCCCCTGCCAGCCCCAACCCCTCCCACCCCCACTCCCTCTGCTTTGAGTTGTCCCACCTTTCTGGATCAAACTGATGTATTTCTTAAGTGTAGTTAATTGATGTCTCATGCCTCTCTAAAATGTATAAAAGCAAGCTGCATCCCAACCACCTTGGGCACATGTTCTCAGGACCTCCTGAGTGCTGTGTCACTGGCCATGGTTACTCATATTTGGCTTAGAATAAATCTCTTCAAATATATTTTTTTAAAGAAGAAAGAAAAAGGAAAAACAAATGCTTTTGCAGAAGCCAAGAAGAAAGTGAAGGGAAATAAATGAGAGTGGAAAAATGAGAGATCAATTGTGGTGAGATATGCTTTTTTTGGCAATTAATTGCAACAAGTGCCCAAAATGCCAATTATAACATAGTTTGCTATCTACCATTGCTTTATTTAACTGAAGTATTCAACCATAGATATGGAAAAAAGACTGACCTAGTTTAGAAAAGTTCTATCCTGATACATTTAAGCACTAGAGAGTATACACAAATAAAAACACAAACTTAACTTTTCTTAAAAACTTTTACTGAGTCAAATATTAAAAGAGAACACTTGTTTGTAAAGCATCTCATGAAGTTGATTTTTGATTTTTCAGTCCTTCAGTAACTAATAATCTTTATTTTGACATTGATGGTTATCCAATGGAAGAATAACTGCAAGATATTAATAATAGAAATCATTTGCATCAGCCGGGTACAGTGGCTCACTCCTGTAATCCCAGAACACTGGGAGGCCAAGGTGGGCAGATCACTTCAGCCCACGAGTTGGAGACCAGCCTGGGCAATGTGGCAAAACCTTGTTTCTACTAAAGATACAAAAATTAGCTGGGCATGGCGGCATGTGCCTGTAGTCCCAGTTACTCAGGAGGCTGAGATGGGAGGATTGCATGAGCACACTGCACTTCAGCCTGGGCAACATAGTAAGATCCTGTCACACAAAAAAAAAAATCATTTGTGTCAAATGATTTTTGTATCAAAGCTTTCAGAAAAAGGAGTGGAAAGAAAATTTAAAAAACTTTTGTCCATCATTCTTAGATGTCATATTCAAGTAAATATTTCTTCAGACTTAATAAAAAAAATTGAACAATAATAACAAGTGTGATTGTATTTCCATTAACCTGAAATTTACTGCTATTTCAAATTCTACTCAATTTAGAGTTTTTAAGATTAAAAACAAGAAATATTAAATAGAAGTTACAATATTTTTGAAGTAATTGGTGAGAATTTGTTTAATAATGCCTACGTGTTTGGTAATTTGATCTTAGTTCTACAAATTTCACTATCACAAACTCTTCCCTGTCCGTTACCTCAGCTACAAGATTTAACAGACTGTCAATGACAACTATGTCACATATGGTAGTGCCCTTTGCTTTAATGAGGGTGATTAGCTAAAATTGATGTTCATTGCCTTAGTACAGATATACTATATTTAGATATATTTAACTCTATTACACATACTGCAAACACATACTCTTGTTGTCTTCTACACTATTATATATTTTACTTGTTATAGTAGATATTTATTTTAGATGAATAACTAAGTATAATAAAATAGATAGCAGAGGAATTAATTATCTCACATGGATATCATTTCACCTGATCTTGATGAACAAGGAAATGGGTGATTTACCCAGGAATAAATATAAAGTTCTGTATGGTTTGGAAAGCACAAATGGTCACCTAATTTTGAAACACTTTAGGTAAATTCCCATTCAGAAAAACATTTATCACTTATATAACTAATGAAATGCTTAGGGGAAAGTGTTTTGGCTGTCAAAGAACCATACTTTGCTTTTAGAGACTATGTTTGTATTTGAATATTTCATAAAAACTATTTCTAAGCCAAGGGAAAAAAAAAAACTAAATAAACAGGCAAAGATCTATTATTGAAAGTGAAATATTTACATATAACCGTAGTTAGAAAAGAAGTGGAAATCAGTATGTGATTTCAGATGATTGCATATTTTATAACTATTAGGGTTAAAGTGCATTAGAGCTTCCTGTTTGCCAGTTGCTGAGAGGCTTTGATTCAGAGGTAGCATCTGTACAAAAAGATACTGCCATTTTTATGGTAAATGCTTTTTAAATTGAACTAGGAAGTAAATAGTTACACATTTTGAAAAAAATATGAATTTTTAAAAGTCTGTGTTTGAACATCAATAAAGAAACAAACGTAACTATGAATTAAGAGAAATCTAGAAATACTTTATTTAAACAAAAACATTGCAAACATTTATGTCATAATATTTACTTTCTTAAAATAGAAACAAAAGCAGTTGGAGATTTAATTCACTATAAGAAAGAAAAGCTTTTGTACATAATGTTTTCTAAGGTAGTAAATGTAAACCTAAGTAACATGGCATGGAATGAAAATAAATTACTGAGAATGGCTTTGTATTGATTACGTATGTTCTGAAATTTTTCCGTATTGAAACAAATCTACACAGTGGAGGAAAATATGTACTTAAAACTGGCATCTTATGTGATTAGTGTATTACATACATACAAATTTGCAATAGTCTCTGAAGAGAAAATGAGATTTCTACATTTTCCATTTCCAATTCAGTCCAGTCATTTTGGTGTATTTCTCTGATAGTGTCTCTATTAAAATGTAATTTATTTTATTTTATTTCTATAAATTTATGGAGTGCAACTGTAATTTTGTTACATCCATAGGTTGCATAGTGAAGTCAGGATGTTCAGCATATTCATCACCTAAAAAGCATACCTTGTACTTATTAAGTAATTTCTTATCATTTACTCCCCTCTCACTCTCCCCCAACTCTTCCAAGTCTTCATGTCCAAGTCTCTATCATTGCACACTCTATGTCCATGTGAATGCATTAATTACCTCCCATTGATAAATGAGAACATGCAGTATCTGTCTTTCTGTGTCTGACTTTCATCTAAGATAATGTCCTCCAGTTCCATCCAAACTGCTCCAAAATACATGTTTCATGAGTATATTATTTTTAAAGGCTGAATTGTATTCCACTGTGTATATCATCATATCTTCTTATCTTTAGGTGGAAATCTTTTTTATTATACTTTAAGTTCTGGGGTACATGTGCAGAACTTGCAGGTTTGTTATGTAGGTATACACGTGCCATAGTGGTTTGCTGCACTCATCAACCTGTCATCTACATTAGGTCTTTCTCTAAATGCTATCCCTCCCCTAGCCCCTTACCCTCTGACAGGCTGTGGAGTGTGATGTTCCCCTCCTTGTGTCCATGTATTCTCATTGTTCAGCTCCCACTTATGAGTGAGAGCATGCAGTGTTTGGTTTTCTGTTCTTGTGTTAGCTTGCTGAGAATGATGTTTGCCAATTTCATTCATGTCCCTGCAAAGGACATGAACTCATCATTTTTTATGGCTGCATAGTATTCCATGATGCATATGTGCCACATTTTCTTTATCCAGTCTATCGTTGGTGGGCATTTGGGTTGGTTCCAAGTCTTTGCTATTGTGAACAGTGCTGCAGTAAACATATGTGTGCATGTGTCTTCAGAGTAGGATGATTTATAATCCTTTGGGTATATACCCAGTAATGGGATTGCTGGGTCAAAAGGTCTTTCTAGTTCTAGATCCCTGAAAAATTTCCACACTGTCTTCCACAATGGTTAAACTAATTTACACTCCCACCAACAGTGTAAAAGCATTCCTATTGCTCCACATTCTCTCCAGTATCTGTTGTTTTCTGACTTTTTAGTGATCTCCATTCTAACTGGAGTGAGATGGTACCATCTCACATTTTCTTTATCAAATCATCTATTGGTGGACACTTAGGTTGATTCAGTATCTTTGCTACTGTGAATAGTGCTGGGATAAGTGCTGGTATGTTTATGATATAAGGATTTCAAATAGACTGTAAGAGTGTAAAAAGTTTCCACTGAACTTTGGACTGGAAATATGATAAGAGAAGATCCTTTCACTAATAGAGGTGGAGCGTTAAGAGATAAAATCGATAACTAATTTTATGCTGCACTAAACAGGGAAGAAAGAGAAAGTGAATAAAAAGCAAGTTTTGTGGTCGGCCAGGTTTTGGATTACATAACGAAAATAGACAAACATACTTTGTTAAGCATATTGCATAACCTATGCTACTTTCAGCTTATTTATATTCATTTAATCCCTCATTCAACTTAATATAATATCCTCTTTTCCTTCCTGGCTTTCTACCTGCCTGTTCTCATTCATTAACTTGTTTTAGCCAATGAGTCATGAGTAGCTACTCTGTTCAGGCATTGTTCTCAGTTCTAGTGATACAGTAGCATACAATTTTAACAAAATATCGACCTCATGAAGCTACATTTTAGAGGAAGGAACTCAGTGAACAAGTCAACAGAAAAATATAAAATATTTTAGAATACAAATAATTGGTATGAAGGAAAACCAGTCAAATGAGGGGTAAGACATATTCAAGGTAGAGAACAATCTACAATTACACTGAGCCCTGAACAAAGAGAGAAAATAAGCTATACATAAATTTGGGGAAGAACATTTCAGCAAGAGGGAAGTGTACAGGCTCTAATGAAATCAAAAAGCTAGTGTATTCCAAAAAGAGCAAAAAATCATTATGCTTGAAATTGAATTGAATGAGCAATGAGAAGAATAGTAAAAATGAGATCAAACAATAATCTAGAGCTAGATCAGAAAAAAGTCTAAAAGCTAAAATGAAGGTATGCATCTTATTCTAGAGTGTGAAGAGATCTGATCAGGAGAACTACATGATCTGATTACTATTTCAAAATAAGGATTCTTGATGCTATTTGGAAAATGATGGCCTACTATAATGATAAGAGATTATTTTAAATATGTAGTAATGAGATAAAATTACATGAATGAATGTTTTTATTTATAATGAGCATACCAGTGTGTAGCCTCTTTAGTACTTGTATACTTGGAAGCAGTTTATTCTCTGAAGATTTTTTTTTATTTCTTCTCTAACTTGTTTATTCTTTTTAAATTTAATGTCAATATAATATGTTTTAACTTTAAAAATTTAGGTGCCTTATGAGTGGAATCTCAGTTAAAAAATGTTATTATTCAGTAGGTACTAAATTGAGTTCCTGTTTTACTTTACAAACCAAGCACCATAGGTTATTACAGAAAACCATTATAAGTCAAATTTTTTAAAAGTTTCTTCAGTGAAGTAGACATTACAAAAGTTATATTTAAACACAACACTATGAACTCAAGTCACAGAGGCAAAGAGAAACTATTGTATTTGCTTTGAGCATCTACACATTGTAAAAAAGGTTATTGAATGCAATTCAAATCTAACTTCATCTGAGGATAACCCCAGGCACTTTGTGCCTGTATTTCTTGTAGTTTTGTACTGACTATTGGAAACTCATTCAGTTTTGCCTTAAAGCACCCAGTAACCTATGAACAAAATGCATAAAAACTATTACATGATGTTCAGCCTTTGTAGACTAAACACAACAGGTATATGCAATTGCATAGTGCTGATGATTCACAAAAACAAAACAAAACAAAACAAAACAAAACAAAAAACTCTGTCCTGAGACTGATTTGTGAAAATAACTATTTAATCTAAAAATAAACTAAAGAGTGAAAATGAGAATTAGCAAATAGAGTTGAAGGTGTGTCTCAAAATGGATTGTATTTTATATAGCCTTTTACTATAATTATTCTTATAACAGGGCTTGTTTTCCTCTATTAGACTGCAAATGTGTTGGTTACTGAGGCGGTTGCACTTGTTTTTGTATCACTTATGAAACCTAGTATAGTGCTTTGTATTATAGTAATCATTCATTAGATATTATGTGAATGATTTGAATTATATTTCATAGTAGCTCAAAGTTAGTCTTGATGGATAAATGAATGTAATACAACCATATACATTATTAGTAAGGAACTTAATAATATCATGAAGTATCTTTAACCAAAGTAATAATTAAAAAGTAGGAGTAAACCATAGTAAGTTCAAATTTAGAATTTGATAGATAATGGAGATTACTTTTTAGGCCTAAATATTGAAGGATAGATGTTTATGAAACTTTGAGTTTCAAATTATTTGTAGAAATGTTTATTTAATATTATATTCAAGATATTAAAATGACAACAATAGGAAAATGTATAAGAGATTTGTTAAACACATCCTGAAAGCATGGAAATAACCATATATCTTAGCCTAATGCATGAAATAGTATAGCAAATATAAGCAGGATGTTTTTATTTTTATTTTAAAATTGTGTTTATCACTGGATAGGGATAATAAATTTATTCTATTTATTTTTTGCTGTTAAACATATACTTTAATAAACTAAACACATTTGTTTCTGCAGTGGATGGAAATATGTTTGTCACAGGTAAAATTGTCACTTGGGTAAATTTTATCTCAAGCAACTCCTTTTTAGTTTTAATACTTTCTATGTTGCCCAAATCAAGTCTTATTTCCATGAATCACTGTTTTATGTAATAATTTTCTTGGTGAGGTCAATTTACATAGTTTTGGTACTTTCATGTCAGATTTCTAAGGTAGTATAATTTAGTTTAGAGGAAGAATTTCTACACAGATCATGCAATTGTCTCTTCATTATATATCAGGGTAAAATCTACAAAAAACAAAATTGGTTTGAGAACAAAGCTGTCATTACTTGCAAGATGAAAACAGAAAAATTGCATGTGTTTATTAAAACACAGAAGTATATTCCTGTGCAAATTAATGCAGATTCTGAAGTGAAAGACAGGACTTTTGAGAGATTTTGAGTCCAAGGATTCACCTCTTCAAACACAACTGAAAAAACTCTATTTTTTTTATTTTTAAATCTAATCAGTTTATATATGCCCAGGTCCAGCAAAAAGAAGCTGGGTTGATAATGTGTTTTGCAGTTATTCAAGCTAGTTTGAAAGAGTACCTGGCAGTGATTGTGAAGACCAATGATTGTGCTACTAAGGTCTCTCAATTGCCAGACACCCACCAAGTATTTTTTAAATATGCTGTTCTGTTTTGAAACTCAAAACCTTGTATTTTTGTTAATCTAGTTACCTGCCAAATCAAACAGGAATCCAAAGTTTCATAACCCTGCTGTGTTCTCTGGTTACTAGAAATAAGCATATTTTTGATGTTTTAACAACCTTTTAAAATAATAATTTCTAATAATGAAATAGAATATTTCTATTTTAAGTAGCTATTGGGTATATCTTTACATAACTAGATGATTATATTAAATGGGTTTTTTAGATGAATGATGTGCATGGGTAGATATTTTTAAAATGAAATATGTTTTTTCCTTTTTTACTTAAATTTCTTTTTAGAACATACTGTTATGAACATTAACATTTATCCAAGTCCTTGGGACAATTCTTCTTCAGTTACCCAGTAAAATTTTCATGATCTCTGCAAAACATAGATTAGAAATATAAAATAACATAAATTTTAGAATACAGTGAGATGACTTACACAATTTGATAATATTTTATATAATATTTTATGATTAACCAGTTAACTGAAACCTAAAAACCTGTATTAACTGATTAATATTGCAGCAAAATGTCAGTTCATGTTATTGTATCAATCACTTGTGGATACATGATTATGCTGTCGTGATATGATTTCTAACAATTGTCTTGTCATTTTTAGCTTTTACTATTATAATTTTAATTAAAATATATTAAAGTCACTATGTCATAACAGACTTTATATTGTGCCATGCAGTCCTATTGCTCTTTTGTTTCAAATATCATATAGTCTAAAGCAATGATTCTCATTAAATACATGCATCAAAATCAACTGCAGTTATTACATGCTAACTCAAACTTACAAAATCAAGCTCTCTGTGATCCTGGTTAATACATCTAAGTACTTGAGCCGATAATCCAAGTACTTTAGGGGGTCGAGGTGAGAGGATAGCATGTGGCCAGAAGTTCAAGACCAGCCTGGGCAACATAGCGAGACTCCATCTCCACAAAAAAGTGTTAAAAATTAGCCAGACATGGTGGTGCATGTCTTAGTTCTAACTACTCAGGAGGCTGAGAAAGGAAGATTACTTTAGCCCAGGAGCTCAAAGGTGCAGTGAGCTGTGACTGCACTCCAGCCCGTCTAAAAAAAAAAAAAAGGAAAAAAAAAAAGAAATAAAAAGGTATACACTTTTTTTTCTGAAGTGGATGGAAATATGTCATGTCAGAGGTAAATTGTGACTTGAGTAAGTTTTATGTTGAGCAACTCTTTTTGTTTACATTTTCTATGTTGCCCAAATAAAGTCTTATTTTCATAAATCACTGCTTTATGAAATCACAACTTTTCCTGCAGCCCTGGGTATGGTGGCACACAGTTGTAGTCCCAGGTACACTGGATGCTGAGGCAAAAGGATCATTTGAACCCAGAACTTGAAGGTCAACCTGGGCAACATAGCAAGATCCTATCTGTAACAAAAATTTTTTTAATGATAATTCTCATGCAAAATTCAGTTTGCACTGTTTTAAAAAATGAAACACTTATAAGAGCATGGTCATAAGGCAATTCTGACTTGGTGTCAAGCCATTTAAACTTAGATATGACCTAGGATTTAGGATCCTTGCTATTGTTTACATAGTAAGTCCACATTTAATATCAGTAGATTATTGGAAACTGCAACTATCAGCAAAATGGTGAACAATGAAACAAATTTTACCATAGGCCAATTGATACAACAAGATATAAGTTCCTACTGCATATTTCTGGTCACAATATTATCACTGTACTTCTAAATGGAGACTAAAACACTTATAACATTCAACACTGAAATAAGTGTGAGGTATACATACATTTTTAAAAAGATTAATAAAAACAAGTAAGATGATTATTTACCCAATTATTCCAGTTCAGAGTCTCGGGTGGCAAGAACCTATTCTTACTCAGCATGCAATGCAGGAATAAACCCTGCACAGGATGCTATTCCATGGCAGGGCACAACCACATTCACTCACATTGGGACACACAGTGGGGAAATGCCAATTAACCAGACATGCACATCTTGGGGATGTGAGAGGAAGCAGGACTTCCTGGAGAAAACCCATGCAGGCATGGGGAGAACATGCAGACCCTACACAGATGGTAGCCCTGTCCAGGAATCAATATTTATTCTCATCTACATTATAGCAAAACAACGTTGAATAAAACAACTTTATTTGAGGACCTGTTTTACTTGTACATCTTTGGGAAAATCTTTCAACTTTTATTACTCATAATGTTCTCAGTAAAAGTGTGTTAAGAATACATATTTCAGGAGGTTTTTTGAGACAATCAAATGTGGCAATGCATGCAGAATTAATAGCCCATAAGGCATTTTATACAGTATGTTCTTAGTAATCTACTTTTAATTGATAATTGCTTTATAAAATAATCTGATTACTTTTGGTATAAAGGATAACATATTCCACTAATACTGTGAAGTTTCAGTGATATAAACACTTAGAAATCATCTGCTCTGTTATGGAAAAAAACATCTAGAAGTATCTTTCAGATTGAAAAATGTTTTTAAGGTGCTGGAATAACAGTACCTCTTGCAGATTTGTCTAGCATTACCCAATGCTTGTGATTGCTAGTAATATTAGTGAAATAAGTATGCAAATCTTTTAATAACTGAATAGAATCCTTCCCTGAACAATTTCCCAGGTGTTATTGCTGTTGCTATCTTATTAAATATTCAATGCCATCTATTATATCCTATACAGAGTCAAATAATAAGCTTACATAAACTAATATTTAATATAATACTAATAAATTTAAGATGATATAAAGCAGAATAAAATAACATTTCAGAATAAAAAGACTTTGAAGCTTCCCTGTATTACTTGATAAGATTTAGGTACAGTCTCAAGAAAACATTTTTTTTTCCTTCTTCTGCATCAGCTCATCTACAAACCAATTTATTTCTGAAATAGGCCCCAGGGGCAGGCTGGTTGGTGACTGTAATGGGGGATATCTGACTGGCCACTCAAGGAAATTGCTATGGACTTTTAATCTTATTTTGATTAAGTTCTGTGCAGATTGTGTCTGCCAGGCGAGCACTAAGATTACTGTTTCTGAGATCTTTTGGTTGCTATCAGACTGGACTCAATTTTTTTTCTACATTCTCAAGGTTAAGTTGAAACAGTATTACCCATTATTTATAAATGGTAAGTGTTTAGGTTTTGCCTTGTGTTACAAACTAGAATGTTAATAAAAATACTATATTTAACAAGTTGCAAGTTTATGAAAGTCATTGTTTTTGAAAGTAAGTTTTAGATTAAAAAAACAAAAGAAAGGAAAAGAAAAATCTTTTAAGGGGAAACAATGTCTTTATGTGTTTAAAGTTTCAAAAGGTAATTTATAAAGAAATCAAATATAGTTAAAAATAACTAATCAAAGATGAATATTTAGTGTAGAGGAACATGGATATGGATAAACTGTAGGGTATTTTATTCATCTTTTTCTTTCAGCAAAGATCTAACTAAAATTAGAGAAATGATGTGTTTTATTCTAGAACCATCATGATACAAACAATAATATGTTGTTTTTCATCTTGTATTGGATAAACACTATTAATCCCATTAATCCATTCCTCTTTGCTTCTTCAATTAAAATTCTGTGTATTATATAAATACCTCCCTCTACCCTCTGCAGTGTAGGAGAATCAGGGAAATCTCATCCCATCTGCCGAAACAGAGATGTATCCTGTATGTACCTTGCCAATGATGGCAACTTCTTTTCCTTTGTCGAGATATAATACAAACCCCAGGTTGACACCATTTAGTTCATGATATCACTTCCAGATTGATATTGGTGGAAAGGTGACTTAATCTGGCTAAATCAGATGCAAGAGATGGACTTGTGTTCTATTATTAGAATATAAATTTCTTGTCTTTCTGTATATGATTAGTAAAGCATGCTGCAACAATTGTTCTTATCAGCGAAGAAAAATTCTGATAAGCACCTGGAAATACGGCACCTGGAAGCCCTCATTCCTCAGGACTTGATAAAAGAATTCATTATTATTAAAGCAAGTTAAGAGCCAGGATTACTGTTACTTGTCTTGAAAGCATGTTGACATCTCCATTGTTCCACATGCCTTGTCAGAATGATCTCTGGCTTAGGGAAAACTTTTCAGCTATCTGCTCTAGCACACTGGTGTGAAAGATGTGTTAAGGGAGAGGTGATAGCTTGATCCTTAGTGCTGTCAGACATCAGGTGGGTCTTAGATAGCTCGAATCATCAGGTCACTTTTTTCAGCCATGAGTAGTATGCTCTACAGCAGTTATTAATTTATATAAATGCTGTAGATTTAAAAATGGTAGTGAAGTGCTAATTCAGAGTATCTGATTTATAATTCAGAGCAATTCAATGGGTCATAGTTAAGTTGGCAGAAGTATTCTAGTTATCTCTCCAAATATAATAATTTTAAATATTGTTCACACAAGGAAAAAACCTAACATCTTTCTCCATATCCTTAAAACTCCAGATAAGAATTTGATCATGCAGTGCTTGTCTTTCTGTGCCTGGCTTATTTCACTTAACAAAGTGTCCTCCAACTTCATCCACATTGCTAAAAATCACAGCATTTTATGGCTGAATATTGTTCTGGAGGGGTGGATAGATAGATGATAAATAGATAGATGATAGATAGATAGATAGATAGATAGATAGATAGATAGATAGATAAATAGATATACATTTATACACCACATTTTCTTTATCCATTTGTTGTTAGATGAGCATTTAGGCAGATTCCATATCACAGCTATTTTGAATGATGCTTCAATATCCCTGGGTGCAGATGTCTCTTTGACATACTAATTTCATTTTTTTTGATTACGTACCCAGTAGTGGGATTGCTGGGTAATATAATAGTTCTCTTTTTTATTTTTTGTGGAAACTCCATACTGCTTTTCATAACAGCTATACTATTTTAAATTCCCACCAACAGTGTATAACATTCCTCTTTCTCCACATTATCGTTTCCATTTGTTATATTTTGTCTTCTTGATAATATCCATCATTTAAACTGGGATAAGGTAATAGCTCATTGCGGTTTTGTTTTGCATTTTTCTGAGGCTTAATGATGTTGAGCATTTCTTTATATATTGTTTGGCCATTTGTATGTCTTCTTTTGTCCATTTTTTAATCAACTTTTTCTTTTGCTATTGAGTTTTTTGAGTTCCTTATATATTCTGGATATCAAACCTTGTTGAATACATAGTTTGCAAACACCTTATCCTGTTCTGTAATTGTCTCTTCGTTTTATTGATTGATAAGAAGTAGGTTAATTGTGCTATATAAGTGCAAACTTTGTCTAAAGGAGAATATGTGTTCTTTGAAGACAAATGTCCATTTGTCAAGCCCCCCAGTACTTTCTTTTATGTAGGAATGCCAATATAGGACCTTTCCGTTTTGAAGCTGTTTGTGAGTAGATTTTTCTCTTCCCACCAACTGGAGGCTAAAATGTAAACCAGAGACCCAAGAATAGCCACTCATTCCTTGCATTTTTAACCTTGCAAGGTAAGAAGTAGGCAGAGAGTCTGAAATTATTCCTGTCAGATGGATAGATTTTTTGAATCCAATGGTAAAGTGGGAAGTGACAAGCTAAAGCAGAGCCCAGCAGCATTCCAGAAAATGCCTGTGCATGCTTTGCTGGCAGTGGCCAGCGGTCATGACTGACAGGACAATAGCCACATGAAAAGCAGAACTTCCTTTTTCTGATATTGGTTCTGACTTGCTCTCTGATTCCTGCCTGAGGCTGGTTCACCTACTTTTTTTTTCAATTCTAAGAGCTGCGTTGTGCTTTTCCAACGCATTCATTTTTGCTTGCTTTAAATTCCAAGTAATTTCTATTGTCTTTAAACAACTGCCTACCTAAAATAATTATTAAATATATAGCTAAAACACTAAATTAAATAAACTTACATTGTTTTCCTTGCTGTAAGAATTCTCTAAGCCTTTCTTATTTTAATATGCATCATGAACCTCCAGTTGAGGCAATGTGCAACACATTTTGAGAGACATGATCTACCTGTTGGAATCTTAACATTTAGAACAGATATATTGATCAGTGTATAATTTTTGGATTATCAAAGATGGGAATAAAATTGAGCTATAATATATAAAATAAGAGGATTTATATATGTTTGTTTTTTTACTCCCCATCTCACCTGCTACTTCTTTATGGATAACAGTTATCCCACTTGATGGAATTTTTCTCTTTTCATCCATTACTTTTTTATTTAAAGTATTCCCTCTCCTAGGATGTAAGTTTCTATAGACTGAAATGTTGTTATTTAATGGTAATAAGCCTTATTTTCAGGCTGCTTTACAGAATTTTGGCTTTGTCTTTTGTTTTCTTCATTGTACTTTTCTTACTCCACTCAGAATTTGTTGACCTTCTTAAATCTGCTTATATCTGTCTTCAATCAGTACTAAAAACATTCTCTATTATTTCCTTAGTTATTGCCTTTGTCTCTCTTTTCCTGGTAAAGTTTAGACACATATTAACGTTTAACTCTATCCTTTGTATCTTGAAACTTTTCTTCAATAATTTATTTTCTTTCTTCCTACTGCACTTCGTTAATTTTCTAGTAGTTCTCTGTTACTTCTAGAAGGTATTTCCTTTCTAAATCTACCATGATCATATTTGTATTTTCCTATGTGCATCTTTAAGCCTATGTTTTGTTCTTTAACTTCTGTCTGATAATTCTATTATTTAAATTGTTTTTCTTGTCTGTCGATTTGTTTCTGGATGTTGTTATCCTTAACAATATACTGATTCTTCTCTGTGTATGTGTGTCTCTCTCTCCATGTCTCTCTAAACACATGCACACAAACTCTCTCTCTCTCTCTCATGTATGCTATATTGCATACAAATGATTTACCAAAATAATTGACTTTATTTTTAATACAGACCTACAAGTTAGTTACTTTCATATTCACGTTACAGTTGAGGAAACTGAGACTCAAAGGGAAAAATGACTTGGCCAAGTTTATACACCCAATTAGTGTCAGGATAGTTTAAGATTACCTTGTTGTCTACTATGGAGGTAAGTTCCTCCAGAAGTTTTGCTTATGCAAGCATTACCCATATCAGATCATCTTAAATCAGGGTGAAAATATGAGTATCTGAACAACTCAGATTTGGTCCCAGACTTCAAGTATGCTCAAGAGCTGGTTCTTGTTTTCTCCTTCATTGGAGTGTATTAACCTTATGATTCTAGCTTAGAATAGCAAAAGTCTCTGGGCAGACTCTCTATATTTTGTCAGCCATAGACTATAATTTCTTTTTCATCTGAGAATTCTATCTGAATAAAAGTTAACTTGGCTTGCAAGGAAAAGTTCCCCAAATTCAGTGACAGTTTTCCTCTTTGAGCTCCCATCTTCTTTAACTCTTATCATGTTTTTCTGGTAGCTCTGTTCTGCTTCTTCGTTTGACTTCCATTGAATTGGGTAACTTTTTTTTTCCTCTTCCCGATGTACATAAATGACTTAAAGTATATCAATATCACTATATTCTCTATAACACACAAATAACTAGCATAAATACGTTGCATTTAGACAGTATAGTCTAAATACAAGTTCCCTGTCCTATTTTGTAGGTCTTTGAATGTTGTTTAAAAAAAATGCAACTAAGACATGTTAAATTTCACTAAGTTTATTTGACCAAGAAAAAGGTTTGAGAAGTAGGCACCATCCCAGAACAAAGATCGTTCAGAGTGACTCCACATCCAGAGTGGTGAGATGTATTTATAACCAGAACATATAAAATTATATTCAGAGTTTCCCTGATTGGTGCAGTTCAATATTTGCCTTATTTGGGCATAATTTGGCAGCATTCAGCCTAGGATTGACTAAGGGTTTGGCTCCTATGATTGGTTGAGTCTCAGTTGCTTGGTTACAAGTCCATATATCTACATTAGCTTACAACTTATCTACACATTAAGTTAGAGTACAGTCACTATGTATGGATGCCGCTTTGGGCCAAACTTAATTAGGCAAGTACAATGGGCACTTTGAGCCAAACTTAACTCAGCTTAACGATGTTCTCTAGTATTTGTTTTACTTTATTGTATTTGTTTGATTCAATATAGCAAATGCTTCTTTAGACTTACCCACATGTTTATATATATATTACTGTTTTGCCTCCATTGAACATGCCTTCTACTTCCTAATTTGTGCCAGAATTGACTAGTAGACGCTATGAATGCATCATGCTCTTTGGCCCATTTCGAACACTCAGGTATGTCTGTACTCTTAGTTCATCTATTCATCATTGTTTCTACAGTTCCCTCATGCTTTAAAAAATATATGGCTTTTATAATTTATCCAGCTTTTTCTTGTCATTTTAATAAGAGTATGTGTCTTATACAACTACTACATTCATCCCAGAAGTAGAAGCAAACTATTATAATCCCATTATTTTTATTCCTACTATTCTCTTTTCAGAATTTCTTTTAGATATTCCTTGGATAGTTTTATTCAATCCTCCATGGCTTTCAGCTTATCTTATGTTCTATCTTTTGGTTCATATTCTGCATTCTGGATAATTCTTCATCTTCACTTTCTAGTTTGTTGATATTCCTTTTGGTGACTATAAGCTGCTCTTTAAAATGGTCAATAATGCCTAAGATGTTTATTATCTTGCCCTTTGCAGAAAAAAATTTTCAGCTTTTGCTCTGGAATGATTTTGCATCTCTTCCACCCAACTTCCAGTGTATCAATGGCCAGAAAATAATCTATATGTTAATTTGTTAATTTGATGGTTCATGGTTCAAGGCTGTACAATTTAAAAATTTGAAGTCAAACAACACATGATGGATAATCCTGATGTTACAGATTCTCAGGGGAGAATATGTATTTGTTTCTTCTACCAATTGTTCTAGTATTTACAGACAAACTTCTTAATTATACTGGGTTGGTTAATAAGTATTTTTCTTTACTCTTTCAATCTAGGTCCAGCTATGCATCACCCCTTCGCTGATGAGCATTTAGAAAATCCAAATTTGGCCGGGCGCGGTGGCTCACGCTTGTAATCCCAGCACTTTGGGAGGCCGAGGCGGGTGGATCACGAGGTCAGGAGATCGAGACCATCCTGGCTAACACGGTGAAACCCCGTCTCTACTAAAAATACAAAAAAAAATTAGCCGGGCGTGATGGCGGGCGCCTGTAGTCCCAGCTACTCGGGAGGCTGAGGCAGGAGAATGGCGTGAACCCGGGAGGCGGAGCTTGCAGTGAGCCGAGATTGCGCCACTGCACTCCCGCCTGGGCCACAGAGCGAGACGCCGTCTCAAAAAAAAAAAAAAAAAAAAAAAGAAAATCCAAATTTATAAATTGCTGGGTCCATCTCTCTTGCCATCCAGAAAAGTCAGAGCAACTGGTCTTGCTGGTTTTAAGTGTTGCCTGTGTTTCTGGCATTGGTAATTTTCTTTGTTTTCCTGTAGTTTTAGGTATACATATATAATGACAGCTCCAAAATTCATCAATATTAGCATTTGTTATGAAGATTTTTCAGGCAACTGGCTTACCATATGGCCTAAATCTGATTCTAAAGTCCACGTTTCACTTTCTCAAATATAAAAACTGTTTGCTAATAAGCACTAGAAAAATATTTCAAAGAAGAACATTTTGATAAATATGATTATACGATATTCACTGCAGTAAATAACCGTTGCATACTCAAAGGAGTTTCATTTGCATATATAACATGAGATGAAAACCAACGATAAATGGTGACTTTTAATAAAATAGATCAGAAATAGTATCTTGTGCAAATAACCTGATGCGAGAATAATTATCCCTCTAATTAGTAAAATTCAATAAGAAGGTAGAATTTTCATTTACATGTGATCAAATAACTTTTTTTTACAATACCTTTGCCTTTTGAATTCTTTAATAAAATACATCAGAAATAGTATCTTGAACAAACAATCTGATGTGACAATAAGTTCCCCTCTAGTAAAATTCAGTGAGAGTGTAGGTTTCTCATTTACATGAGATCGAATACCTTTTTTTTTTACAGTACCTTTTGCCTTTTGAATTCTTTATTGTTTTCATTTAAGAAATGTGGAAATCTGAAACAAACTATATTCTCAATCATGTTAGAAAAAGTATATGTAATATGTATTTTTTAAAGTCCAGTGGCTAAGAACTTAGACTGGGTTTTGAAATAATAATTTCCTAACACAGTTTCTCAGTATGTTTCCTCTAGACAAGAGAAAACTCTGTAATTATGATTCTTAATTTACCCTGGTAATTTCATAAGAAAAATGATTAATTACTTTGAGCAATCAGTTATACAGATAATCATGGTTCTTTATTTAAACCACAAAAAATAGAAAGAAAGCAGAGAAGCTTAAGCATAAAATATAAAGAAAAATTCAGTCATTTAGTAAAAATGAAATCAGTGTTAAAATATTTCTTTTGACACAGTCAGCTAACATCTTTCTATTTTTGCTGAGTAACTATTAATTATATTTTAAGTTCAACTAACTCTTGACACAGCAATGGAATTTGAAGTGAATATACTACTTTGAAAAATAAATGGTGTATTTAGAGTGTTGACATTTAGAAAATGGTAGTTTTGTGAAATTTGCAATGTGTTTTAGAATTATAAATGCTAAAGTAAATGAATGCATGATTATATTTAACAGAATAAAAACAGAAGAATTTTTTAAGTCTTGACGACCTAAGGCAGGGTTCTGTTTTAAGTATTCCCCTTTCAATCAACGTTACAGCTATCCTAACTTAAAACTGCTTCAACTAATAATGTGTATTTATATTAAAAATGTAATCCATGGCTCTGAACCCTGGCTTCCTAGTAGAATCACATGGCAAGATTTTAAGTAATACTCATTTCTTGGCTCTACTAAAGTCCAATTAAAACAGAACTTCAGTTTTTAGAAAGAGGTGTGGGTAGTTTGAAATGTTCCACATTATTCTAAGATGTGGGTGAGATTAAGAACCAGTAAGCACACCAGTCAGAATGGCTATTATTAAAAAGTCAAAAAACAGCAGGTGCTGGTAAGGTTGCAGAGAAAAAGGAACACTATACACTGTTAAAGGGAATGTAAATTAATTCAGCCATTGTGGAAAACAGTGTGGTGATTCCTCAAAGACCTAAAAACAGAACTACCATTAGACCCAGCAATCCCATTACTGGGTATATATCCAAAGGAATATACATTGTTCTATTATAAAGACACACGCACACATATGTTCACTGCAGCACTATTCACATTAACAAAGACATGGAATAGACCTAAATGGCCATCAATAGTAAAGACTGGATAAGTAAAATGTTGAACATATACACCAGGGAATAAGATGTAGCCATAAAAAGGAATGAGATCATGTGTTCTGAAGGAATATGGATGGCATTGAAGGCCATTATCCTTAGCAAATGAATGTAGGAACGAAAAAACAAATGCCACATTCTCTCACTTGTAAGTGCAAGCTAAATGATGAGAACACATGCACACAAAGAAGGGAACAACAGACACCGGGGCCTGCAAGAGGGCAGAAGGTCGGGGGAGGGAGACCATCTGGAAAAATAACTAATGAATCATAGGCTTAATGCCTGGGTAATGAATTAATCTGTAAAACAAACCCCCATGATGCAAATGTATTTATATAACAAACCTGCACATGTACCCCTGAAATTAAAGGTTAAAAAAAAGAAACAGGGAGCATTGCTAGGCTATATTGAGTAAGCTCCAACTGTGCATACTTAACCTAGAAAATGCCTAAAATATAGATAGTAAAAAATATGCACAAGAGTGACATAAAACAAGAATTCAGATATAGCAGTTGTTTTTATTTGTTTAAGAATAAATTCAAAATTCAGAATTATAATTGTATACTCTTATAAGAGAAAACACAATCAGATTCATTTTATATAAAATATATTGTGCTAATTTACACACTTTTTGATCCCTAATAATAAATACAACTCTGTTAGATGCCTTAAAAGAAATCTTTACATTGCTTAGAGAACGTTAAATATCAATTGTGTATTTAAATTTTCTACTTATATGACAGTATGCTATTTTTCCTTAACTTTGGGTAAATAATTTTATGGTGTGATTAAACCGATCTGACATTTTGAAAAAGGGCATGTTTTTTAATGAAATATAAAAGAGTTGTAATTTTAGTTATTCACTGTTGCACAAACCTACTTTTTTGGCTTCATTTGCAAAAGGTTGTTGGATAACCTTTATCTTTTACCACTAACTTCTTACTCTGATCCAAAATATTTGGCTTTTAAAATTCTCCTTATTTCATTATTTGTCTTCATATTTAAAATATCTTCTGTGATATTTCACTTCTAATTTTTTAATATTTTTACATAAAAAGAGATGAATACTGATATCCCTGATTTTTAAGAGAGGATTTTAATTTGGAAATAAACATGCGATAATATGATTTTAAAATGCTAAAGTGGAGCTCTAGTAATTCAACTGAAAATAGCATTATGAATAAACTATACTGTGGCAACTCTTTAACATAATAAAGGAGGACATCAACGGAGCAGAAAATTGATGAATTTTGGAATATATGAAGCATGTTGTATCAAATTGCCAGAGAAAGTAATGATCTTCTGTTACTGAACTTAGGTCACAAAGCCTACTGCCTGCTAATCAGCAAGTGGACCTGTTTCTCTAACAATGGCCCGAAACTTCACAACATCAAAGGAGAAATCATTGCCAGCAAAAGCATTTCCGGGTAGTAGGAAAGAATACAAGTGAATAACATTAGTCCAGAAGTTTTAATAATATTCTTTGCTGGTTGAAATTCATGTTTAATATGATGTAAATTACTTGATAAGCAAATTAAGAACTATGCTACTACAGACTCCAAATAAGACGCAAGAAAAATGAGAGGAAATACATTAAAGGAAAATCTTAAAAAAACAGCTGCACAGAAGATAAATTATTTTTCCAGGAGTTTTAAACATAGTTGCTTTTGTTTGTTTGCTTTGCTGTTTTTTCTTAATAATTGTTTTAGTAAGCTCAGGCTGCTATATAAAAATAAGATAGGCGCTGGTCTGAACAATAGACATTTATTTCTTATAGTTCTTGAACCTGGCAAGTCTGAGGAGGGTCATCTTCTGGGCTTTCAAAGGGCTGCCTTTTTCCTATGTACGTACATAGTGAATAGAAAGCGTTAGCTCTCTGGTCTCTTCCTGTAAGAGCACTAATCCCATCATGAAGACCCCATCCTTATGGGCTCATCTAAACCTAATTACTTCCAAAGGTCCCACCTCCAAATGCTAACACATTGAGAGTTAAGGCTTCAATATATTAATTTTGGGGAAACAAGACACAGTCCATATCAAATATATATATATATAATATATATGTATAATATATATGTATACTATATATGTATATAATATGTATGTATAATATATATACAAATATATATAATATATATTACATATACCCAAATATATATATTATATATATTTGTATATATATTATATATATTTGTATATATATTATATATATTTGTATATATATTATGTATGTTATGTAATACAACTATATACACTCTAAAAAGGCAGTGGAATATAGACATACTTCAATTGATTGTGCTTTGCTTCACTTGGCTTCACAGATAATGTGTTTTACACAAATTGAAGGTTTATGACCACCCTGCATCAAGCAACTTTATTGGCACCACTTTGTAATAGCATGTGTTCATTTGTATCTCTGTGCCATATCTAGGTAAATCTCACAATATTTCAAACTTTTTAACTATAATTATATTTGATATGATAATCTGTAACCAGTGACCTTTGGTGTTACTATTGTAATTGTTTTGGGCACCATGAACCACATCCATATAAGACAATGAATTTAATCAATAAATGTGTGTGTTCTGACTGCTCCACCAACTTAGACAATTAGTTTTAGATTTTTTTTTTTTTTTTTTTTTTTTTTTTTTTTGAGACGGAGTCTCGCTCTGTCGCCCAGGCCGGACTGCGGACTGCAGTGGCGCAATCTCGGCTCACTGCAAGCTCCGCTTCCCGGGTTCACGCCATTCTCCTGCCTCAGCCTCCCCAGTAGCTGGGACTACAGGCGCCCGCCACCGCGCCCGGCTAATTTTTTGTATATTTAGTAGAGACGGGGTTTCACCTTGTTAGCCAGGATGGTCTCGATCTCCTGACCTCATGATCCACCCGCCTTGGCCTCCCAAAGTGCTGGGATTACAAGCGTGAGCCACCGCGCCCGGCCTAGATCTTTTATTTAGACGATGAGAAAATTTAAACTATAAATAGGCCAGGTCTGGTGGCTTATGCCTGGAATCCCAGCATTTTGGGAGGCTGAGGTGGGAGGCTCACTGGAGGCCAGGAGTTCAAAACCAGCCTGAGCAACATAGGGAGACCTCAGCTCTACAACTGAAAAAAAAATAGCCAGGTGTGTTCATGGTGGCACCTGTCTGTATTCCAGCCACTTGGGAGGCTGAGGCAGGAGGTTTGCTTGAGTCCAGGAGTTTGAGGTTGCGGTGAGCTACACAATGAGCTATGGTGGCACTACTACACTCCAGCCTGGGCCATAGAGTAAGGCCCTGTCTCTAACTGGAAGTCCAAAGAGGGATCTACTTCCAAGACTATTAATTTAATAGATCAATAAATTAATCAAGAATATGATTTTTTTCTCATCTTTCTCTGTAGTCATATTTTATACAGACTTTTTGTTTAAGTAATCTCTCTTTATGGGCAGACAATGATTTCAGAAACACCACAAATTATTCTCAAAGAGAAAAGACGAGGATTTTTTTTTTTTTTAGAAAATGTAACTCTTTTCAGTAGCTCTTGGCAGACCTACCTTCACATTTTCTTGACTAAAAACAGTCATTAAAAAAAGTCAGTCACAAACAGGTGAATTTAAATTATCATGGTTTACCTATGCTTAACAAGCTTTATCCTCAGAGGTAAGGATAGGGTTACTTTCCTGAATTTTAGATATGTGGAAATATTTGGATTTATGTCAATAAATGAAAAAGTGTGATGGATATAGTGCTTGCCATGGAATATACCAAATACAGATATTCTGAAAACTTTAAGTTCAGTAATATGCCAGGGGTTCCCAAGACCACTTGAGACCTGGTAATTTATTGGAAGTCTCTAAGGGAATCAGAAGCTGTAGTACTCATTGTTACAGTATATTACAGTAAAAACAGTACAGATAGAAGTCAGCTAAGAGAAAAGACAAATGAAGTGAACTCCAGGAGAAACCAAGTCCAAGCTCTCAGGTGTCCCCTCCCAGAGCAGTTGCATGGGGACATGTTTAATTATCCCAGCAACAATATGTAAAGTACAAAGCATTGCCAACCAGGAACACTCGCTGGAGTCTAGTTGTCGAAGGTGTTTACTGGGATCAGTCGCATAGTCATGTAATGCCCATATGATTGACCTCAGCTCCATGACATTTAAGCACAACTTTCTTCCTACACCCAGAGTAAAAACAGATGTTCACATAAGTCACGTTGATAACATAACCTTTTCTGGTCGAACTGGGAGAGTATGGCCCAAGACTTCAGGAAAACAAGAACACTTTTATCAAGCAAAATACTCCAAGGGCTCAGAGATGAACTCCTAGTCTAAGGTCTAGTCCTGCAGAGGGACCCCTCTTTGGAATGTATAGTATTTGAGCAATTCAGGCCAGTCAAGTTAAACCTTTTCACCCATGCCTAAATGCTATTTAATAAATGTAAATAACAACGATGAGATAGTTTATTAAACATTTTTATTGAAATACACAAATAGTATATAGTTAATTAATTTTAACAAAGTGATTGTACATATTTCACAATAAAATTCCCTTAAATTACCATCTGCTCTATCTGCAAGTAATTATTATTCTGATTGCTAATAACATAGACTTTTTTAACCTATTTTTGAACTTTTATAATAGAATTAAACAATATATATTCTTTTCTGGATGGCTTCTGTTACTCAGAAATATATTTAGGAGAGTCATCAAAGCTCTCTTGGGTATACCATTTATCCTTCTTGCTTGATAATACTCCATGTATGTATATATATGCTATGATGTGTTTATTTTACTCTTGATGGATAACTGCAAAACTTCCAATTTAAGCTGTTGTGAATAATTCTTTAATAAAAAATTTTGTACATTTGCTGAATATGTTTATGTGTTCCTGTTGGATGATAGTAGCAGAATTATTGGTCACAGGGTATGCATATACTTAATTTTAACAGATAAGGTCAAATACTTTCCAAATTCATTTTAACAATTACAGTCAACCTGCATTGTTTTAGAGCCCCGATTGCAGGGTCATTTTGGATTAGTTTGTCTTTCTCTTATTGATTTTAATGGATAGTGTTAGGCTGTAAATAAAGTTATTTATGCATAGTAAGAACTTTCTCAACAAATTTTACTCAGACTTCTGCTCTACGCTAAGAACTAGCTCTGGAAATTAATTCACAGAAAGAACATGGTTAGGGGCCATCCTGAGGGATTTACCTCACTAGGGATATATATTTACATTTCAAGAGAAGATGAGACCCAGTAGATGCATCCCAGAAGTTACAAAGCTGGAGACTCTAGTGTTATCTTTCCCATAGAGAGATTTATTTTTATCCAAATGGTTAGAGTAAGAACTCAGATTTTTTTCCATTTTGTGACTATGGAGACACACTCAGAAGGGGGTCAGAGCAACTGGGTCACTCTTCCACAAAAATGCTCAGGTTCTTTTTTCCAGAGTTCTTTGCCTACAGCAGATCCCCTTACATGTAGGACATCTGGTTCTCACCACATCACCACCACGGTAAGAATTAGTGGAAAGGAGAGCTAGGTTAAGGGCAGCTGTTTCTTTCCTTCTCTGCAGCCTCTGGTACCAAGTACTGCATGACATGTGTCTCACAACATTCCTGCCTCTGCACCTCTGTGCTACGACACTGGATGAATCTATGGAGTGAGCAATAGAAAGTCTCTGAACTGCCAGAAACAAATTCATTTTACATGGAAGTGGCTTTAAATCAAGCACATTAACCTCAATGAACTGAAATTAAATATGTCTCTCTTCAACTTCCCCTTAGCTGAATACTAAAAGTGCTGTAGGCTGGACCCGCACTACCTGACAGGGAGATAAATGACTAAAGGCAAATGGGAGTCAAAACAGGTGTGGCTTTTCTTATTTTTAATTAAGCATCTTACATAGCAAATTTTGCAAAACTCATATGACCCCGAGAAAGACCCATACACATGAAAGGTCTTAAAGATTTAACTTTCTTAGCTTTAACGTAAGCTTTCCACTGGATTTTCCCATTACACTCATTCCATAAAGAAATGAAATAATCATATATCTCATTACATAATTATACTAAATTGATCTCAACACATTTTCTTAGCAATATATACCAACATTGTTTCCAATATTGTTTATTACAAATGATGCTACAGTTGAAATCTTTATATCTGAACGCTTGTGTGTGTGTGTGTACCTATTCTGTGTATAACACTGATTTTATTTATTTGTATAGGCCTGGAAGTGGAAATACTGTGACATAAAATAGAGGCACAGCAAATTATTCAAGATGTCGACAAACAGCATTGTTTCCAAGTTTTTGTTCCCTTACAATCCTTGCCATTGGCCAATCTCTCAAAATCCCGTGTTGCTTAACATTTAGTAGCTTAGTAAATATTTTAAATCTCAGAGATTTTACCTAACTGATACCAGGGTTTTTAAAATTTGTTTATATAGATTAAGCGTCTTTGAAGAAATAACAGTATGCAAAAAATATGGTTGCTATTCTTCATGTTAAAACTATCTTAAACTCTTTTCCAGAGGAAAAAATAACAAAATAGAAACCAATGAAGGTCTTTTGCTTGGTGATTACATATATTGATTACCTGTGTAAGTTAAACAGATTGGGAAAAGGAAATATCCAAAATTGTGCCTAGAGTATATCATGACATCATGTATATATGTAAATAAGTTAATTTTTGCAATCGCAACATAGAGAAAAATGTTATTTTAAATGAATAAAAATAAATAAAACATAAAGTAATATTTCAGCGTATTAAATTTAGGAGTAAAAACCTTTGACATCCCTGAAAATCTTTGGTAAAAAGTCCAGATTATGATAACTTGGCTTTAATGAACTAGGAAATAGATGGATAATAGCACACACATTTTTAGCATTGTAGGGATTATTTTCACTGGTTGTAGGATCAACACACTTGGTTTAAATAATGGTTCTGAGAATTTAATTAATTAATTAATTTAATTCATTTTTGTTAGGAAAATAAATTCATTTCTAGACACAGGATATTTTACAACTGGATCGTATTTCAAAAAAGAATCACTGTGTTTTTAATGAACAAATGTCACATAAAGAAGTCTTTTCAAAAAGTGCTTCAAAAACTTAAATTTGAAATATATGCAACGGATCCACAAGGTATCTAATAATTTTTATTTTTACCAAGCTCATGAGTAAGTTAGTTAGCCCTGAAACAGTTTCGGAGAAAAAAAAAGTGTTTTAGTTTCTTCATCTGTAAAATATTTATGTTGCAAATGATTGAGCAAATATATAAATTTAAGCAGTTTGATCCTAGAACTTGTTGTGTTTAAGAATATGGATTATTGAGAAGTACTTCACCATAGTATTTATCACATAGTATGTCCTAATTGAAGATTAAGTATGGTTGTAATCATAATAAAGTATTTTGAAAATTCTTTTGAAAACTGTTTTAATGAATTATAGATTGAACACTGAGATAAGATGGAGTTATCCATGATCTTTAAGACAGCAAAATTAGGTCTTGAAATTAAAATTGAAATGAATATAATACACATATATTGATTTTATGTCGATGTTTTATAATCAAATCTGATTAGAAAAAGGAAATTGGTATAAAGGTTCTCCACATCTTCTCAGTCACCCTACTTCATTTTCTAAGGGAATTACATTACGTACTTTTATTTTATTTCTTGTTATATAGCTGTATCCTTTCCTTGATTTCTTGGCTTGCTTCTGCTCTCTTCTGCTATGCCTATCCATCAGTTTCCAGAGCTCAGAAAAACAGTTTTTAACAGCCTAATATATGTATTTGGCAATTTCCTCCCATAACTGTGATTTAATATTCATGGCCACATAAAGGGTATAAAATATTTTGCACTCGGTGTATACACATTTTCTTTATATCACTTTATCTTTCATCAATAACTCAATGGAAATCCCGTTAAGAGAATATGAATAGCTCTAGTTGGTATTCAATGTCTGCCTAACATTTCATGTTGACAAATTATCATAAACTATTCAATAGAAGAATTTTACTAACAATATATCGTTAACATTCTAAAATATTTTTGTATAATCTAGACTTTGGTGGGAACAAACCTTGGAACAAACTGGTTCCAAGGTTTCTTGGAGGGGAGTGGTGAAAAAGAAATGGGGAAATTTATGTTTTTTGAATTTGTCAACTTATTGAGGAGGGGTAAGTAGAGAAATTGACTAATTTGCTAAGACAATAGAAGGCATCTTTATTTCAAATAGTACTTGAAAATTATGCATCTAATTGTGAGGTCAAAAAATTGAAGATACCCCTTAATAAAGAAATAAAGGATAGATCTTCCAAAATAACAAGGATGTAGTGGAATGAATAAAAATGTATCAAGTCAGCAGCAATAAGGTAAAAATATTAGAAAAGTAATGTTAAATAGTTGTCAGATGGAAGGATATATTTGAGCAAATATTTTGTTAAATAGATGACAAAAAGGTAATATTTATACATTACATATATGTGTTTGTATGTATGTATGTATGTATGTATGTATTTATTTTGAGATATAGTCTTGCCTGTCACCCAGGCTGGTATGCAGTGGCACGATCTCGGCTCACTGCAACCTCCGCCTCCCGGGTTCAGACAATTCTCCTGCCTCAACCTCCCGAGTAGTTGGAACTGCAGGCGACCGCCACCACACTTAGCTATTTTTTTTTCTTTTTAGTAGAGACGAGGTTTCACCATGTTGGCCAGGCTGGTCTTGAACTCCTGGCCTCGTGATCCGCCTGCCTCAGCCTCCCAAAGTGCTGGGATTACAGGTGTGAGCCACCGTGCCCAGCCTCACAGATGTCTTAAAATTCACCTGATAAAGTTAGGAGCCTCAAGAAAAATTAGCAGAGGAAAATAATAGGTAGTTACTATTTAGGGTAAACTAAACTGTTCTAAGGAATAGAAAATAAAAATTCCATGTCTTCAAAAATAATTCTTCCCTCTCAATCTCTCTGAATATCTCATAAGAGTATTCAGGCCACAGAAATAACTACCATTTAGCCACTCAGAGGCTTATAGTAGTTCTACTAACTTTAACATTTGGCAACCAAAATTACTCTAAGAATCATCACCCAAGTCAGACAAACAGGTAAGATAACAAGAAAAAGTGCTTGTATAAGGATTTAAGACTAAGGCTCAGGGACAGCAAATATTCTATTTGCTAAAACTAAGCCACATGCACACACCAAGCAAGAGAGCCAGGGAAGTGGATAGGCACAGGCAGTCAGTCCACAGAAGAATGAATCAAAGTGCTGAACTTTCATAGAAAAATCTGTTAAGATTCATGGGTGGTAAAGAAAATACAAATTAAAATAACACAGGAATGTCACCAGAAAAACCATCAAATAGGTAGCATTTAAAGATATCTATAGGACTTATTGTTTCTAGTGTTCTCTCATATATTTCTGGTGAAGAATAATTTATTGTAGAGCTTTTTGAAACAATCTGACAATTTATATTGCAATTAATTGTACTTATGCCATCTGACCAAACAATGTAACTCCTAGGCTTTTTGCCTATATGACTAAAATCATATGCACAATAGTGGTTATTACATTCTTTAGCCCAGTAGCCATTAAATTCCTTGTGCCCTTAAAACCTAAAAGTTCACAGGGAGAAGACCTCTTACTGACTTGTAGAATCTCAATACTACTTATCTTGAAATTTCAGTAAGTGTTAGGTAAAAGAGTTCATTTGGGATAATCACACTATGATAGTCTTTAGCTTTTGAATTGGAATCCAAATTTTAGTTTAGAACAGCAAAGTTTGCGCCTAAAGATTTCATGAAGTAAAAATACTAATTGTGATTATATATCTAAATATTTGCACATCTAAAGTTGTCTTTTACCCGTAACCAGAATAAATGATACCTTTTTTAAAAAAAAAAAAAAGAAGAGTAATCTATCTAGAAAATGAAAAAATTAGGCTAAAATGGTGACTTAAGTAATTTAAATGGATATAGATTTATAAAATTAAACTATTTCTCAATTTTGAGAGGAAAAAATCAAGGAAATCAAATATACCTTCTCTTTCTTTTGTCAACAGATGTATGCTGTCTTAATTGATGCTTAATTTATTTTTCCATTACATAATTTTAATATTGTAATAACAACAGACACAAAATGAAATTTCTGTACATTTATGAAAAATGCTAAAATTGTAAAGTAATTTAAATATATAGGTTTAATTTATTCATATGATTTAAAATTTTATGTCATTTTGTTTTATTTATTAATTGTTGCTATAATTAAATGTTAATAAAATAAAGTCTTTAAAAATTCTGATTTGGCCTTGCAATATGCGATTAGAACACTTGTAAAAATGCAAACATATAAATAATGCAAAAATAATATTTGAAAAATGTAATCGTTCTTAATGTTATTGAACATCCAAAAGTTATTGACGAAGTATTCAGAAGCATTTTAGATTATTGTAAAATATTATTTAAATTATATTTAATTAAAAAATGATATACATTACTCAGTAAAAAGAAAAATAGATAATCAAGAAAAGCAAAACTGAAAAGATGAAAATGTTTTAATATTCAAGAAGCAATCCTGTCTTTTTTACTGAATTAAGGGACTTCCCTGCAATAAAATCGATTATGCTCACATAATAAAGGTATATCTTAATAATTTAAGTGAAGAAATAAAATCTGTCATCACTTTCACTTTCATCTGGAAAATAGTACCTCGTAAGTTTTTTCCGTTGCAGACTATAAACATAGAAGCAAATTTATTAACTTGGCACTATTATATAAGGTGCATAATGAGCGTTTGTAAAATGGCAAAATAGTTTTTTCTAGTCCTATAGTCAATTTATCATCAGAATAGCCTCAGACTCTATACAGGTTCATTCTATAAACAGTATTGGTGAAAAATCAGATGTGTGGTCTGTTTTTTGTTTGTTTGTTTGAGACTATCATTGTTGAATATACATCAAGCAAAATAGTCAAAGAAAAGCCTTTGGAGTAACATCGTAAATTCAATAATATGTATATGTGCACACACACACAAATAGACATCCAAACAACCACAAGAGGAATAACAAATTTATAACCCGGGTGGGCGCGGTGGCTCATGCCTGTAATCCCAGCACTCTGGGAGGCCGAGGCAGGCAGATCACTTGAGGTCAGGAGTGAGACCAGCCTGGCCAACATGGTGAAACTCCATCTCTACTAAAAATGCAAAAAATTAGCCAGGTCGTGGTGGTGCGCACCTGTCAGCTACTCAGGAGGCTGAAGCAGGAGAATCGCTTAAACCCAGGAGGTGGAGGTTGCAGGGAGTGGAGATTGTACCACTGCACTTCAACCTGGTTGGCAGAGCAAGACTCTGCCTCAAAAAAAAATATTATTACCAAAAATCTCACTAATTCTATACGTCAGCATTTATTAAAATAAGGATAAGAGAGAGCTACTGTAGATATCTCTAAGAAAATAAATAAATGATTATTGAATGTGTAGTTAATCTTCTTTTTGTTTGCCCATTTCTCTTTAGAGCCATGCGCATGAATTGCATTTGCGGGCTGGATTACCAAGGGCTTCTCTGAAATGGCAAAGAAAATAATGTTTGATTTCAAAATGCAATAATAGTAGCTATATGAAAACATGACCTTTGAGAGATTATTCAGCAAATAATACACTTAATGAAACTTGTTTTTTAAGAAATAGATATTTCAGAAAATATGGTACTACATATGATTGTTGCCAAATCATTCTGTATACTTAATGGTTGTTCAGCACTTTCTGTTTTATAAAGTACTTTCAAATATATCAATTCAGTTAGCTAGTACCCAAATCCTTGATGTAATCACTGTTATATAACATACAAGCAAACTGTGTGTAATAAATCACTCTGCAGTTGGAGTACAAGAGTAGGCATCAGGAAAGTGGCAGGTGTGTCATTTTGAATAAAGGCTGTTGTGGGAAAGGTTCCTTCAGACAGATCCCTCTCCCTAGGTATTTATGTGGTGAGAATAGCAGGTGGGGTTTGTGGAGTAGAGTCCGGGGCTTGTGCATCCTTAATTCAAGTAACAGCACTTGAATTAAAGGTTTATCCTAACTATAAAGCTGTACATTTTTCTCATGATGTATTTGAATGTATTCTTTTTAAGGAAAGAAAAAAATGTAGTCATATAAATGTTCAGGTCCTGAAGTATATGTATGTCACTTATTGCTATTCTCTTCTGTATTTTATGTGAATGCCACAAACATTTTTAAAATTTTAAAGAAGTAAACATATATACAACATAGATTTTTAAAATGAGATATATGCTGAAACAAAGTTTTGAGGAGGTATAATGTTCCAAAATGTAATTAGATGACAAATTATTTCTGGTACACATTTCCTAGCACTTATATTTTTCACCCACTCATAAAACAATGTGAAGTAGGTCATACTGAGTCACCAAATTAAACATTCAAATTATTCTACATCTCCAAAAGTAGCCCATAATTAAAAGGAATTTCATATTGGAATAACTGGACCTAATTTGCTTATTCATTAAATTGTGTCCAAGTGTAGTCTCTGAATTATATCAATTAGGGAACTAGAAGGCATACTTACAAAGAGCTGAATTAACAGTGCAAATAAAGTAACCACTGAGGATACTTTTGAAAATTCTAGTATTAATTTTGTTAGTCAATGCAATGGAAATACATCAGTAGCATAGTAATAAAAAATATTTCTTTTTATAGCATCTTTGATAATTATAAAATTAATAAGATTTATTATTTAAAAAACAGAATAATTCCTACATCATTAAAATCACAAGTAACTCCACTGTCTAATTACAACAACTATTGCGGTTTTTATGTATTTTCTTATCATTTTATTTATTTATAATTGATAGGTGAGTATTAGAATTAGCCTGACATTATTTTATGATTAATAATTTATTTAAAATATATTATATGATTAAGTGTCTATTTAAAATTAAGCCTGTTAAAAATAAAACTATTGATCTTTCCTATCCTCTAATCCCAAATTTGCTCCTCCCAAATTTAAACCCAGGTGAGTAATTCCAACTCTGTTCCTCCCATAGTTCAGGCCAAAACATTGCCAATATTATGGACTTTTGCCTCTAATATACAGGGTTCAAATATATCTTGTTTGCATAGAACAATTTCAATTTATAATTTACATAGTTTATAGTTTACAACAGCTTCAGGAATAGTTTACACGATAGTTTCCTCACTAATTTCCCTGTTTTCTCTTTTGCTATGCTATGGTCTATTTTCACAGATCAGTCAAACTGTTACTGCTAATTCTTTAAAGAGGCGATTGCTTTTCTGTTTAAAATCCTTCATGGCTGCCAATTAAATAAACAAAAGTTCTTACCATTTTCTAAGAAGCTTTATGTGACCATCTCCCCATGGAGTGTGATCTCATCTCCTCTGCTGTATCACATTGGCATCCTTAGTGGAACCTCACGGGTGCGTTCATACACCAAGGCCTCATTTGCTATTTCTGCTCCCTGAAAATATGTTCTCTCAATTATGCTCTTGGCTCATTCTCTCATAACCATTCATTGTATTCAGATGATACCACCCAGTGAGGCTTTCGGCAACCATCTTGTTCAGTATCCAGCACCTCTTGTGCCCAGAACTCTCTATTCCCCTTCTTTGCCACATTTTTTAGAATAGAACTTAAACCATCTGGCATACAACACATGATACTTTGTGGTATTAATTACTGTTTTTCTCCCAACACTGGAACAACAGCTCTGTGAAGCCAAGACATTCTGAATGTTATTTTCACTATTTTTTCCCCAGTCCCTACAAATGGGCCTAGAATATGCATAGTAGATGCTCAATAATTTGTTGGGGAACAAATGAAAGTTGATCCTCAATAATATTTTATAATGAATAGGCTTACAATTTATGAAAAAGCCATAACTTATTTAGCCATCTCCCTAAATTTGCATGCTTTTGTAAGTAATACTATCATGGTTGTGAAAACAATTATGTGTGTATATACGTATATGTATATAGGTATTTTATGGCAATGATATACATACATGTATAGTCTTCTGTAATATTTACAGGTGCTTTTGTTTTGCTTGCATTATGCAGCATATATGATTTTATAGCTAGTATTCTGGATGTCCATGAAACATCAATTAAAAAGAAACTAATTATTAAATAGCAGACCTGTTAAAGTGGTAGTCAAAATATTCTTTCCCCATCATATACCTCAGAGATTTCTGATGAACCCTTTTGAAATCTAATAGTGGCTGTAATCATAATAAATTTTTTCTAGGTAGTTTTACAAACACTTTTTAATCTTCAAAATTCAAGGCTAATGTATGCATGTTGAATGATTATGGCATTCATATATAAGCTATGTTTGGAACCAGAACTTACCAGTGCTTATATTTATGTGTAGGTATGATAGACAAAGCATAGGAATAACAAGATATCATTAGCTTATTATTCATTAAAAATATGAGTAGAACTGGTTTTGCTCTGTAGTTTTTGCTATGATAAACCTTAGCCATGAAAATAACCTGCTATTGAGCATGTGTGTCATCCATCTTATGACTCACCAAAAATAGGGAAATGAGTCTAGAACCATCAAAGCAGTTGACAACAGAAGTGAGATTTCAGCTTGGATGCATTTTATTATAAAAGTAGTATAATTATATTCAAGAATTTGTTAACCTTTTATCTCACTAAATAAATTTCAATATTCATTATAAATAACAAATTCAAGCATTTAAATATTATTTATATATTCTTAATTTTTGTTGTTTGTTTTAATTACACATGTCAATCCTGTTATGGAATGACATCAACATCCCCTTGTCAAGAGGATATTTTTAAATTTCCACATGTACATTTTAAGAGTTTGATACAACCCTATTTATCTATGATTTTCTCTTTCCTATAATTAGTAATTTTCACTGTAGAAGACTCACTTATAAAAGTGTATATTATTATATTTGGATGATAAACTAAAATTTTGAAATATTTAGAAGCATTGTTATGAACTCATTAAAATTATCAGAATCACTTCATATAAAATGATATTTAATATTGTCTTATACATAAATTAGTGACATTGTTTTGTACTTTTAATTTAATTTGATTATGAAAACTTTCTATGTGTTTTTGAATTTGTGTAACCTTAGACAGATTGCTAAGCCCATTTCATCATGCATTAATAGAATAGGATTAGATAATCTCTAAGGGCCCTTTTGGCTCTAAGATTATATGATTATAATTAATGGCACTGCAGATCTTGTAGAGGGGCATTAAAATGGACCCATACCTGAAGTAACTTTTCAATTGAATTAGTACTTAGGGAGTTGAGACAGTAGAAACAAGGAAGGCAAAACAGTCTTTCATAACAGATCATAATAAATTTGCTAATATTATAGAAAAGTCATTGGAAACTGTTTATCCTTTCTTTTTTTTTTTAATAGGACCTTCCCATTTTCACTTACAGTTTTGAATACATTTATACATTTCCTTCTTCAAACGTCATTTAAATTAAAAGTGTTTCTATTTTCTCCAGATGGAGTTTCAATGCTCATAAACATTTATATTAGGAGAGAATATAGTACATATTATCTAACTTAAGTTGAAAAAGAATGAAACTGTAAAATATATTTACCAAAATAATTAAGATTTATTTATCTTCGGTAGGCCTCAATTAGTTTACCTTTAAAAAGCATTCACTGATACAAATTTTAAAAATCCATGTAACAGACATCAATCAAATGTGATTTTTCTCCAGTTTATTATTTTCTGCCAGGGGAAATAAAATGCAATAATCACATTTTAAATATACATCTTTTTAAATGATTCTGTTGTTATACATATGATTGTTATTCATATTTTTACTGTTATTGAATGCCCCTGTACTGACCTTTCCAATTTGATAGTGCAGTAAGAAATAAACTTTTTTTTAATATTGAGAATTGGAAATGACCTGGTAATTTCTTTGTACTAGAGACCACTAATTGTCCATATAATGCATTCTTTCATTTTGTTTAGTAATAGAATCCTAAGTACATATGACCACAAGCAGGAGATTACCTTCTATAGTCTCTTATCAGTGATTAATTTTGATCAAGTATAGTATGAATTATATTATGAGCATAAATTTAAGTTAATCTCCATAAAGACAAAGCCGATTGTTTTTACATCTCTTCTTACACATTTTACTGTGAAGTATTGCTGAACTTAGCCATGAGGATGAAACACTAAGATAGGATTATAAAGAGAATACAAGATGAAAATCTCCTGGGGCCCAGGATGAACTCATGGAAAAAACATCCCCACCAACTCTCTTAATTGTTGGAGAGAAATATAAGACTACAATAAGGGTCACTCGTTATACTCATCGTTTTTGAGTTAGAGATATTGACAAGTGTATCAAACTATATATTTTCTCCCACAAGACATTGAGGGGCACACTTCTTTTATTCTCCAAAAGTAACAAAAAATGCTTTGGTGTCTAATTTTTAGCCTGCAAGGTCTCTCATAGTGTTGTTTTCAAAGACTTACATGTTTTATTTCCTTACCTCACTGCAACATTATAAATTTATCTTCTGTGCTAACCTCATGATAGCATCTAATGGTTCCAAGAGTGAAGATTATCACTAGTTTATGAACCTTTGTATTCCCCAAAAGAGAAAGAGATATTACATAACCAAATTCCAAGTATGATTAACCAAGATTTTTCTAAAATTTTCCACCTCTCAATTCTGTCTACTAATTTGAAATAAATGAGCAAAATACATTTGCAACATGATAATTCTTCAAACTCGGCTCTTATACCAAGCAGTACTGATGATTGGGGCATTAACAAAACCAATAAAATTGTTTTGCAAAACAAAAACGAAGTGAAAAATACGCTCAGCTTATCTTACACAATATTGTTTTCTACATCGAAAATGGCTAGATAACCTTAGAAAAAGTGGCATATACATTATTTACCTAAAAGTTATAGTAATCTGGGTAGAAGCTTAAAGTGATCTATCCTGTCATATAGTTGTCATTAACTAGGATATTAATTATTCTTAAAAGGATGCAAAATTTTTCCAAGGGATGTGCATCTGCAGACAGTTTTAAGGGACTATTGTCAAGAACTGTGAAGGATCTGAGCTTACAAGTTAGCCTGCTTCAGTTTTATGGATGCTGGCAGAAGACACATAACTCTTTGGTCAGAGACAGAAAGACTTCCATTATTTGCAGCACAGCACAGAGTTGCACGAGCTTCATCTTTGCTCTGGTTCCTGTTTTCCCTCAAGTTTACTGGAGATGATGACAAGGAGTTCAAGTTGATGCTACACACAGTTTGTGTCACAGATGAAGAACTCCAAGTAAAGGAAACTTAAATCTTTAATAAATGAGCAGTAAGCACACTTGTCTGATGTTTTCTGTGGAGGAAACACTATCTTCATTTTACTTGAAAATAAACAAATCTGTTCTCTCATCCATAAATAAACAATATCTTGATCTTCCAGGGCTATCCACTATATAAAGATCTTTAAAAAGGAAAACCTGTAATAAATGTGAAGCTAGTGCCTTTCTATTTGCAAGATGCACAGAAATGCATGAGGCCAATTGAAAATTGCCTGTGAAAAAACACGCTTCCAGATTTTTAGCTTGCTCTTTTCTAAACATGAAAATTCTCAGAAAGTACGTGTTCTCAAGATTCATGCCCTTTCTTTTTTCCCAAGTTGCTTTATCATGACCATCTTATTTTTCACATTACCAAATAATGCACTTCCCTAAACTATCCAAAATTTTCCATGGTGTTATAGTTTCTAAGGTACTGAGAAGAAACTCATAGGTGAAGCATATTTATAAATTGTTTACAAAATAATATTGAATACATATTTTCTCCTTTTCCCTGTCACTAGTAACTTTTTCTCTGCTTGATTAATTTATATCACATATTTAATAGCCCAGTTTATTCAGAACATACTGAGAGGTGAAGCCAGCTGGACTTCCTAGGTGGAGTGGAGACTTGGAGAACCTTTTTGTCTAGCAAGAGGTTTGTAAAATGCACCAATCAGCGCTCTGTAAAATGCACCAATCAGCGCTCTGTAAAAAGCACCAATCAGCAGGATCCTAAAAGTAGCCAATTGCAGGGAGGATTGAAAAAAAGGGCACTCTGATAGGACAAAAATGGAACATGGGAGGGGCCAATACGTGAATAAAAGCTGGCCACCCCAGCCAGCAGCAGCAACCTGCTGGTGTCCCCTTCTATGCTGTGGAAGCTTTGTCCTTTTGCTCTTCACAATAAACCTTGCTACCGCTCACTCGTTGGGTCCATGCTATCTTTAAGATCTGTAACACGGCAAAGGTCCGTGACTCCATTCTTGAAGTCAGCAAGACCACGAACCCACCAAACCCACCGGCAGGAACCAACTCTGGACATAATACCACATGGCAATCTCTGTTCTAAGCATTGATGTGTACAGGTTATTTACTCCTCATAAGAACACTGAAAGATAATTGCTACTTACTGGCTCCTTCTTAAGGTGAGTAAGCTAGAGACAGATACTCATGATTTGCTCAAGACTTCAGAACTTGTCTGTGGCAGAGCAGAGATGAGAATTAAATTTGCTAGCCACCATTTCTTGGAATTTAAACACATTGGTATGCCACCTCTTAGTATATGTAATTAATGACATGCAGTTCACAGAATTATGTTATTTAAATTATATTGGACAGAAATAAAAAAGTACGGTTGACGAACAACATGAGCTTGAGCTGTGTGCATCCCCTTATATAGAGATTCTTTTAATTAAAAAAATCAGCATCTGCATTGAAATGTGGATCAAAATACAGTAGCCACAGGATGAAAAACCCGCAGATATGGAGGACTGACTTTTTGTGTACTCTGGTTCCACAGGATTACTTGAATATGTGCTGATTTTGGTATCCTCTGGGGTCCTGGACCCAATCTTTTGAGGATATCAAGGGACCACTGTATTTTTATTTAAAATGACAAGAGTAGAGAATATATGCAGATATATCCCGAGGAACATCTTTCAGGTATATGCTTTTCTATTTTAATTCCTCTTAAAAAAACACACACATCTTAGAACTTACAATGTATCGATACAAAAATGTGGCCATTATTTACGTAGGAAAAGTTTATATACTCCTCCGGAGGGTAGGAAATGAGATTGCAGTGCACATGGGGTTCTGCCACTCACAGTGTAGGATGTTTCACCATGTCTTCCTGAAATGATTTGCAAATAGTCAAGAACAAATGACTGTGGTGATAGAGATGTATTTATTGCTGCCACCTTGTTCCCACTTCACCGTTGCATATTTGTACACAGGACACATATTTATTCTTTTAAGTTTAGATTTTACTGAGAAATGAGGACCTTATCTGGACTTCACTGGGAGAATTATGAGTGGCCAGAGATACTACATTTTGAGCTGGATGCCAGACCTTGAAAGAACTCTGCATTTTTCATTTTGAGAGAAGTCGGTGTGTTTTATAATGGGAGGAAGATTAAAGCAGGTATTTTGGCATCAGAAGGACTGACCTTGACAGAGATTGGTGAGATAACATTATTTCCTTCTTTGGACCACAAGGAAATGCTGTATTTTTCAGCCTCAATTGCAGGTAGGATGAGACCATTTCACTGGTGAATGAAATGTAGGTAAAAGTTATATTTCCCACTTTTAGACTGAGCTATAAGATACCTCACGCAATGCTTCTCATACTCCTCTTTATATTAAATGCAGGGGATTCAGTGAAAACCTTTAAGGAATTTCAGAAAGTTAATCCTCTACTGAATTATTATATGAATGAGAAGAAAAAAAATTGTGTTAAGTCACAGATATTTGCAGTTTGGTTCAGAAACTAATATTAATTGCCCTGACTAATACACTGAGATACTAGTGATGATTCTGCAATGACTGCTTTTACAGTGAAAGTGACCACAGTGGCATGCATGGATAAATTTAAGGTGATAAACATTAGGATTGCTTACATATTTTTTGGCTTCTTCATACACATGGTAGGATATAGCTCACTGCCCTGTTTAATTCAGTTATGGAATGTGATTTCCTTTTGCTTATTGAAATGTTAGTAGACTAAAGTGTCTGTTTCCTTCTAGAGGCAAAAATTCAGAGCGTGCCTCACAACATTCTTTTTTTCCTTGACTACAGTAACTTTCAATGTTCTGGAGTGGCTGCTTTGTCCTCTAGATCCTGGTATAAAGGTGACAATGACCCATGAGTAGAATCATAAGCAACACCAAGGACATGTGAAATGAGCAACTTATGAATGAATTGATACAGGCTCCTGACATTTAGAAATTGTTTTGTTATCACTCAGCTTAGTTTTTCTGATGTAATTTAATTGCTCTAAGGAAACAGTATCTGCTGTGATTTGTTACTGTCTCTTACTGCCCAGTGGTTGGCAAGGCCAAAAGTTCTAGACGCGGCAGTATTCTGAGAGTTGAGAGCCAATATATTTTCTTGGCAGTGCTCATGCTCATGGTGCACTTGAAGCTGTGTCGATGCTGCCATAGGAACACCACAAGCCAACCTTGTTTCTTCCATGGTTGCACTCTTTATGTATTCAGTTACAGACCTCAGGTGTGTCTGACATGAAATAAACATACGCAGGCATCACGACGGTAATCAACTGATTGCTTCAATGTGCTGGTCTTTGTAGGTCTTGAGAGTATCAACCTGGAAAAACAAGCTTTTAACTTTAATAATTTCAGCAAGTTAATATAAAGGGAAGTTCCACATATAGGTCTGGATCAAGTTTTTCTATGAAGTAGTTGCCAATTAGAAAAGTTTCCTAAACAATTAACCCTAGCAAAAAATTGTGTAAAGATTCCATTCACTTATTACACAAAACAGTATATTTTATGAGTGCTACCTTCTACTTTGGCCATTAGATAAAAGGTCTCTTCACCCTTCTTTTGTCGTGTTTTGCCTAAATATTTAGGCATATAGCTATAACCCATCATTCCCTTTTGAAAACAAAGAATAATAACCAAAGTAATATAATCTAAACCTGCTTTACAGTCCAAGTGTAGTTTATGTTATATGTTCCTGTAATTATTTGTCATCTGTGGCTCAAATCCCTTTTACTAAAATACTTTGCACTTCACCATAAACAAACTTGTGCAAACAAACAAGACACAGAAGCGATATAAAACTCCCAAAATCAAGTTACTAAGTTTCAGTAACAAATAAACCTGAATGTGTAATTAAATAGATTATAATAATGCTGAAAATTCTGTATTTTAGGTTCTTTATGATCTAGAGTTCTTCACATGTATTTAGTAAACCATTCCAAGTGCTATATTTCTTGCTAATAAAACCAAATAACAATGTTCAGGGTAAATTTTAATGAATTAATGCTTATAATGCAAACTATGCTTTCATCCATTTTATTCAGAAGCACACGATTAATTATACAACAGATATTTTATATGAATGTTCAGAGTAAAGACTATTTGTATTTGCTTGAATGACAACATAATTTATTAAATGAATAAATACACGGATTCGTCTTCTCCATCACCATTTCAGGCATGTTTTTGTGACATCTACCTTCTTCACCATGAACTCCTTCCTAACCAACCATTATATCTAAAATAAATTATCAGCAAACATAAATAATGTGCTATTCCAGAACTACCTCACATGAGCTAGATGATGGGAGGCATAATTCATAATAAACAGACCCTACCTTTAAATTCTATAAAGCCACAGCATTTAAATTATAACTATGCCACAGAGCAGTAACCTATTTTCCTATTAATTATATCCCATAAAAGCAATATAGCTTCACTAATTAATTATACTTGAAGTAACAACTATGGCTTAATTAAATGAACCATTCCTAATAATGAAACCTTAAAATAATTGGACTCTTCTGTCTAGAGGCAGTAACAATTATTGTCATTGGAAAGGATTTCAAACATGGCTATGCTAAGCAACGCTGATTCATAACTGACATTGAACCTGAGATTTCCTAGAGCAGTAGCTCTCAAAACCTTTCGTGAAGGGCCAACTATTAAGTATTTTAGAATGTACGTGCCATGTGATCTCTGTCACGAGTACCAATATTTGCCATCGTAGTGCATAAGTAGCCGTAAACAATATGTAAAATAAAAGGATGTCACTTTATTCTAATAAAACTTTGTTTACCAAAATGTATCAGTGGCCTGATTAGCTCTGTGCTTTGTAGTTTGATGACCTCTTATATAGAATCGAATTATTGAACTCATCTCTACTATGTTTCTAGATTTTCTAGTATTGTATTCTAGGTTTCTATCTTTCTCATCTATCCATCTTAATGTTAAGTTTTACAAACCCTTATCATATATAATATTATTTAAATTATATTAATCTGCATTTAACACACATCTTCCTCTATTTTGTAATTTAGCATTTTTGAGCCATTAAAGTTTAAATTACAGTAGAGATGTAGACATTATGTAAAGGTATATTACTTTGTTGTATATGTTCATAAAAGACAATAATGGCCACATTGAAATGACACAATACGATCTACCAAAAGCGAGTAAGGCAGAGATTGTGTACATAAGTAACCAAGTACAAGTTCTGTCCTTCAAGTGAACCCCTACATCATTATTATTCCCTTATGGTGGAAATTCCAGAAGTAGATAGCACATAAATTTTACATCTTCATATCTGATATATGGATACCTTTTTTATCAAGTATTCCTTTTTTTTTTTTTCTTTTTTCTGAGATGGAATCTCACTCTGTCGCCCAGGCTGGAGTGCAGTGGCGCGATCTCGGCTCACTGCAAGCTCTGCCTCCTGGGTTCACGCCATTCTCCTGCCTCAGCCTCCTCCAGACTAGCTGGCACTACAGGTGCCCATCACCACGCCTGACTAATTTTTCCTATTTTTAGTAGAGACGGGGTTTCACCCTGTTAGCCAGAATGGTCTCGATCTCCTGACTTCATAACCGCCCACCTCGGCCTCCCAAAGTGCTGGAATTAGAGGCGTGAGCCACCGCGCCCAGCCCATATGCCTTCTTTTATTCATGGTTTACTAATTATAATATTCTATTTATATAATTGAGAATTCCTTGTTCCGTTTTTCTTTCTCATTTTCTTTCATCCCAGTCAATCATTTTCAGTCAAAATGTGTGTGTATATATATATATATATATGTGTGTATATATATAGTGTGTGTGTATATATATATGTGTGTATATATATGTGTGTGTGTATATATGTGTGTGTATATATATATGTGTGTATATATATGTGTGTGTATATATGTGTATATATGTGTGTATATATGTGTGTATATATATGTGTGTGTATGTATATGTGTATATATATGTGTATATATATATGCGTATATGTATATATATATATATAGATGGGAAAGAAATACAGAGAAATCTAGGAAGCATTGTGAAAAAATGGTGTGAACGTATGCATCAAAAAGTAATATTACAATTTTATTCAGTATCCCATCCAAACTTTTCTCCTGCAGGACTTTCATGCTTGCTATTGTCAAATCTTCTCCCTTCTGCATAACTTTCATTTATCTTCTCTATTATTGCTATTGTCACATAAATGTGCTTTTATGTATCACATTAGAAAAATAGTCATTCTCCTCAGTCTACGTCTCACAAATATAGAACTACTTTTTTTTCTTCTTTAGAGCAAACTTTCTCAAAAGTATTAAGAAAAGTACAATGTGTAAAACAAGCAGCAAGAGAGGACATCTGTGTTAGGCTGAATAATGGCCTCAAGAGATGTCAGGTCTTAATCCTTAGTACCTGTAAATGTAACCTTTATGGCAAAGAGACTTGCAGATGTGAATAAGTGAAGAATTTTGTGATGGAAGATTATCATGAATTATCTTGGTGGGCTCTAAATGCAATCTTAAGTGTCCTTATAAGAGTGATGGAGAGGGAGATTTGACATAGAATCTAGGTTATGTGATCATGGAAGTGGAGAAATATTTGAAAATTATACGCTGCTATCTTTGAAGATAGAAGAAGGGGCCTTTGAGACAAGAAATGTAGTTCTAGAAGCTGCGTTTCTGGAATAATTTCTAGAATTACTCTCCCCTGAGTTCTCTGGAAAAAATAGGGTGCTGATCACACCTTGGTTTTAGACCACTGATACTGTTTATGAATTTTTGACCTTCAGAACTGTAACAGAAAAAGTCTGTGTTGCTTTAAGCTACCCATTTTGTGGCAATTTGTTACAGCAGCATAGGAAAATAATAGAGAATCTCTTCTTGTTCCCAGGTTTAAAAGCAAGCCTTCTAACATTCCCACATTATTATGTCATAAGATATTGTTTATAGGATTTCAAAAGATACACTTTATCAACTTAATGAAGTGCCTTTTAAATCCTAGTTTAATAAGAGCATATAGATATACAGTAAATTAATGATAAATTTTATCAAATACTTCTTTGTATCAATATCTGTTAGGATACAGATCTTATGTATCTGCATCTACTGAAATTATGTGATTTTTCTCATTTACTCTGTGAATGTGATGAATAATATTCTTTTTAATTGAATCACAATTATAGAGAATTGAATTAATCATCATTTTGATTAATGACATACTTTCATCTTATGCCTATTCATGGTCATCTTTTATATGTAGGTAATTAAATAATAACTTTTACAGTGTTAGAAGCAACCAGCATATAGCACCCTGCATAAAAGCTAAAACCTGAAGAATGACCACATTTAGCCATATAGTTTCTCACTCCCATCTCATCCTCTATAATTACCAGTGTTTGAACCACAGCCTCTTTCTTCTCTAAACCACTAGCTGAAATCTAAACTCAGCACTCCAACCTCCCATTTATTGATTTCTGCTAGGCTTCTTGACGTCTCACCTTGTGCATACATATCTTTGATACTGGCCACACTTAAGGGGCATTTGTATGCAGATATTCAGGCTCTCTCTCTGTGGTTACCTCCTTCTTGGAAATTTGTCTCGTGAGCCCCATACACACTAGATACTCTGAACTCTAATCTCTGTCACCTCAACACAGTAAAATTTCACTTTCCGTGTATGCTTTCTTTCTTCACATCAGTATTTGGGAAATGTTATTAGAGGAAAAACATCTGAGTGAATGTAATTTATAGTCTATAATTATTTCTTTTTAATAATGATCCCACTCAAGCTCTGTATACATTGATTGTTCTCCGGTGTCTTCCAACAGTTGTTTAACATATTTTGCCCAGCTTTTCTAGCCAACTTCAGGGTGTGAGTTTGTGCTACTTTATCATGGCCTGAACCTGAAATCCTCTAATTTTATTGAAATGGATGGTTATTATAGTTCATGTTGCATTTCTTGTGTTTCCAATACGTTTTTAGATTTTCTATTTCTCCACAATTCTGGAATTAAGAATCCATTTGTTTCATTCTAATCTAGTTTCTTATACATAATGCTAAAGGGAGTGTTGTTTCAATGACTGTCAATAACTTCTACATGGGCACCATTCACATTTCCCAAAGTCTCAGCAGCATTTCAAATTGTTGAAAATTTCTTCCTCTTCAAAACATTATTCATTATAGAGTTCTTTAAAAATATGCCAACCTTGCTTTTCTTCTTGCCACCTCAGCTTTTTATTCCCAACTCAATTGCAATACATTTTTTTTTCAGCTCATTTGGCATTAATTTCTATTGTCTGTTTCAACCCTTCCTTGGTGATTTAACAATAAAAATAAATAATTCCTTTAAAAGGCTCATAAGTGTCAGTAACTCCCATAGCTTTACTTTTACCTTTGACTATTCTTCAACCTTCAGACTTAGACACAAATTTGTTTAACTACCATCTTGCATTTCTCTCATGCCAAACGTCCACATGACTGATAGTCCTGTTATTTCTTTCTTCAAAGTATATATCAAATGCATTCACTCTTTCCATTGCCATTGCTACTATTACTGTTTTAGTCAATTCTGACTGCTATCACAAAGACCTATAGACTAGGTGGCTTAGAAATAACAAAAATCAATTTTTTCACAGTTCTAAAGGCTAGAAGTCTGAGACCATGGTACCAGAGTGACCAGGTTTCAGTGATATCTCTCTTCTAAGTTGCAGACTACCATTTTCTTCTTGTATCCTCACATGTCAGAGAGTGAGAGAACTCTCTTGGGTCTATTATATAGGGGAACTAGTTCCATTTAGAAGGGCTCCAACCTCATGATGTAACCACCTCCTGAAAGTCCCACCTCCTAATACCATCATATTAAGGGTTAGGATTTCCACCTATAAGTTTCAGAGACAGGGTGGCAACAGCCATGCAGTCCATTGCAATCACTATCCAAGACATCACCGTCATCATTATCTCCATTCCTTTTTTTTTATTATTATTATACTTTAAGTTTTAGGGTACATGTGCACAATGTACAGGTTAGTTACATATGTATACATGTGCCATGCTGGTGTGCTGCACCCATTAACTCATCAATTAGCATTAGGTGTATCTCCTAAAGCTATCCCTCCCCCCTCCCCCCACCCCACAACAGTCCCCAGAGTGTGATGTTCCCCTTCCTGTGTCCATGTGTTCTCATTGTTCAATTCCCACCTATAAGTGAGAATATGCGGTGTTTGGTTTTTTGTTCTTGCGATAGTTTACTGAGAATGATGATTTCCAATTTCATCCATGTCCCTACAAAGGACATGAACTCATCATTTTTTATGGCTGCATAGTATTCCATGGTGTATATGTGCCACATTTTCTTAATCCAGTCTATCATTGTTGGACATTTGGGTTGGTTCCAAGTCTTTGCTATTGTGAATAGTGCCGCAATAAACATACGTGTGCATGTGTCTTCATAGCAGCATGATTTATAGTTCTTTGGGTATATACCCAGTAATGGGATGGCTGGGTCAAATGGTATTTCTAGTTCTAGATCCCTGAGGAATCGCCACACTGACTTCCACAATGGTTGAACTAGTTGACAGTCCCACCAGCAGTGTAAAAGTGTCCCTATTTCTCCACATCCTCTCCAGCACCTGTTGTTTCCTGACTTTTTAATGATTGCCATTCTAACTGGTGTGAGATGGTATCTCATTGTGGTTTTGATTTGCATTTCTCTGATGGCCAGTGATGGTGAGCATTTTTTCATGTGTTTTTTGGCTGCATAAATGTCTTCTTTTGAGAAGTGTCTGTTCATATCCTTTGCCCACTTTTTGATGGGGTTGTTTGTTTTTTTCTTGTAAATTTGTTTGAGTTCACTGTAGATTCTGGATATTGGCCCTTTGACAGATGAGTAGGTTGCGAAAATTTTCTCCCATTCTGTAGGTTGCCTGTTCACTCTGATGGTAGTTTCTTTTGCTGTGCAGAAGCTCCTTAGTTTAATTAGATCCCATTTGTCAATTTTGGATTTTGTTGCCATTGCTTTTGGTGTTTTACACATGAAGTCCTTGCCCATGCCTATGTCCTGAATGGTAATGCCTAGGTTTTCTTCTACGGTTTTTATGGTTTTAGGTCTAACGTTTAAGTCTTTAATCCATCTTGATTTAATTTTTGTATAAGGTGTAAGGAAGAGATCCAGTTTCAGCTCTCTACATATGGCTAGCCAGTTTTCCCAGTACCATTTATTAAATAGGGAATCCTTTCCCCAATGCTTGTTTTTCTCAGGTTTGTCAAAGATCAGATAGTTGTAGATATGTGGTGTTATTTCTGAAGTCTCTGTTCTGTTCCATTGATCTATATGTCTGTTTTGGTACCAGTACCATGCTGTTTTGGTTACTGTAGCCTTGTAGTATAGTTTGAAGTCAGGTAGTGTGATGCCTCCAGCTTTGTTCTTTTGGCTTAGGATTGACTTGGCGATGCGGGCTCTTTTTTGGTTTCATATGAACTTTAAGGTAGTTTTTTCCAATTCTGTGAAGAAAGTCATTGGTAGCTTGATGGGGATGGCATTGAATCTGTAAATTACCTTGGGCAGTATGGCCATTTTCACGATATTGATTCTTCCTACCCATGAGCATGGAATGTTCTTCCATTTGTTTGTATCCTCTTTTATTTCATTGAGCAGTGGTTTGTAGTTCTCCTTGAAGAGGTCCTTCACATCCCTTGTAAGTTGGATTCCTGGGTATTTTATTCTCTTTGAAGCAATTGTGAACGGGAGTTCACTCATGATTTGGCTCTCTGTCTGTCTGTTATTGGTGTATAAGAATGCTTGTGATTTTTGTACATTGATTTTGTATCCTGAGACTTTGCTGAAGTTGCTTATCAGCTTAAGGAGATTTTGGGCTGAGACAATGGGGTTTTCTAGATATACAATCATGTCGTCTGCAAACAGGGACAATTTGACTTCCTCTTTTCCTAATTGAATACCCTTTATTTCCTTCCCCTGCCTAATTACCCTGGCCAGAACTTCCAACGCTATGTTGAATATGAGTGGTGAGAGAGGGCATCCCTGTCTTGTGCCTGTTTTCAAAGGGAATGCTTCCAGTTTTTGCCCATTCAGTATGATATCATTATCTCCATTCTATATTCGGATAATAGTCTCTGACTTTGTCTTCTTGCATTTATTCTTTTCCCCTAAAGTGATTCTTCAAAGAGTAATGTCAAGGAGAACCAGAGCCAGAGGGTAATTAAAGCAGTAAAGAAAGATTTTATTCAGAAATTATTGCAACACAGGAAAAGAGACTTTAGTAGAGAAATGAGCTCAATTCCAAATACAAGCACACATGGAAATTTGTAGCAAAAGAGCAGTGTGAAGGGGTCAGTGGATGGAAAATTATTAAGAGGAGACGTCAAAAGTAGGGGAACTCTTGCTAAACCAAATTAACAGGATTCTTGCTGAAGGCAGCTCAGGGTGATCAGATATCAAGATTCTCTCTATATGGACTTAAGGATTCTTGTTAAAAGTGAGCTATGGAGACTAGGCAAGGGGCCTAGGTGAAGATCTAGTTGAGAGGAGAGCTCAAAAATCTGACTAAAGTTTGATGAAGGAGAGAGTCTTTGTCAGTATTTGTGTTAATTTTTTTTAATTACTAAAAGTGAGGCTTATTTGCATTCTTCAAGGACTTACCAATTAATAAGCTATGTTAAAATCTCCAGTTTTAATGTCTATTTCTTCTTTCAACTTCTGTTATTTCTGCTTTATGAAAATTGTAATTTTGTGTATGTTATTAATATATATTTTATTTTTAATGTAGAATGAAGCATGAATCCTTCTGTAGAATAAATTTCCCTTCCTTATCCTGTTAAATTTATTTTGTCTTAAATTCTATCTTGTCTCATAGCAAAATTCTGACAACTATTTCAGGATCTTGCTATCATACAAGATCTATCTTTGCTCTTCCTTTTACATTAAACCATTCTGAATTGCCTTGTTCAATATGTTTCTTGCACACAGAATAGATTGGATTCTGCTCCATTAGCCAATCTAAAAGTACACCATTTAATGGTGAGTTAAGCCCATTTGTGTCTTTGATATACCTGTTATGCTGGTGTTAAGTTCTGTTATATAAGTTTTTGCTATATAAATAATTTATATAAAATCTTGCCCTGTATTTACACTTTAATTTGAGGTGCAGGATATACTCATCTGGTATTTATAAATGTTTCTATGTTTATTCTTATTATTATCTTATAATAATATTATAATAAAATATACTAGTCCTCTAGTGTGTTTGAATACTATCTATTGTTTTCTTCAATGAGTAGTAATACTGTTCTCTAGTAAACTCTCTTTCCTTTCTTCTCTCTTTTGGCTTAACATTTATTTACTTTAATTCCATATTTTTTAATGGCAGTTAGATACTCCCGAGATAGTCATTAAGATTCGTCTACTTTCTTTTTCTTCTCCTTTTTTCTGTTTGTTGTTGAGTTGCATTATTTCTTCATGTTTAACACACTTAATAGCATCATGTTTTGTCACTTTAATCCCCATTACTTGCTCTTAATTATAAAATTAAACATATTTAGTCCTTATCCAGAAGCTTCACATGATGTTTGTCTTCTTGTCAGTAGGTAGGACATTTCTAAAAAAGCCATCACAGGAACAATGTTTTTTAAAATCATAAATATTCATGATGTTCTACATTCCTTAGACATGATTCATAGTTTGGATGAATAAAATCTCATCTCGCTACTGTGTTATCTGTTTCATAATCATTAAACCATTTCTTGATTATCATCCTGTATAAAATGTTGCTATCAAGAAGTCTATTATCAATATAAACTTCTTATCCTTTTACCTTCATGCTCAAATAATTAATATTATTTTTTATTTTAATTTTTGTTCTTAGAAATAACCATTACATGGGTATTACTATTCTTTGCCTAAGTTTTATGTTTAGAAAATTTTTAGATGTTTTTAATCTCTCAATTTCTGTTTTTTACTCTTATTTTTATACTCTATATCTCTTACTATAGTTTGTACCACTTCTATTTGATTTTATGTACCTTCAAATTATTTTTTTCTAAAAATTATTTTCTAAAAATTATCTTACTTGTCTCAGATTATCTGATTCTCTGATTAATTTTGATTTTGTTCCAATTATTTTTCTTCAGGGTAAGTATTTTTCTTTTGCGAGTGAGCATTATTGATGATTTCTTGTTGTAGTTTATTGATATTAAGATCTTACAATACTTCCTTTTATCTTCATTTTATCTTTGCCATTAACTCCAGCTGGTACTGGCCCTATGCTGCCAGTGATTAGGACAATTACTCTTGTATTCTGGGTTTCATGCTGATTATTTGTCACCTGTTTTAGTTGGTGATGTCACCCATGGGTTTTTCAGTTACTTCTCCTAACTCCTCTGCCTGGTGTTTGGTACAGATCCAGACATAAATGAAAGAAAAGGAGATAGATAGATAGATGGATAGATAGATGATAGATAGATAGATAGGATAGATTAGATAGATAGATAGATACATATTTACATATGTACTTACATACCATAGTTTGCTGCTGAGAGTCTCTCCAGTTTATTTTATTTAATATTCTCATAATCTAGAAGCTATTCTCTACAATGATAAAATAATCCAACTCTCAGGCAATGCTGAGCAAAATATAACGTAACTAATATCTCAACATACTTGACCCTATATTTTATATGAAAATAAATGAGGTCAGGCGCAAAGGCTCATGCCTATAATCCCAGCACTTTGGGAGGCCGAGGCGGGTGGATCATTGAGGTCAGGTGTTCGAGACTAGCCTGACCGACATGGTGAAATCCCGTGTCTACTAAAAAAAACCACAAAAATTAGCCAGGCATGTTGGTGCATGCCTGTAAGCCCAGCTGCTTGGCAGGCTGAGGCAGGAGAATTGCTTGAACCTGGGAGGTGGAGGTTGCAGTGAGTTGGGATCATGCCATTGCACTCCAACTTGGGCAACAAGAGCAAAACATCTCTGAAAAAAAAAGAGTAAAACACTGGTTGCTCTCTGTTTTAGTAATATGTTATTTATTAGGTAAATGTGATACATATTAAGTAAAGTGGGATTTTTCTTAGAGAAGATATTTATCTCTATTGAGGTAGCAAAATAAATATGTATAGATTGAATGAATTTGTCTCCCTTTAGGTTTAAATAAGAAATGGGTGTGTGTGTTTTCTTGGCCTATTCCTATTTTTCCTGGCTTATTCATATTCTAATTCCTCTTGTTTATATAATTATTCACTTTGATCACCTCATATATCTTATCTTTTTCGGGTGGCCTAAAAGCAAAAATATTCTTACAGTCTAGTCAGCATTTGCTGTGCTTCTTATTATTGTACTTGTTTAGCACAAACTTGATGCTGATTCTACTTCTCATTCTTCATGACAAAACAAGTGGAAAAAATATCTGGGAATTGGCTCTATGACATGGCTAAATAACACTAATATGGGTCTTGTGCTCTTAATCTATAAAATGGGAATAATAAAAATAGCAAGTCTGTAATCACTGCTGTATGAAAACCCCGAGTTTTATGAGTGCTTCTGGGAATACCTAGTAAAGAAAACATATCTGTGTGCTTTATCTTTTAATAGTTAAAAACAGTTTTGACAATAAGTAGTTTATATTTATTAGTTATTATAATACATATAATTGTAAATAGTTTATAGGTATTAGTTATTATAATATACATGTACATATAACACATTCATATAAACTATAAGTAGTTTATACATATTAGTAATTATAATATACCTATTATAATAACTAAGAATAGAAAAGCAATGTAGAAACTAAGAGTTATATAATACCCATAGTAATTAATCAATAAGCAAATACTATTTTTAGTATTTTTATACTATTTGTATATGTATTCATTACTTTATGTATATAATTCTTTATATAATTCTTAGGTTCTATAATACCTTTATTCTGTATATTTTGAATTATGTATTTAAAAGCCTAATATATTTCTAATTTGCAGAAAACAAGGAAAATTGTCTTCCTTCAATTATTATAAGTATGCATTTCTTTATCCAGGGAGGCTAAAAGGCAAGATCATAACAAGCTATTATATGGAAAATTAGTTCTTCAAAATATTCCTTTTAAAATTGAGGCAACAGAATCATTTTTCCCTCTCATTGTATGTTTAACTTAAAATTGTTTCAACAACAATATGTAGATTGCCAGTTCAAGTTCTCAGGTGTAACAAGACTCACATTTCTTTGTTATACAATATAATATAAATATAAAGTAAAACATTATATTAAAATGAAAGTTTTATAATATTTAGACATTAATATCTCAGCCTTTCATTAGCATATTATTTGAAGAAAGGCATTCACTTTTTCACAGGTTACTTCCTTGCTCCTGAAAATGACGATGTTCTATTTTCTACTATTTTTGTCTAAAAATTTAAACAGGTTAGTATATCCTCTGCATAAATGCTACAAAATACAATGCACAATAATTTTGTTAAAATTACTAAATATTAGTAAAAAATTCGATTAGTTTTCTTAATAATTGTTTCCTTATTTTTCATATCTATATATGCAGTCATTCTAAAGTTAAGGACTACTCTCTTGATAATGGAGAAATCTTTCAACACACAAAAACAAAATTTTTATTGTCTTTTAAATAGGTCCTGAGAAGAGGATTAGAAAAAGGCAACACATCAAAAAGTTAAGAGGCAGAAATAGCTTTTATGTTGCTGGTAAATTTAATGAGATCTTAAGTTTTTCGACTGGCAAGTCTCATCTCTTTGAGCATCTCAGTGAAGACTGTCAGAAATCATCAAAATTCAACACAACAGAGTAAAAGCTAATAGCATTTTTGTTATACCAAAACTGAAAGGATTGGTAAGACTCAAAATGAATGCTATTACTGAAAATCTTCTTTTATCTAATTCTTTGTGCAGTGAGTGAAAATTGAACAAATACATATCCTTTTTATGGTGTTAAAATGAATTCTGACACTATTAAACAAATATTCTTTGGTCCTAAGACCTCCTCAATACTTCTTTCACAAGCAGTATTATTAGAATATCCTATGTGACTCTAGTTCAAAATATTCTGGCTATCATTTGATTATTTTCTGTGAAATAAAAATTCAGCACTCCATTTTTTAAAAAATACTGTGTTTTGATGAAGAAGGAAGTTTTTGAGTGGTTATCACATTAGAGAAATTTTTATTGTAATCAACCTTTGATAATTTCTGACATGATTAATATTTATCTTCTTTTCTAGATGTTCTTAAGTAACAAAAAGCAATAAAGATAAAATACAGGACATCAAAGATATCACATACATTCATATATCTCAAGAAATGAAAGCAATGAAAGAGCTGTGATATGATCCATATTTTTTGTTTATTGACAACTAATGCAAAATTCCAAACAATAATGAAGCAACTACAGATTGGGGAAAATAGTAAATCAGAAAGAGCAATTGAGAGAGCCTTTTTAGAAAAAAGTTTTCTCCGTTGGAATTATGTTACATTTTGAGTAATTATTATGATATTCAACCATTAATTTATACATTTGTTTTTAATTTAACATATATTTTGAGTACTAAATATATCAGGCACTATTATAGGTGCTTGTGCTAATTAACAACCAGTTTTCTAGAATGTGTAAAGTGCCATAGAAAATACCTCTTGGGTTCTATGCTCACTACCTGGATGATGGGTTCAGTCATACCCAAACCTCAGCATCATGCAGTATACTCTGTAACAAACACTCACATATATCCTCAAATCTAAAAGTTGAAATTTAAAAAAAAAATAAAAAGCAAATAATTATATTAAGTATATTAACTAAAACAAAACTGATTCCGTTTTAGAAAAAGAATTTAGAAATGAGGGGGAGTGGAGACTAGAATAACACTTATGGTGTTCAATCAGAATCAAAACTATCAATATATACTTAAGTTTACTTTTTTTCTATGTTAGATAGAAATTGAAAAGAATGTGTAGATATATAAATAGACCTAGACGCACATGTTTGTGTGTGAATGTGTATATATATATATATTTTTATTTTTGAGATGAAGTCTTTCTCTGTCGCCCAGCTTGGAGTGCAGTGGCCCGATGTCGGCTCACTGCAAGCTCTGCCTCCTGGATTCATGCCATTCTCCTGCCTCAGTCTCCCAAGTAGCTGGGACTACAGGCACCTGCCACCACGCCCAGCTAATTTTTTTGTATTTTTAATAGAGACGGGGTTTCACCGTGTTAGCCAGGATGGTCTTGATCTTCTGACCTCATAATCCGCCCATCTCAGCCTTCCAAAGTGCTGGGATTACAGGTGTGAGCCATAGCGCCCGGCCGAATGTGTGTATATTTCTTAATTTTAACCACTAAGACTAGAAGCAATAACATTTTAATAGCAATCAGCACATCTAGCATTCAAATCTTGGATTCACTTTTTTCTTCTTTAAAAGGATACAGAGCTCCTTGGATCAATGCCTGATTCTAGGTGCATGTGGCAGAAAGAACAAAATGGGTCTGAGACATCTGTTGTTGTTAAGAAAATAAGGAAGTCTCAACTAATGATTGAGACATGCCAAAGAACATAGGAGCTAACTAGAAGTGGCTCTCAGTGACCCAAACTGAGATAAATTGAACAAGGGAATAAATAATGATGGCAATAGATTATTCAGATTAATTAAACCAAATACACATGAATCCACACTAATATAAATAAATAATTGGATAAATAAGAAAAGTGGGACAAAGGAAAGCTTTTCCATACAGTAGAATTCTAATCAATAAATATAGAAAGAATAGTGGAAATAGATTCTCATTTCTTGGCAAATACCACATAATTGTTGCAGACAAGTCTGCTAAAATTAGTGGATACAATTATGAGAAACAAGATATTTACATAATCTCCAAGTATCTCTCAACAAAATACTGATTTTAAAAATGGTAACTTTGAAGTGGAGAAATGTGGCAGACAATGTCTTATTCAAGTGATCAGAGTTAACGTCAACAATATTAGGACACGATAATATCATGTGCCTCCTGATATGATGCACTGAGAAGGACAACCTCGGCATTGTGGCATTCTTGCCAAAATATATTATGTGAATTTAACCATGAAGAAATATTAGAAAAAAATCAAACTTCAAAATAATCTACAAAAAACAAGTATCAAGGGCATGAAAGACAAAAAGAAAAGCTGAATTTTCTTTTTTAACTTTTTTTTTTTTTGAGATGGAGTCTTGCACTGTTGCCAAGGCTGGAGTGCAGAGGCGTGATCTCTGCTCACTGAAAGCTCCGCCTCCTGGGTTCATGCCATTTTCCTGCCTCAGCCTCCCAAGTAGCTGGGACTACAGGTGCCCGCCACCACGCCAGCTAATTTTTTGTATTTTTAGTAGAGACGGGGTTTCACCGTTTTAGCTAGGATGGTCTCCATCTCCTGTCCTCATGATCCGCCCGCCTCGGCCTCCCAAAGTGCTGGGATTACAGGCATGAGCCTCCGCACCCGAATAAAGAAAACTAAAGAAATGTAGCAGATAAATGCAATATGTGACCCTGATTTTGATCCTAGTTAAAAAACATTAGTGGAACCATGAACAAAATATGTAAATAAGGTCTGTAGGTAAGTAACTAATTCCGTATCAATTTCCTAATGTGAGTAACTGTACTCTTAGATATGGTGTTAGCAGTCAAGAAGCTGGGTGAAGAATATATAGGAATTCTTGATTTTTTTAAATATATTTTTGTAAGCTTTAAAGTAGTTCAAAATGAAAATTTTAAAATAAAATGAATAAAAAAGAAAAAGGATAGGATGGATCTTCTGAAGTATTGTGCTAAATATGAAATTCATGGTCCATCCCTGAGGTCTTTTATATTACAGTGTTTAAGATATAAAATAAATGTAAAGAAAACCAAAGAATGATCAATAGTGATTAAAGTTATCACTATTTCTGGATAAACCATGTTCTACGATAGCACATAACTGGTGATAGCTTGGAGTCATGTGAAGACCTCTCCAAGAAAATGAAATGTAAAGTGATGACTTAAATATGGAAAAGGAACCATTTGATTAAAAAGCCAAACTATGAAGCTTCAAAGACAAGATGTTACCTTGTGCAAAACCCTGACATGGGGAAAAACTGTGTTTCAAGAGTGGAAAGAGCCCTGTCTCATTAGGAGTGAGGGTCTTGAATGGTGCCTGTGGTTGTAGACAGCAGAGCAGAGCTTTAGCATCCTGGAGATTTGTAATTGTACTCCACAAGTAACTAAAGGATTTAAGGCAGAGGAGGGAAAGAATCTTGCTTACATTACAAAAAATAAAAAAGAAAAAGAAGAAATAAAAAAATAGAAAAAAAGTAATATATATTATTATTATTACATTGGTTTATAGTAATTGGTTTATATCTAATTTGTTTCCCTGTGTTTATAATACATATATATCTCTGCCTCTTAAACCAAGAATAATTTTTACAGGGACAAGAATAAACACAAGGAAATGAATTAGAAAACTATTAAAGTGAAAGGACAAGAAGGTGGAGACCTTGTTCAAAATAATGAAATACATATTTAAGATATGTGCAAGTTTGAAGAAAAGAGCCACTGATAGGGTTTTGGTGTATTAGATAAGATAAAATCAATGGGAACACCAGCTGAAGTAAACAAACAAGCATACACACACAAACTGGGAAGCAGAGAAAATAACAAAACTCTACTTAAAACATTATGAATTTCAGTTGTCTATAAAACAATCCACATTTGATATTAAGTAAGTAGATGACTATGCAAAGCTCTAACTCAGAGAAGATACCAAAATTGGAAATATTCTGAGATGCTATCATGTAACTGGCCTTTAAACTCATGAAAATGCTTGAGAACACTCAGGGGAAAAAGTGAGTAAGTAGAGAAAAAAGAAAGTACTCAGCTAAGTGGATTGAAGACAGTACAGGAAATATTGAAGGAGACTGTCTATTGTTTGATTGATTTCTTTCAAAGAAAGAATACAAAGTAAGTTGATAACTGAAGGACAACGGTAGGTCAATGTAAACTTTTAACAAAAAGGGAATTATTCATTAATGAGAATGATAGTACTAAAATGAGAGGGAGAGCTAAGGGACAGAATTTACTTAATATTGGGAGATCTCATCAATTTAGCATAAGACATGTGGTAACTTTGTAGAAGGTTATTGTTATGAATGCTGTGGGAGTGAATGCATTGGGAAACTAAAATAGAATGTTTGGCACTGTTGAGTATCCTTTTAAGTTTTGTAGTGAATTGAAATCATGTTATTAGTTACAACGTAGATGAGCCTGGAGGACATTATGTTAAGTGAAATAAGACAGGCACAGAGAGAGAAAAACCACATGTTCTCACTTATATGTGGGAGCTAAAAATGAGCTTATAAAAGTAACAAGTAGAATTGTAGTTATCAGAGGCTGGAAAGGATGGGAATAAGAAGAGGATGGAAAGAGGTTGGTAAGCAAAGTTAACTTTGTAACAAAGTTGTAGCTAGAAGGGAGGAATAGCTCTAGCGTTCTGTAGTACTGTAGGGTGAATTAAGTTAACAATAATTTAGTGAATTTTTTTAAAAACCTACCAGATAGAATTCTGAATATTCACATCACAAGGAAATGACAAATGTACAAGGTGATAGTATGCTAATTACTCTAATTAGAATATTTCATATTGTATACATGTATCAAAATATCACTCTGTATCCCATAAATACGTATAATTATGTGCCAACTAAAAACAAAAGAAAAAATAGAATTCAAAATATAATCAATGTTCAACAAAAGCTTATTAAATTAAGACAAAGAAGCTATTGAAAATCATTTTTAATTCTGAATTTAAATTAAAATAATCTAGCTTAATTATGTCATTTCCCCCCAGAATTCTTATGCTTTTTGGATGCTAGCCCATTAAAAAAAGGAAAAAATTTGGAATCATATTGTTTACTCTAATAACCTAGTCTAAATCACGATTCTAGAGAGAAGTGGTAAAGACTCAAATTGTTATTATATTAGAAACTTAGCCTTCTGAAGGCAATATTAGGGAAAAAGAACTCTAGGCCACAATGAGAATGAGAGTAGTTTAAACAGGAAAAGGAAGAATCAGAGAGATTATTGAAAATGCCATCAACTAAGCATAATTCAAACAGAAAACAACATATATATATATATATTTTTTTTTTTCACCTAGGATTAGTAAATCAAGAAAATTGTATTACAATTTTATTGGATGGTGAGTTCTATAATACACTAAGTATAAAAAAAGAAGTAAAAGACTTGACATATACCATAATAAAATATTTAATAAGAACATATCTAGTAAGTACATAGAAATATATAAATAAAAACAGCTTTATTCAATAAGTATTTGTGACTATTATATATCTTATCTCATTTATCTTCACATTATTTTTGTAGGATAAATATTACTAATTTGATGTGTTGGTTGCAAAAAGGGTAATGTCACTAAAAGAAGTCAGATAGCCTGATTAAGGTTTTACATTCATTCATTGTGACAAATATATAATGAGAACACAATTTCTCTTATTATATCAAACTACCTGCTAAACAACAAAAGGAGTTTGATGATTTAATTACATATACTTTATCTTAATTCCCAAAGTGTATTAATATGGAAGGGCATTCTTTGTTGGTACTTGATGAGGTAAGAATTAAGAATTTAAAACTTATTGGTATAAACATATACCTAATTTAAATCATTTAAGTTATGATATATTAAGCTAATACATGCTTGAATTTGTTACTACTTTTGAAAATTTCTGTGTCTCCCCACACCTTCCTCATTCCACTTCGCTAGTTATTATGTTTCTTTTTTAATTTATGAAGATGGAATATAATGCCCAATTCATAATACTGTTTTTCAGGTACAAAGTTGGCATAGACAATACTGAAAAACATGTGATGACATTTACAGTAGCAATTCAAATTAAAAGAGAAAAGCATCTTTCTAAACCATCTTCAAGTAAACACTTGCCATTTATTTCTACTAGCAAATATTTCTATGTATCCTAAAAATTAAAAGTGATATACATTGAGTAAGACTTTACAGTCCTCAGAATACTATAATGGAAAAATATGTATTTGATATGTTTTCCTGCCATTTCGCTATCTAGAAAATGTCCTAATTCTTAAAAAAGATCATTAGCTAGCCACTGAAATCTCAGGGGGAAAAGCTGTTAAAACTGACAGCTACATTTTATAACACTACACATATAGACAACTCAGAGTTTAAATACATTGGATTTGTAATCTCTCTGTTATTTAGAAGAGGTGCTGTATAGGTGAAGGACTCATTTTGTGAACCTTTCTTAGTATATCAGCTAATTTATTCTTAGAACATTTCTAGAGAAAGAAAAACAGCAAGAGATCATCAGAGAATAAAAAAAGTATTATAAAAATGAGTTAAAATCATTTAAAGTAGCAGTTTATTTTTCAGAAAAGAATTTTAAGCCTCTACATATTTATGAGCAAGAATGGAAACTCTTGGACAACAGTCATGAAAATTTAAAATACAGATCTGATAAAAAATTCCTCTGCCTGTTTTATCAAATGTGTTTGGATTGGAAATAAATGGGGAGTTTATTTCATAGCTCCCCTGGGTTGGAGGTAAAAAGTTTCTATTCCTTAGGAAATGGAATAAAATAAATTGGTTAAAAGAAGTTTTGAGATTCATTCGTCCATAGCATTCTAAAATAGGAATTAGCTTAGAAAGGTCATCAACGACCAAAATTATCTGAGTTTGGTGGAGATAAAAAAGCAAGACTGAAAGTTATATTTTTTTTCAAGCAATGTTTGAATGGATAAAGTACAGAAGGAGAAAAATGGTTGCATTTCTATGCATTGAAAATGCTTATTTGGTTTTCTTTTAAGCTTGTTGTTTCAAATGGCCCACTTAAATTTACTGACTCTATACCAAATAAATTAATCTCACTTTTCACACTGCTATCCCTCTAGTTTCTTGCCTCAATTTATTCCAGAATGACATTCTACATTTATTCAATAAGTACTCAGAGGGATGTGTTATGTGCATGGCATTCAACTAACCATTAGTTGGACAAGACAAACTAAGTAAAGGATATCTTTCCTGCCTTCTTAAAGTTTGCAGTTTAATTATCTTGATTTCGAGCCTCATTCTCTTACATTTTCACTAATATTCCATATTTTTTCTAAGTCTCTGAAAAGTTTTGACAGTGAATTCCATCACCTTTATATTAGCTAAGCTCTCATTGGCTTTCTAACTCAATTTATCACATGGATATTGACTTTCAACCATGTTTTCTTTTTTCTTTTTTTTTTTTCTTTTGAGATGAGTTTTGCTCTTGTTGCCTAGGCTGGAGTGCAATGGCGTGATCTCGGCTCACTGCAACCTCTGCCTCCAGGGTTCAAGCGATTCTCCTTACTCAGCCTCCCAAATAGCTGGGATTACAGGTGTGCACTACCATGCCCAGCTAATTTTGTAATTTTAGTAGAGACCGCGTTTCTCCATGTTGGTCAGGCTGGTATTGAACTCCTGATCTCGTAGTCCCCCCGCCTCGGCCTCTCAAAGTGCTAGGATTACAGATGAGAGACACCGTGCCTGGCCTCAACCATGTTTTCAATTCTGAAAACAACTAAGAAGTATATGACCGTTCTTACCTTCAAATAAATACAATTTTAGTCTAAATGATAAAAGGACTCTATATAGGTAAATTCATCATAAGTTAGGAAGTGCAAGTGGAATGAAAAGTTTAAAAAAATGGCATAGTACGTGAGTATGAAAGGATACAGAATTAAAACCCATCTAGAAGATTCAGTAAAATATATGGCTTCCTTTTTATCCAAATAATTTTAGAAACTTTCCCTCCAACTTCCACACTTCTATGGCATTCAATTCCCATCTTTATTTTATTTCGTCTTATATTTTGTTTTACCTTCTGTCTTTACTTTCCCTTCTTGTTGAAGTAATTATTTCCTAGAAACATAGATCTTCATAAGGTTTATTGATGATTTAACATCTAAAGTTATCATATAATATGAGCTAGATTATGTTATCTAGCAATTTATCAATTGCAAAAATTTCACCCAATTGTAATTTAGAAAAAGTGTCAAACCCCCTAATAAGTTGCAAGAATAACAAAACTAATATTCAAATACATGCAACTCAATCCATAATCCATGTTTGTGTGTGTGTGTGTAAAGTTTTTTTTTTTTTGAGACTGAGTTTCGCTCTTGTTGCCCAGGCTGGAGTGCAATGGTGCAATCTCGGCTCACTGTAACCTCTGCCTCCCAGGTTCAAGTGATTCTCCTGCCTCAGCCTCCCGAGTAGCTGAGATTACAGGCATGCGCCACCACACCCAGCTAATTTTGTAATTTTAGTAGAGACTGGGTTTCTCCACATTGGTCAGGCTGGTCTTGAACTCCCGACCTCAGGTGATCTGCCCGCCTCAGCCTCCCAAAGTGCTGGGATTACAGGTGTGAGCCACCGCCCCAGCTAAATTTTTTAACTTATTCAAAAATCAGTTGTATACATCACTATAATTCACAGGGATAAGCAAATTATTTCTATAAAGAGCAATATAACAAATATTTTAGGAGTGTGTGTCTGTAAACTTTTGAGCTTATTCAAAAAGTAGTTGCAAACATTATTATGAGTCACAGTGTCAGCAAAGTATTTATTTCTATAAAGGGTAAGACAGTAAATATTTTAGGCTTTGGGAACATTGTAGAAGTCTCTGTCACAACTGCTAAACCCTGTTGTAACAAGAAAGTAGACAATATGCAAACAAATGGCTGTGGTTACAATATTATCAACTTTATTCATAGACACAAATGTTAAATTTTGTTAATTTTGTTTTACGAACTATTATTCTGTTGATATTTTTGTATTATTCAAAAAATATAAAAACATTCTTAGCTGCAGGTTGTTCAAAAACAGGCAATAGGACAGGTTCAGTGTATGGGCTGACGTCTGCTAAACCCTGTGGTTCAACTATAAATATTACTGCTAATATATAGCTGCTAATAGCAAGAGCAATGTCCTATTTATACACAAGAAAATTATCACAGGTGGAAATTATATTAAATACATTTTAATCATGCAAATTATACAAGAATGTAGTACTTTTGAAAAAAATCAAACGATTACCAGTAAATCTATTGTGTGTTGGTTCATCCCCAGAAGGCCATTATTATCAGTGTGGTTTGCGTATTTCCAGACATTTTCCAAAGCAATCACATAAGTTTATTTTAAAAATGTATTCTCACATATTTTACTGATAAACCATTTAAAAGTAAATGTGCAAACAATAGTTCTGCAATTCATTCATTCTCTTTAATAAGAAACATGCTGGAGACAAAGAAGGCAGGTTTTTTGGTAACCATATAACTGGCTAACCTCTTGGCAAACAAACTAAGAAGTTTCCAGGAAGGAATATCTTACCTACAGAATGCTTTTAGAAGAATGTATGTGCTGTGATTTCTTTTCTAGGGTTGTTTATAATAAAACCTAAATCTCTTTGACTCATGGGGCGTAGTTTCCTGGACCATCTAAAGACAAAATGAGATATTTTGTGATCTAAATATCTCCTCTGTGTAAGTGAGATGACCGCACATCTTACTCAGAATCATCATCTATTATCCTTGTTCAAAGCATATCTGATGTGGGAGGAAAGGACCCAGGGATTCTCACAGTGCTATCTGACCTTACCTTGCTCCACCTGTACCTCACAATAATTTTTATCCATAAAATTATTAGTTAAGTTTGCATAAGATCTCCGATTCATGTGAGTCTGATTTGATAATCTAATACTTTGTGTATTTTTAACCACAATAATGTGTTTTTATTTTTCAATTTAATATGTATTGGAAATCTTAGTGATTCAACACACGTTAATCTTTATCATTTCTTTAACTCTTAGATATGTCATATTTACTTAGCCATTTCTCTATTGGTGGACATTTAATCTATTTAATGGGCTTTTGACTATTTTTAAAAAGCTGTAATTGACATCCTATTGCATTTTATTGCACATATGTTAGTATTTCATAAGACAGATGATGAGTTAAGGAAAATTGTGCTTATAAGTTATTCACATTGTAAAATTTAATAGATATCAAAAATTTTCATCTAAAGTGGTCTTAAATTACAGATGTCAATTTGATATTATTAAACTTTGAATTATTTTGCTAAACCCATGGATTGAAAGTATAATTTTATGAAATCTTAGGTACCACAGGAAGAAGTATAAATTGATACAACTGATTTGAAAAAAAGTTAGTCTGTGATTAAATAAGTAACCACATATGTTTGCTCCTAAAATTCCTTGGATAGTTATATGTTGTAGATAAACTTATGCATATAATTCTGAGAGCATATGTCCAAGTATTTTCATATTGACTTTGCTCCTAAGCAACCAAACTTTAAAATAACACAAATGTATATAAGGAATAAAATAGAAAATTCTCATCTATATAAACAATCAAATGTTATAGAGCAGTGAAAAAAAATAAATTACAACTGCTTGCAACAACAGGGCTGTCACTCATAAACATATGTTGAACAAAAGGAGTGTGGCACAAAATAATACAGAAAGAGGATTTCATAGTAATTATCAAAGCAGGCCAAAAAACACTAAGGTATGTTGTTCAGAGATGCATACATGCTATACCTTTTTGAAGCACAGCAAAAAAATTATACATAAAACTTAGGGTGAGAGGAGCTTCTTTTAGGAAGGGACACTTGGGGGAGTCTGGGGCGCTAATATAGTCTAATTCCTGGCCTAGTTTGGTTTACATGGGTTAGCTTTACAATCTGAATACATTTAAGCTTTACAGATGTCTTTGATTCATGCTTTTGCATCTCAAAATAAAAGGTTCTATTGTTTAAGTTTAATTTGTTTTACTTGATTATTGAAAAATTTAATTATTTTTAAAATTTTAATTAAATTAGTTTAAATAAATAATTAAGGTCTTTAGAACTAATCTCTTGATTCTTCCAGTAAGTACCTATTTTTACATTTTCCCACTTTTCTATGGAAATATTTTTATTTTTCTAAATTATTTATAGATTTGCTTTCGTATACATAGTTTACATATTTTCTCATAGTAAAAAATATGTAGTAAAACTATTTTGCTAGAAGTGAAGACTTTAAATTTAAGTTAGCCAAATTAATCAATTTTTTTCAAGGGTATTGATTTTTTAGTCTTGCTTAAAAAGGCAAAATGGAGGCATACATTAGGTAAATATATTGAGAATGGGAATTTGAATCAGAAAGAAAAGACAGCGATCAGTTGGAAATATCTGAATACATCTTGCCTAATGGGCATGTCCTCTCTCTGACAAAAAGCCTGATCTGACTGCAAATGAGGCAAATTGTGGCCTGTAGCAGCATGAACCTCCTTCTCCACCAAAGGATTGCTCAGTAATAACAGTCTAGCAGAAACTCACCTTGAAAAAAAAACGTAGACAACATGAAAAAAAGAAAGAAAGGAAGAAAATCAACAGTCATTCGGAGAAGTGCCATCATTGTAAGTGCATAGGGTAAGATTAAAATAACATAAAGCAAATGAAAGATGTATAAAATACAAAAGAAAGACAGCAGAGAGCAATAAAAAGAGTACTTCCAAATAAGTAGAATTAATATTCTCAGGGGAATGCCAGAAGTTACTGCATCCATTAATAAAGAAGAGGAAAGCTAAAAATGAGATCATTGAAGTAATGATGAATATATAATCTCTCAATAAATAATGACGAATTGCATATATAGTAAAAAGAAGGCTGAAATATTTTTAAGCATACGCTTGCATACTAAAATAAATGAGGTCAAATGAATAATACAAATACACATCTTTTTGGACACTGACTTCTACTTGCACCTGCAGTTCTAGTCCTCTCTTTTCCACTACACTTTCTGATCTTCTTAGTATGAATTCCAGCAAGAGGCTTCCTTTTCTTCTGACTGCTGAGTGAATTCAATGAGTTAAAGTGAATGATTTGTATTCTCAGGAAAGCAGAGAGCAAGATCAAATATTTTTAACACTGGCTTCCCAGGGGTGATTGGCTTTGTCCCTTAAGCTTAGGTGGTTGCTCTTTTCCTGATGAGTCTACTTTATCCTAAAGTTAGTAAACTTGCTTTGCCACTGGCCCTTTCAAACTAGGGGTGATAAAAATCACTCTAACCAAAGGTTACTGCAGTCTCTTGTGTTCTTTCTCATCCCTTCAACAGCTTTGCAAAGAGTCTCCAAATCCTCTCTGCATTATGCTTATTAAATTGCACTATCAGTTTCTTTATATGACCCCAACAAATACATGAATCTCCTAGTTAGGGAAACTGATAGACTAAGAGTACTTTTCTTTCATGTTCAAAGCTAGAAGGTAAGTATTTTCTAATAATGTGAAGCAGTTGAAATGACAATTTGGGTTAGAGCTGTGCTGTGGACTACAGCTATTTGAAAGTACAGTTTTATTTTTATGACAGTTTGCTCTCTGCTCTCTGGGATATTTACATTTTCCTTTCCTATGGAGAAGGTCAGAGTATGATTGATTCAACATTAAAAATAACTTTAGGTTGTTTAAAGTGAGGATGTTCTAAATGATAATATTTGTGAAGTCCTCTATTTTGATATTTTTCACTTAAGATCAGTGATTTAGAAATCAAGTGAAAATCTTGTTACCATTTGAATGAACATACTGATATTAATAAAATGATAAGTATTTTACATGATCATCCAAGTTAGATTTTGACAGAATGCCTAGGGTCTTGGAGTAACCAGCTTTTGGCAGTTCCTGGCTCTCTTTTTCATATTCAAATTTGTAAAGAAAGCAGAGAAGAGTAAATGTGTGTAGGTGTCTTCCTCCTGGAAGTAGGCACAAACTGCATGGAAAACCAACCAAAAAATGGTAACAGAAAAATATGATAATAATTTATTTAAAAATAAAATTCTTAGACTTTGTCATAACTAGAAGACTATCTAGAATTGTGAATGAAGTAAGGACCCCAAATAAAGACGCATTTCTAATTCTCATATTTCTGGCCCATGCAGCAAATATTGGGTATGCTAGATGGAAGAAAAGGTGTTCAATATATAACATCCTCTTCCATATCTCAGTTTTGATTCTATTAAAATTAATACAAGGAATATAGCAGAATACTGAGAAACAAACACATTTAGTCTGATATAGGGGATGCAGATGAATTTGATTTATATTCATGGCAGTTGAGCCTTCTAATATTGAATTCCAGAGTTAGTGCAGAAGCAAAGAATGTGTGCTTTCTGTGAGTGATTCCTAAATAAAAAGAACAGAGACATATGTTTTTAACAAGTACTTATGTGGGATTCATAAAATTAATTTTTATATTATCCTCTCCCCTATCAACAAATTGTTAGGGACACCATGTCCGTGTTTTAAATGTTTATTAAAATTGCGTTGTATTTTAATCTCAACAATATCAATATAGATTTAATCCTCAGTCATGTGTGTCAACTTTTGTGAAAATTAATTTTATTTTCTTTCACTGGCATAAGTTTAATAGTTATTCAAAAAAAAAAAAACTCCTGGATTTTTTATTCCCCTGACTTTTTAAATGTTTAAAAGATGGCTGTTTCTTACCTTCATGTGATTAGGGGACCTTATGTTAAATTCTTGAGTTATGCTTTCTGCAGACTTTAGGTAGACAGAGTTTCACTGGTGAGGTAAATTTTTTTAAACTGTGAAATGCACAGATCTAAAGTTTACAATTCAATAACTTTGGACAAATACAAAGACCCATATAATCAATACCGATTCAAGCTACAGGCATTTTCCTCACCTCAAAAATTCCTTCATGCCTTTCCACTTAAATCTCACTCACACATCAAATCTTTAATCCATTCTTATTTTCATAACCATGGATTAGTTTTGCCTCTTCTGGAATGTCATATAAATGGAACTTTATGCCATGTAATTTTTTTTAATTTGTTCAACATAGTAAGAATAGATATTCAACTTTTTTTATTTCATTCAATATAATATTTTATAGAGGCCCAGACATTTTGTTACACGTCAATATCTGATTTGTTGTTGTTGTTGTTAATTCTGAGTACTGTAGTGTCCACTGTATGAATATATACAATTCGTGTATCCATTCCTTTATTGAAGGTTGTTTGGGTTGTTTCAAGGTTTAGTTTTAAGAATAAAACTGTTCTAATAAGTTTTGAATAAATCTTTATCGTGGCATCAGTTATTATTTCTTTTGTATACGTAACAGAGAAAAAACTTACTGGGTCAAAGAAAAATATATTTTAAACTTTATAAGAAAATAATTAACTGTTCTCTGGAGTGTTTGCCCCATTTTACACTCTTAAGAAACAAAAAGACTTCCAGTTGCTACATATCTATAATTTTTGGTATTGTCAGTATTTTAAAATTTCTTTAAATAATTTCTAGTGAATGTGCAATGGCTGTCATTGTCATGTATATTTGCATATTCCTAATGAATAATGATGTCCAGTGCCTGTTCATGTGACATTGCATATCTTCCTTTGTAAGATATTCAAGACCCATGCCTATTTGGGGAGAGGCTGTTAGACATTTTATTACTGAATAGTACTACTTATTAAGATCTTCTAAGTCATTTGTATGTATTAAAAATAATTCCTCTGATTCTGTGTCCTGCCTTTTAATTTTTTTCAATGCTTTCTCTTGATGAGTAGAAAATCTTATTTTGAGGAAGCCCTATTTATATAATTTTTTCCTTTATGGCTACATTTTCTGTTTGTTTTGTCTGAAATATTTTTGCCTCCCTAAAGATGTAATATTTTGCCCCCTAAGATGCAAGATTGTTCTCTTATATGCTTCATAGTATTAGTTTTTATATTTATGTTTCATATTTATGTTTATGAGCATCTCAAATTGGATTCATCGCAAATTTGTAAATGATATGGGATAAACATTGACGTTAGGCTAAGCATGATGACTCACATTTGTAACCCCAGTGCATTAGGAGACTGAAGAAGGAGGATTTCTTGAGCCCAGGAGTTCGAGGCTGCAGTGAGCTATGATTGCACCACTCCAGCCTGGGCAACAGAAAAAGTTAGAAATAAAAAAATTAATTTGATTTTCATAAATTTATCTAGTTGTTTCAGATATGTTGTAAAAATATGTGTTTTCTATTGTCCTTTGTCTTCATAGAAAATCAGTTCATCATCTATGTTAAACATAAACATATTTATGGATGCTCCATTTTTTAACATGCAGCTTTAAAAATCTTAAAATAATTTAATGTTACTTCTTTGATTATATTCTTTTCCAAGATTGGTTAAGTTACCTATGTTCCTTTGTATTTCTGCATATTTATATACATCTTGACATCACATTGTTTATTTTTATTTTGCAGTAAAATCTGATGTGATTTTCATCAGAGTTGAAATACATTTGTAGATCAATATAAGGTGGATGGATATCTTAATATAAATAACATATCAATAAGAACATGTATAGATCTACGTTTTCTATTTTTTCTTAAAATTTCTCAATAATATTTTTTAGCTTCTAGATAAAAGACCTATGCATATTTTGTTGCCTTTATTCCTAAGAATTATATGCTTGTGATTATTCTATTGTGAATAGAATTTATTATTATGTTTTAATGATTCATTATTAGTATGCAACAACACATTTTACCGGTTAAGAACTGCTTATCCAAAATGCTTGTCGAATTAATGCAAAAACAGCAAACTAAATACCACGTTTTCACTTATAAGTAGGAGGTAAACATTTGGTACCCAAAAACACAAAGATGGGAACCATAAACACTGGACATTCCAAAAGGGAAGAGAGAGGGAGCTGGCCAACTGTTGAAAAACTATCTATTGGGTCTTATGTTCACTACATAGGTGATGAGATCATTAGAAGTCCAATATTCAGCATCACACAGTATACCCATGTGACAAACGTTCAGATGTACCCCTAGAATCTAAAATAAAATAAAACAATCAGTTGCCAATATACAAATTGAAGTTGAATTCAACTCATGCTGCACTCTTTTCCCTGTTGCAATCATTATTACTGATTAAAATCTGTCCTTACCACTTTAACTAGTGTCCTCCTTCGTTTATTTTTAATACAAGAGGCCCTTCTGCCTTGCTTACTTATGTATTTCCAATGTTTGCACAGTTTTTGTTCATAGTGTCTGCTTAATAGGTATTTGTTAAAAAAAAATGAGCACATATAGTGAGTTAAAAAATGCTTGGGACCAGAGGTATTTCAGATTTCAAATTATTTTCAGATTTCAGAATATTTACATTATACTTACAAATTCAGTAGTGCTAATCCAGAAATCCAAAATCTGTAATTCTTAAGTGAACATTTCCTTGAGCATCACGTCAGCTCTCAAAAAGTTTCAGCTTTTAGAGCATTTCAGATTTCAGATATCTGGATAAGGAACACTCAACATGCACTTTCATATATTAACCTTGTTTGCTATAAATTTCATATATATATATATATATATATATATATTATTTAGTTCTAGTAGCTTTTGAAATGTATTCCTTAGGTTTTTTTCCATAATCATCTCATTTTCAAGTAAAGACAATTTTGTTTTTCCTATTCGATCATTATGCCCTTTATTTTTCTTCTTTTTATAATGGTTAGTGCTTACAGTAATGTGTAGAAGAACAGTAGTGAGATGAACATTATTTCTTTTTTCCTGATTTTATGTGGAATTTTTCAATATTGCACCTTTAAATAGTACCCTGCCTGAAGATTTTTTGTAGATTGTGGAAATAAATAACACCTAATAATAACAGAGAGAATCTATATTTATTCAGACTTTTTATAACAAGAAAGTCAGCTGTCATCATATATGTTTTGCAGAGACTCAAAGAAAGGCTGAGGAATAGGAAAGTTTTGTACCTGGAAAAGGAAAGCTTTTGGATATGCTCTGCCTTAAGGTTGTATGGGGAAGCTGAAGATGGACTAAATAAATAAGGGGAAATGGAGCATCTTATGTGATCAGTCAGAAAGCATACTTGACTTTCTCTGATGGGTCCTGAGTTGGCAGCGGGGGCAAAAATAGGGAACCTGGCAATCATTAACTAAATCCTATTCATTTGGGGCTGGTTGATGCAGAGGCTGTGGTTTGGCTTCCCAGGCTGGTTGCTACAAAGATGTGGGTCAGAACTCTATTCTTATATATGGTCTGGCTACCCCTCCTCCCATTTTGTCATTAACTAGCTTGTGAGGCATTGACCAAGCCAATTCAGGGAAGTTTAGAGATTCAAATCTTCACGACTTAGAGACTGTTTAGTTGTCTCTATTGTCAACCATATTATGAGATGTTCTTGAACTTTTTGCAGTTTTGTAGTAAGGGCGATCTTCTGGTGAGAGGGCTGCTATAAAAAGGAAGTTAAGACTGAGTTGAATGCAATTGGCCAGCATCATGACTACTATGACAAAAACAAGAACAATGAGTAGTTCCTATAAAATGCTTCAGAAATAAAACCCCAGCTGTCCAGCTCGAGTCAAGAGAACAAATCTTTCAGGTTATGACGATCAGCCATAGAGAGCCAAGTAACTTCTTCCTTAAGGCAATATATAGCTTATTCCATCTTGCTGTATTAATCATGGTTATTGTTTTTGTTTTGCTTTGACATCTTGAGACCATATGGGTTTCAAGACAGAGTGCTCCTCCTAGGGTTAGCTAATTTCTAGAAATACTAAACAACTTGCCTATGATCATGTTATTTATATGCAAACCAACCAATCCAGAATCCACACCCTCACTTGACTCTTATTATATGGCTCCTGTGGTCTGGGACATTATCCCTCTGCTTTCGTCACCCCAGAATCAGGTGCTGGAACACTAGGGACTAAATTACACAAAAAGTACTCACACTACCCAGTCTTAAACCTGCTCAGCTGCTTACACTGTCTCACTCATTCCTTCCAAGGAAAACCATATTAAAGGCTCTGGCTCATGCTTTAGTCTTGCTCCTTTTGCCTTCACTGACTCCGGTACTTCCCCATATGGCCCCAGTGCATGATGTGCTGTGGCTCCTGTTTCTAGGGCTTTATGTGTATAAGAACACGTGACAGTCATTTCTGTCTCTGCAAGTCTCTCCATAATTAAATGGAGACAAAAAGAAATCTAGAGCAATGAAACAGTGTAGTTGTTTTGTTTTTTTAATTAATTTCAACTTTTATTATAGGTTAATGAAAGACTGTTACATGAGTAATTGTGTGATGCTGAGGCTTGGAGTCCCAGTGATCCTACCACCCAGGCAGTAACACAGTACCCAACAGGTAGTTCTTCAGCCCACAACCCCTACCTTTCCTCCCCAATCTAGTGGTCCCCAATGTCTATTGTTCCCATCTTAACACGTGTATTCAATGTTTAGCTACCATCTATAAGTGAGAAGATGTGGTATGTGGCTTTCTGTTCTTCTATTAGGTCACTTAGGATAATGGTCTCCAGCTCCATTCATGTTGCCACAAAGAACATGACTTTGTTCATTTTTATGGCTGCATTGTTTTTTGTGATGTATACATACCATATTTTCTTTACCCAATTCTCTATTGATGGACACCTAGGTTAATTCTATTGCTTTGGTATTGTGAATAGTGCTGCAATGAACATACGGGTGCATGTGTCTCTTAGATAAAATAAATTATTTTCCCTTGGGTATATATACTCAATAGTGGGATTGCTGGGTCAAATGGTAGTTCTATTTTAAGTTGTTTGAAGAATCTCAAAACTTCTCTCCACAGTGGCTGAACTAGTTTGCATTCCCACCTACAATGTATAAGCGTTCCCATTTCTCCACAGACTTCTCAACATCTGTTGTTTTTTGTAAGTTTTAATAATTGCCATTCTGACTGGTGTGAGACGGTATTTCATTGTGGTTTTTGCATTTGAATTTATGTGATGATTAGTGAAGTTTAGCAATTTTTAATGTTTCTTGTCTGCTTGTTACGACACCTTTTGAGAAATGTCTGTTCATGTCCTTTGCCCATTTTTTAGGTGGATTTTTTGGATTTTTTGCTTGTAGATTTGTTTAAATTCCTTACAGATGCTGGATATTAGACCTTAATGAGAAGCATACTTTGCAAATATTTTCTCCCATTCTTTAAGTTGTCTGTTTACTCTGTTGATAGTTTCCTTTGGTAGGCAGAAGCTCTTTAGTTTAATTAGATCCCACCTGTCAATTTTTGTTTTTGTTGCAAGTGCTTTTGGGAACTCAGTCATCCATTTGCCAAAGCCTATATCAAAAAGGGTACTTCTTAGATTTTCTTCTAGTATTATTATAGTTTTAGGTCTTACTCGTAAATCTTTAATCTATCTTGAGTTAATTTTCATCTATGTTGAGAGGCAGGGGTCCAATTTCAATCTTCTGTATATGGCTAGCCAGTTACCACAGCACAATTTATTGAATAGGGATTTTTTTTCCATTGCTTGTTTTTGTCAGCTTCTTCAAAGGTCACATAGTTGTAAGTGGGCAAATTTAGTTCTGGGTGCTGTATTCTCTTCCACTGGTCTGTGTGTCTGTTTTTGTATCAGTACCACGCTGTTTTGATCACTGTAGCCTTATAGTACAGTTTGAAGTCTGGCAATGTGATACCTCTGGCTTTTCTTTTTGCTTAGGATTGCTTTGGCTATTCAAGCTCTTTTGTGGTTCCAGATGAATTTTATAATAGGTTTCATTCTAATTACTTAAAAAATGACATTGGTATTTTGATAGGAATAGCATTGAATCTGTAAATTGCTTTAGGCAGTATATCCATTTTAACAATATTGATTCTTCCAATCCATGAGCATGGATATTTTTCCATTTATGTGTCATCTCTGATTTCTTTCAACAGTGTCTTGTACTTCTCCTTGTAGTGGTCTTTGACCCCCTTGGTTGGATGAATTCCTAGGTATTTCATTTTCTTTGTGGCTATTGTAAATTGGATTGTGTTCTTGATTTGGTTATTAGCTGCAATGATTTTGGTTCATAAAAATGCTACTTATTTTCCTACAATGTTTTTATTTCTTGAAACTTTACTGAATTCACTTGTCAGTTCAAAGAGCCTTCTGATGGAAACTTTAGGGTTTTCTATGTGTAGAATCACAGCATTGGCAAAGAGAGATTGTTTAATTTCTTTTCCCATTTGGATGGCTTTTGTTTCTTTCTCTTGCCTGTTTGCTCTCACTAGGACTTTCAGTGCTATGCTGAATAGAAGTGGTAAAAGTGGGCATCCGTGTCGTGTCTCAGTTCTCCAGGGGTGTGGTTCCAGCTTTTGCTGTTCAGTTTGATGGCGACTGTGGGTTTGTCATAGATAGTTTTATTATTTTGAGGTATGTTCCTTCAATGCCTAATCTGTTGAGGGTTTTTATCAGAAAAGGAACGTTGAATTTCATTTATTTATTTATTTATTTATTTTTGAGATGGAGTCTCACTCTGTTGCCCAGGCTGGAGCGCAGTGGCGAGATCTCAGCTCACTGCAAGCTCCACCTCCCGGGTTCACGCCATTCTCCTGCCTCAGCCTCCCGAGTAGCTGGGACTACAGGCGCCCGCCACCATGCCCGGCTAATTTTTTGTATTTTTAGTAGAGACGGGGTTTCACCGTGGTCTCGATCTCCTGACCTCATGATCCGCCCGTCTCGGCCTCCCGAAGTGCTGGGATTACAGGCGTGAGCCCCCGCGCCTGGCTGGAATGTTGAATTTTATTGATGGCTTGTTCTGTATCTATTGAGATGATCCTATGTTTTTTGTTTTTGATTCTGTTTATGTGGTGAATCACATTTATCAATTTGCATATGTTGAATCAACTTTATATCCCAGGAATAAACCCTACTTGGTCATAGTGAATGAACTTTTTGATGTGCTGCTGGATTTGGTTTGACAATTTTTGCTTGTATTTTCATCAGAGATATTGATCTGTAGTTTTCTCTTTTCTTTTTCCGTGGTCTATGCCAGATTTGGTAACAGGGTAATGCTGGCTTTGTAGTATGAGTTAGATAGAAGCCCCTCCTCCTTGATTTTTTGGAGACATTTCAGTAGGATTGGTATCATTTCTCCCTTGCCCCTCTGATAGAACTCAGCTGTGAATCCATCTGTTACGGGGCTTTTATTTTATTTTTTTTCGTAGGTTTTTATTACTAATTCCATTTCCAAACTTCCTATTGGTCCGTTCAGGTTTTCACTTTCTTCCTGATTCAATCTTGGGAGATTGTGTGTTTCCAGGAATTTATTCATTTCCTCTAGATTTGTGTGCAGAGAGGTGCTCATAATAGTCTCTGCATATCTTTTGTATTTTCATGGGATCAATTTTGATATAATCTTTATAATTTCTGATTATACTTATTTGGATCTTCTCTTTTTCTTTGCTAATCTAGCTAATGATCTATCAGTATTGTTTATTAAAAAAAACTCTTGGCTTCATCTTTTGTGTGGACTTTTAGATAACAATTTTTTTTCAGTTCTCTGACTTCAGTTATTTTTTTTCTTCTACTAGCTTTGGGGTTGGGTCTTTTCTGTTGCTTTTTTTCTAATTCCCCTAGTTGCTATGTTAGGTCATTAACTTGAGACCTTTTTGTCCCCCTGATGAATGCATTTAGCACCGTCAATGTTCCTCTTAACACTGCTTTAATGTAGTTTTTGAGTCATCATTGCTATAATGGTTAAGTCCAATAGGCCAAAGGCATGAAAAAGTAGTTAGTTATGGGGTGCTTCTACCATGTTTCAGATATGTTTTTCCCTTTGAAGTGACCCATTCACATAATGCCCTTGGCCTGCTTTCCCCATCCACTCACTTTGCCCCGGCAAAATGGTATGAGGTACTTATTCAGAGAGTTTAAACAAAAACTTGAGGATGCATAACCCAGAATCATTCTTACCTTCTGCCTCTCTGAGGCTCAGAGAAAGCTTACAGTCTGCTCTCCTAAAAACATGTGCATTGCCTGTCAAAGGAGTTCTGTTCTAGTTCAATGTTGTTTCTGTCTGAGTGGGTTCATCTATATAACACTGAGATTCAAGTTTAGGAAGCTGACTCATGTCCATATATGAATCACATTCTGCAAGATCTGCTTTAGTTGTGTTAAATTTATTTTGCTTTCTTCCCTTCTTGTAAGAAACCTATACTATAAGAACTCTAACTTATGATTTTATAATCTGTTCTCTTAACTTTGAATGTACTTTAGGAACAAATATGCATAAACGTTAATCAGTTTCTCTATACAAAATTATTTTTATCTTCTGTTATAATTAAATACAATCATTTCTTAATAGTCAGTTTGTATAAAATCTTTATCAATTATCTCTGTCTATAAACTTTAGGAAAATATGTAAAATCTTGTTCTACATATTTTGAAAATGGTTATTTCTTTATGGTGAGAATTTGGATGATAAATTTAGTTTCATCTTAATTACTTATACTTTTTATTGCTTTCTTGTTAGACTGCTCAGGCTGCCGTAACAAAATGCAATAAACTTGGTGTCTTATACAACAAAATGTTTTCCGCATAGTTTGGAGGCTAAGAAGTACACGATCAGCATACACATAGTCAGTTTCTGCTGAGGGTATTCTTCATGCTTGTCACACAGATACCTTTTGTTGTGTTCCCAAAGGGAAGAGAGATAGAGAAACACACAGAGAGACAGAGACAAAGGAAGTGTACAAGAAAGTGCTCTTCTGTGTCTTTTATAATAAATTCACTAATTCCATCATGAGGACTCCATCCTCATGGTTTCATCTCAACCTTTTGACCTCCAAAGGCCCACATCTCCAAAACCATAATACTGGGGATTAGGGCTTCAAAATTTAAATTTGGGGTGGGAGGGACACAAACATTTAGTCCAAAATATTTGCATTTTAAATTAATGAGAATCCATTCAAACTAAAAAATAGGGTCATTATTATTGATTTTCAAAAAAAGAAATTTGAAAAAAAAGATTTGTCTCTGATTTACTCTTTGAAGAGAGAGTCACATATTGTAGAAAGTGATTGTTAACAACTTCCCCTTAAAAATAGTTTGCCAATTTTAAACCAAAGAAAATCCCAATAATCTATAGTCCCATACCATTAAGTGTATCTAAAAATTGTCATCCTATGAAATGTATACATTATCTTACAATGCATTGTGAAGAATGCCTAGGATTATTAGAATTACTAAATGAGCAAAGTTAATGGATATAAAATAGAATACAAAATCAATTTTCTATAATTAACGGAAATATTTAAGAAATACAATTTCAAAAGTAAACTTCAGTAGCTACTAAAGCAAGATTGTTTATAATAAAAAGACAATGTATCTCATTCTCACTCTATACATCTCATCAAGAATATAAATTTGAAACACAAAGCTTTAAAATTTTAAAAGCAATTTAGCCTGAATCTCAGAGTATGAAAAAAATTTTCAAACCAGCACAAAAACTGACTGGAGCAAGATGATTTGTAAGTTTGGTCCCACTCATATCAAGAGTATCTGTTCCTTCTAAATCACCATTGGTAAAATGAAAAATCATCATAAACAGCATGGCAACATTTGCAAGTACATAACAATCTATTAAAATTCATGATACAATTAATTTATGTTAAGGATTTAGAAAAAGACATAAAAATTAAAATAGGAAAATACCTAAGCAGACTTTTTAAATAATAAAAAAGTTAAAATATATGAAATGGTACCAAAGCTTATTATTAATTCAAATTAAAACTATAAAACAACAAAATACAATTTCTTTTTTTTTTTTTTTTTTTGAGAGGGAGTCTCACTCTGTCACTCAGGCTGGAGTGCAGTGGCATGATCTCAGCTCATTGCAACATCCACCTCCTGGATTCAAGCTATTCTCCTGCCTCAGCCTCTCAAGTAGCTGGGATTACAGGCACGCACCACCACGCCCAGCTAATTTTTGTATTTTTAGTAGAGACGGGGTTTCCCCATGTTGGCCAGGCTGGTCTTGAACTCCTCACCTCTGTTGATCCGCCCACCTTGGCCTCCCAAAGTGTTGGGATTACAGGCACGAACCACTGCGCCCAGCCCAAAATATAATTGCATATACATCACATTATAAATTTTTTTTTTAGACTGCATTTATTTTTGTGTGAGTTTGGATGTAGGGCAATTCAAACTTTTATATACTACTATTGGCATACAAATTAATGTGATTACATTGTACAACAATTTAACATTATCTAATAATGTTGATCATGTGCCAACCCTGTGACCCAGGAATTCCATTTCCAGAGACATCTTAGCTCTTGCATTTCTGGTGACAAGTACACAATAAGCAAAGTAGCATTGTTAATTTTAAAAAATCACAATAGCATTGAAAATTTCAGAAAACTGAACTAATTAATGTTCACAAGAAGCAGAAAAATAAAGTGTGATCTACTCATTCATTGGAATAGTGACACACATATCAGATTGGCTTATTCCGAGAACAGTACTTAGAGAGAAAAAAAAGCAAATTAAATCAAAGAGAACCAACAGGATGAAAGATTTGCTCTATTAGACATCGAAACTTTATAACATACAGCAATTCAGACACATCTTGTTCTTGAAGATGGATAGTATGCTGGAGTCACCTTGCCTCAGCTTCTGGCTACGAAGTCTCCCCTGAACTCCTCATGAAGATGGGCTTTACAAATACAAACTAACCAATTCCCAAACAAATACTCTATAGGGCTGTCACACTCCAGGCCACTGTGCTTCTGTCCTAATCACGCTAGGGCCAAAAACCAGAGAACCAGGGACAGCTCTTATGCCCCAGAGCCCACTGAAATTATTCAAACGAGCCAGTCCTAAGCTTGTTTACCCTGCTTGGTTTCTTCCTGCAAACACCACAGTCTAGGGTCTTGCTCGTGAATTCCTCCCTCTCTCTGTTTCCTGATGGACCTGAGTTCTTCCCTGTAGTCTCCCCTGGCGTGACATGCTCCCTTCTGTTGGAAATTGTGAGTATCTTTTCAATGGCAATTGTCTTCCGATCTGTTTGCCTTACTATACCTTAGCTTTTCTATTAATATGCTATATATTAAAACAATATTTGATATAGGTGAAAAATTGAGAAAAGATATTCTAAAAGATGGTAAAGCAGAATCACACACAAAGAGTATGTGAAAAAGAATGAGGTAAATACAAATAGAATGACATGGCTAGTGTGTGTGGTTGGTGGGAAAATAAAGAGGGAAATGATGTGTTTTAAGTTTGAGGTTAGAAAATTAGAGTAAAATTGAGAAATACGGTTTTAAGTTCAAACTATTGAATCTATTAAATCTAGAAAAATCAACAATAAAGTATCTATTTAGAGTAATAACTAAATCTGCTTTTCCTTTTTTCAATTAAAATAGAAACAAATATTGTGGCATTATTTTTATTGTTGTAACAGTTTTGGGCTGCTTTTGAGTCTTTGTTTTGGGAAAGTTTTTATTTTTAGGTTATTTTTCTTTTGTGATATTCTAGACAACCTCTTGTATAAATGTTAAAATGTAATTTTACTACGTTTGAGGCATATTTTAATGTGCCCTAGTTATTAACAAATTTATTCTAGATTAAGTACTATATTTTTAACCTCTTAAAAAAATTAATTTCTTTCTATGCAATGATTGACCTTGAAAATACAAAAGTATGTACAGTATGCACATAATATTCATACTGAATCTAATTGTTTAACTGTTGTTTAATTCATTTAATCATTCATTTTTCAAGGGAACCATATTAAATAATTAGGTAAAAATTTATCAGCAGTCACTGTGTTTATTTGGTAATTTTGTATGCAAGATAGCACATTGCAGTCTTGAGGAAAGATATTTCCTTACTAAGATAGCTATTAATTCAAATTCTATATTGTTTTAAACAATAAAAATTCAAAATACGTGTTTTGATAAGAAAGGAATTTGAATTTGCCAATAGTTGCTTTCTCATTTAATTTTTAAAAAAGAAAGAAGTCCCTATCTTCGAATAGACAACTTTATTAAATCTGATGAATTTTTGTAAAGTCTGTTTAAGTTGTTTCTGCTTTGATTGGTTAAACAACTAACTTTTAAAACAATGTTAGAAACTAACATATTATATATATTTCAGGATATCTTATAATATTATTTTTCTATGTAACTGCACTTGTATCTATGTCTATATCTGTATCTGTATCTGTATCTGTATCTATCTATATCTGTATTTAGACAGAGTATCTACAAGAACAAGTAGGTGGGAGTTAGGTCCTAATCCAAGGATTTTCAGTCACTGATAAATACAGTTTTCTCACGGAAGTTTCGTATCTGACTGTCTCTCCACTGGAAATTTCTGTTGCTATTCAAATAGTTCTACAATTTGCCTCCAGAAAATATGTCAATAAGATTAAAAAGTCAACATTTCATAAATTGAAATTGCTATTTTGACCTCCTAAAAATATATAACTTTTATTAAAACGAATTACTATTAAAATACATTCCACATAGGTATGGTAATTGCTTTTATTAGAAAAGTTGAAAGAAGTGAGATAATCTGAGTAATATGGTTTACAACAGATATGTAAAAACAAAGAACACATATCTGTCATCTATATTTATTCAGTTTTATGTGTTATAATTAAATGAATTTGGGTCCTTGCTTCTCTCAATTATGACATAATAAATGATAGAAAATAGACATGTTTTTCCAGAAGTCATTTTATAAACATACTATTGAGTAACGTTTAAAAATTAAAAGTAAAAATTAAATATTTATACTTTAATTTGGAGAAAAAAACTGCTATAAGCCTATTATTATAAATGCAAAGTAAGGAGAAGTGTTGAGTCCACTGGTTGCATCAAGAACTTTTTATCAAACTTAGAGGCACATAATCAGAAAAAGATATGTATATTTGTCCTAGAAATTAAGATTAAAATGTACATATCTAATGACATTGAGAGATAAGGAAAGGTAATGATCTATTAAAATAGTTTCCTGAAAGAGTATCAGCTAAAATCTTGACAAATTTGTATGCAGACTGAAATCCTAATCAAAGCATTAGTAAAAAGAAAAAGGTCCTTAAAATTTTCTGAAATTTTTATATGTGAATTATATTTCAAAGAAGCTCCATTTAAAATGCCCTCATGTTCAAAGTAAAAATCTATATTACAAATTGTGTAATATGTATTAATTTTAAATTTTATAAAAAATCAGTGAATTCTTTCAAGTTTTTCAAAGTGTTATGGTTAAGTCTAAATAGGAACTATACTTAAATTACTTTAGATTGTTTAGAATGAAAAATTATTTTTAATTTATCCAATGTTTATTTTATGTGTTCAGCATTCTGATGATTCTTTGAGAAGGAAAATAGTATAAATAGTTGAACATATTTAAAAACATCCATATTGATCACAATTATACATAATTTTTTAAAGTTCTTTTGATTTTTTGCTATGCTTTGTTAATTAATTGATTAATTGTACTGCAATTATAGCCATAATTGGAATAGGAACTGGACTGTATATAGTTTGACAGGTAGAGAAGTAATATTGTAAGATGAGAAGGAAAGGTAACAAATAGTTAAATGTGAGATAACTTGTATAATGGAATTTAAAAATTGTAATTAAATTTAGAAGTAAAATAAATGCTGACATAGATAAATGTGGTAAGAAACATAGAGCAATTTTCAGCAGTATGGACTTATCTTAAAACTGGCAAATGGATACCATCATTTTAAAACATTAATTAGAACTTTGGATCTGCTTTCCCCCATGCCCTATTAGTAGTAAATTCCTTATTGGCTCCCTTTTAGTATGTACATGCCAGTTTAATAATTTCAAAACCCCTGGAGTTTTTTTCATTTCAAACTTATTTTGATTGTTCTAAATGATAAGCAGAGAGAATCAGTCTTTCCTGGTTATTGCTTCCTTTTGTCACATGAGGTCTGTATCCAGAGCCACATATATTTTCTCGAGGTCTTCTTGGGGCACATTTGACCCTATGTCCTCCGCACATGAACAATAAAATTAGTTATCAACTAACATTCATATGACTTACCATGTTTCTCCAAATCATAGCCAGCCCGTGTGCCTGTACTTGAGTCAAGAGCCTCAGCACATCACCGGCTGAAGTTAATTTTAAGTGCAGGGCTTTTCCAAGCTGTGCAGCCTTGTTTGGTATGAAATTTCCACTTAATAAGGTTTTCTTAACTAGACTGTTTGAATACTTTTCCTCAGAGTTCTTGAACTCATTGTGCAAATTTTTCCACTTTTCATCTTCTATTAGGTCAGCGTACAATGCACTCACAAAATAAAAGTTTATTGTCACGTCTTAATTCTAGGATGGAATTCTAGGTGTCTGCCTTCTCTACATTTGCATAAAAAAAGAGGACATTTGGGGAAGACATAAATACAAACAAAAAACAAAACACAAAAGTTAAGTTAAAAATGATAACAATTTGCAAAAGTAGCTTATTTGAAAATAAAACTATAATTATTTAAGGATATGCTAAACCAATTTGCAATGTCAATTTGTTGAAGAAGACCATATTTTTATATATTAAGATTTATAGAAGTTAAAATTTTTATCTGAGCAATTCAATATATTTTTATGATAATAAATTATATAAATTCCAGCAGAAAATCATATTAGATGATTATGGTTTATTTAAGGATTCTAGTAAAATCTTTAACATAGAAAAATACTCATATTGGTATACGTACAGAACATAGTCATCTACCATTCATAGTTCAAGCTGGAGCTATTAAGAATATTAGATTGGATAACTCAATATCAACATTGATATCCATTGTAAATATATACAATAGAAGCCACTAATCTTACCAAAAAGATATAAAATTACTGAAATTTTTTACAAACAAGCTTTCATAATAATATTTATTTTCTGGGCTGTAGCATTAATTCTAAAAAATGACAAAAATTTGTAAGAAAACATATGACATAATTTTGACCTATTGAAATATTATTGAATGTGCTATTAATACAATAGTCATGAAAACCGTTATACAAAAACAAAGTGTTGTTCATGGCATTTACAGAGAACACATTGGTATGACTCCTTCAGGGTATTTATAATAAGTATGAAGCAAGATTTGACTGAGAATACTGAAGAAAACATTCACTTAATTTTTTGAAACAGCTCTGAATAGATGAATAGCATTTATTTAGGTTCTTTATTCTCTTTTGCTTCCTTTCTCCTTTCCTTCTTTTCTGTCATAGATGAGCCAGGCAAGTAACCCAAATGCATGATATGGACTAGGTGTAATAAAACTAAGCAGTGGAGAAATTGTGGTAAAATGAAGCATCTGAACTTTCTTGTGAAGATCAGCTTCTTAAGTCTATTCAGTGTAAACTGCCTCCACCTTATTTGATGTTTATCAAGATAAACCAAAAATACAAGATTGGAGAATTAAATATTGAAATAGTCAACTATGGGAATGTTCTCAATTAAAAAACAAGGAAGCAAGCAAACAAACAAACAAAAAACACATTGTGCTGGCCAACACTGTGAAAGCTAAAGTAACTCTGGAAACGTATTTGGATCAGTTACTGTAAATTTATAATTTTCCTTTAGGAAGTAGACAGTAGGATAAACCATTGAAATGTTTCTTTCTTGTTTTGATGTAGTTCCAATACTTACTAAATATGTGGCTTGGACATGTTAGCTTCTTTATTTTTAAAACAGAACAAAAATAGACATCATATTGATTTGAATACTAAATAGGATAGAAGTAATAAACCATATATGGCAATGCTTAGTACATTAGTAAACACTTGATAAATAAGTGGTAGCTATTATTATTGCTTGCCAAATAACTTTACAGAGGTGTCCAAAAATTCAAAATCCCACATGTCCTCAGAGTTATTTCTGCTTGCCAGGAGTCCCTGCTTAGAAATTAATAGGAAGTACACACCAAAATTTGACATTTAGATGTTTCATTCCACTTATTTGTCTTCTAGTTTAAAAATACTTATGAGAATTCTTTATATTTTTTTAAAAAATGTTAAATGATGAATAACAAAACAAAATAGAAAGCGTTATTTAATGAATTCAAATTCACAAAACCGCTTCTTATCCTAAAATATCTTAGATAGTTCTCATACTGCCCTCCTTAATAAACTCTACTTTCTTGCTCTGCAGATAATCACCTGCCTATGTTTCATTTATTTTTCCTGTGTTTCATGTTGATGATTCCTATGCATTTTTACTTTCTTCTACTATTCAATTATGAATTCTAAAATAAATGTGACATTTTTGCCTGTTTTTAACTCTAAATAGTTTTATAATTTCATTATACCATGACCTAATATTTGATTCAAACTTGAGTGGTTCGTAATATTAATTTGTATTAATTATCAGTGATGTACTATATCCCACTGTATAACAATAGCTTGAATTATATTTTGATTCTCTACTGATAGATATATAGGTCAAATCTAGGGTTTAAAGAAAATCCCAACACTGCTGCTATAAGCACTCTTACATGTTTCACTGTGTATGCATGTGTGAGAATTTTTCCACAATATATACTCAGAGGTACCCTTGCTGGATCAAGAGCAACTGTGCATTTTCACATTTTAGGTACTTCCAAGTTTTCTCCAAAGTGGTTGTACAGTGTATGTTTACCAGCACTGTAAATGTAAATGAAATATATCTTTATTACCCTTGGTATTATCACACATTTTCTTATTTACCAGTCTAATCACTGGTGAGATGGAATCAGGATTGATAAACCTATTCATGATTCCTCTTTTCTTTCTTCAAATTGCCTTATACTTAGGCTACTCTAATACTGGAATACTTTTCCTTATAATATCTTTCTTTATATTATCAACAGTTTTGAATGTTAATACTTTTTGCATTATAAACATCTTATTTTTTCTCCTATTAGCACTTTCCTATTTGTAATTGCATATTTTGAAGAATGGTGTTTTACACTTGTCATCAACTTAATATTTTTATTCAAGTTTAGCTCTTCTTTAATCATGTTTATATCATTTGTTAGCCTAAGCTGATAAATATTCTACTGGATTACCTTCTAGAAGTTTTTAAGCATTTATTTTCTATCTAGTTTTTTCAGATATCAAATAATCCCTCATATATTATACATTTCCCATGAAGTTTTTATTTACACTGGATGAATTTGTAGTTCTTTAACCATGTGAAACATTTCATTATGAAATATTTCAATAAAAATATGATGTATAACTTTTATCAATATGTTTTTGTTCATTCTTGCATATATTAGTTTTTTTGGCTATTAAATTTTCTAAGTGGAAACTTTTTGGTAAGATTTTTCTTTCTGGCTTAACTGGCTATCTGATCGAAAAACAACCAAAATATCTCCAGATGGATTAAAGAATTACACACAAAAATACAACTTTAGTGAAGTAGATCCATATGTTATCAAATAGCTTAAAACTAACTTTTGAAAAAAAAAGTCAATGTGACTACTTAAAAATTTTGTTGGGCCGGGCGCGGTGGCTCACGCCTGTAATCCCAGCACTTTGGGAGGCCGAGGCGGGTGGATCATGAGGTCAGGAGATCGAGACCATCCTGGCTAACAAGGTGAAACCCCGTCTCTACTAAATATACAAAAAATTAGCCGGGCGCGGTGGCGGGCGCCTGTAGTCCCAGCTACTCGGGAGGCTGAGGCAGGAGAATGGCGTGAACCCGGGAAGCGGAGCTTGCAGTGAGCCGAGATTGCGCCACTGCAGTCCGCAGTCTGGCCTGGGCGACAGAGCGAGACTCCGTCTCAAAAAAAAAAAAAAAAAAAAAAAAAAAAAAAAATTTTTGTTCAGATAATTGCAGGGATACCAGTTTGAAATAATCTAACTTAAAATCATACATTTATGTACATAAAAATAAATTTGGTATCAATGAAAACACTAAATCTAGAAAACAATCTAACTTCTGAAATTATTCTAAAATAGTATAAGAATATATTTTATACATGCTTGTAATGTAGGAAGGGCTCTTTAAAAGTGTGACACAATTCATAAAGGAAAAAATGTTTAAAGATAAATACTGATTAATTCACTATTAAGCCAGATTCAGGTAACCCTACTACTAATTTACACAATTACATAGTGAATCTTTGAGGCTTAGATGCTAATATATATGAAGTAACTAAAATAAAAACTAATAAATTCCTTGTAATTGGTTTGCATTTATTTCAGCAGAAATGATATATTACTATTTTATTTATAATTATAAAAGCATGTGTTAATTTTCAGTATGCTATTCTGTAAGTGAAAGTATGTTTGAAAATTGTAATGGTGGAGAAAAATTTAGCTGCACTCTACTTAAAACTAAACATACACACATTACAGATAGAGTCCAATGAGTTTTTAAGAAATTTATTGAGCTATAATTAACATATTAAAAGCCAAAAATATGTAAGATTAAATTATTAGATATGCTCTGACATATTTATACATCCGTGAGATCATCATTATTGTCAAGATAGTGAACATATAAATCCACAAAATGTTTCCTCATGACTACTTTTAATAATCCCCTTTTGCAATTATTGTCTCTCCTAATAAGCATCTTAGCTAGACAACTGCCGACCATCTTTCAGTATTGTATATTACTGTATATTGTATATTGGTGCATCCAGAAGTTTTATATAAATGGAATCATATAAGGTGCACTCTTTTTTGGCTGGCATTTTTGCTTTACAGCAAAATTCTTTTGAAATTCATTCATGTTGTTGCATGTGTCAGTAGTCGAACCTTTTTATTGCTGAGCAGAATTTTGCTGTACGTATATATCACCAATTACTTGTTAATGAATATGTGGGTCATGACCACATTTTAGCTATTAAAGAGAAAATGCCTATGAATATTTATATACAACAATTTCTTTTTCATTTTTCGAGGGGGAAATATCTAGAAGATAAATGACTAGATTAAGTGGTAAGCATAGGTTTACTTTTTTAAGAAGCTGTCAATCTATCTATTTTACAAAGTGGTTGTCAATCAAAAGTATATTAACGTTTCAGTTCCTCCATTTTGTTGCATATACCTGGTAGGGTCAATATTTTTTTTCACTTTGGACATTGTAATAACTATCAGTAGTATTTCTTTGTGGTTTTCAATTCTTTAATGACTACAGATGTTAAAATTTTTTGATATACTTATTTGTCATCCATGTCTTCTATCATGACGTCTTTTTCAATCTTTTGCCTTTTAAAAAATTGGGTGATTTGTTTTATTTTTGATTTTTGACAGCTTTTATATATTCTTTATGAAAGTAATTTATTAGTGTGTTGGGGCTCCTTATGACCACCCTTAGGCTCAAAGATTAACTATAATGATTCACAGGTCTTAGAAAACACGTTACCTTCATAGTTACAGTTTACTACAATGAAAAGATACAGATTAAAATCAACAAAGAAAAAAAGCCCATGGGGAGAAATGTAGAAGATATCAGGTACAAGCTTTCAGGTGTCCTCTCCCAGTGGAATCCCATAAGAACACACGTAATTCTCCCAGCAACAATATTTGACAGCATATTGAAGTGTTGTCAATCAGAGAAGCTCATTTAAGTTTTGGTCTCCAGGGCTTTTACTGGGCATCAGTCATGTAAGGTGGTGCCTATATGAGTGATTTCAGCTACTCAGACTACAGCATCTGTCAGAGAAAATATAGCCATTGACTCTAAATTATATTGTTAGGATAAGCTTATCTGTTCAAATGAGCACAGCATGGTCCAAGGCCTCAGACGCTGAAAACCACTTGTGCACTGTACTCTAAAGCCAAAGATGTATAGAAACACTGTCAACAGGCAGAATATATTAAGGGCCCACAGGTTATCTTCCAAAAGCCAGCCAAGTGCCAGTTCTAAAGACAAACATTAGTCCTGATGAGATAAACCTTTCTTGGCCAATAAGATATATGCTATTCAAATGTTTTCTCAGTTCATAGTTTTTAAAAAATTATTTTTAAATGCCCTTTTCCATTCCTATTAAGCATAGTATTGAAAGTTCTAGCCAAGGCAATCAGGCAAGAGAAAGCAATAAAGCGTATTCAAACAGGAAGAGAGGAAGTCAAATTGTCTCTGTTTGCAGATGACAAGATTGTATATTTAGAAAACCCCATCGTCTCAGCTTATCTCCTTAAGCTGATAAGCAACTTCAGCAAAATCTCAGGATTCAAAATCAACGTGCAAAAATAACAAGCATTCCTATACAACAACAACAGACAAACAGAGAGCCAAATCATGAGTGAACTCCCATTCACAATTGCTACAAAGAGAATAAAATACCTAGGAAAACAACTTACAAGGGATGTGAAGGATCTCCTCAAGGAGAACTACAAACCACTGTTCAAGGAAATAGGAGAGAACACAAACAAATGGCAAACTATTCCATGCTCATGGATAGGAAGAATCAATATGAAAATGTCCATACTGCTGAAGTAATTTATAAATTCAATGCTATCCCCATCAAGCTACCATTGACTTTCTTCACAGAATTAGAAAAACCTACTTTAAATTTCATACAAAACCAAAAAAGAGGTTGTATAGCCAAGACAATCCTAAGCAAAAAGAACAAAGCTGGAAGTATCATGCGACCTGACTTTAAAATATACTGCAAGGCTACAGTAACCAAAACAGCATGGTACTGGTACCAAAACAGTTATGTAGACCAACAGAACAGAACAGAGGCCTAAGAAATAAAGCCACACATCTACAGCCATCTGATCTTTGACAAACCTGACAAAAACAAGCAATGGGGAAAGGATTCCCTATTTAATAAATGGTATTGGGAAAACTGGGTAGTGGAAAACTGAAACTGGATCCCTTCCTTACATCTTATACAAAAATTCACCCAAGATGGATTGAAGCCTTAAACATAAGACCTAAAACTATAAAAACCTTAGCAGAACACCTAGGCAATACCATTCAGGACATAGGCATGGACAAAAACTTCATGACTACAACATCAAATGCATTGGCAACAAAAGCCAAAATTGATGAATGGGATCTAATTAAACTAAAGAGCTTCTGCACAGCAAAATAAACTATCATCAGAGTGAACAGGCAACCTACAGAATGGGAGAAAATTTTTGCAATCTATCCATCTGACAAAGGGCTAATATCCAGAATCTACAAAGAACTTAAACAAATTTGCAAGAAAAAATACAAACAACCCCATCGAAAAGTGGTCAAAGGATATGAACAGACACTTCTCAAAAGAAGACATTTATGCGGCCAAAAAACATGTGAAAAAAAAGCTCATCATCATTCGTCATTGGGGAAATGCAAATCAAAACCACAATGAGATACCATCTCACTCTGGTTAGAATGGTGATCATTAAAAAGTCAGAAAACAACAGATGCTGGAGAGGATGTGGAGAAATAGGAACACTTTTACACTGTTGGTGAAAGTGTAAATTAGTTCAACCATTGTGGAAGACAGTGTGGTGATTCTTCAAGGATCTAGAACTAGAAATACCGTTTGACCCAGCAATCCCATTACTAAATAGAAAAAGGATTATGAATCATTCTAGTATAAAGACACATGCACACGTAGGTTTATTGCAGCACTGTTCACAATAGCAAAGACTTGGAACCAACACAAATGCCCATCAATCATAGACTGGATAAAGCAAATGTGGCACATATACACTATGGAACACTATGCAGCCATAAAAAAGGATGAGTTCATGTCCTTTGCAGGGACATGGATAAAGCTGGAAACGATCATTCTCAGCAAACTAACACAGGAACAGAAAACCAAACACCGCATGTTCTCACTCATAATTGGGAGCTGAAAAATTAGAACACATGGACACAGGGAAGGGAACATCACACACTGGGGCCTGTCAGGGGGTGGGGGGCTTGGGGAGGGATAGCATTAGGAGAAATACCTAAAATAGATGATGGGTTGAAGGGTGCAGCAAACCACCATGGCATGTATATACCTATGTAACAAACCTACACATTCTGCACATTCTGAACTTAAAGTATAATAATTTTTAAAAAAGAGTAAAAATTTTCACTTTTGAAGAAGTTCAAGTTAATATTTTATTTTACATATTAAATGTTTAATGTCATATACAGCACTTATTTGTTTCAACTAAGGTCACAAAGATTTATCTTATGTTTATATCTAAGATTTCAATACATTCAGGTTGGCTTTTTATTAATGTTTATATATTTTGCAAGCTATGAATCAAATTTGTTTTTCTATTGCTTATAAATACCCAACTGTTTTACATTTCTTGCTTTGAAAACTCTTCCATTTCTTCAAAGCTGATACTTTCCCTGATGAATTGACTTGCTATTTAAAAAAAAAGATTTTAACTATATGTATAAATCTGTTTTTGTATTTTCTATTCTGTTCTGTTGATCTATTTAGTCTTTCTTGAGGACAATATCACACAGTCTTGACTATTTCAAAATCATGAACATGGTATATCTCCCCAAATTTTATCTTTTATTTGAGATATCTGGAAAGCATATAGGTCTAGAAGTTGAAATTTGTTCTACCTATATTAGTTAGTCTTCAAGTAGAAATGATGATGGAAAAGATTGCAGTGATCAAAATTACCTAGGGAGAATGTATAGCATGAAAGAGTAATAAGCAGTTCATGCAGATCTCTGATTTAGCTTACACACCTAGAGGAAGATTAAATGAAGATCAATTTGCAAGTGAATTTAAAATTTTGTGACAAAATTTTAGGAGCAAAATTAGGACACCGTGGTGTTACAGAATCTAAAGAACTATTTTGAGCTGCTTTTGAAAAATAAACATAAAAGTTACCAATCTGTATGACTGACTTTTGCAACACTTTCTCATTGAAAACACATATTCTACAAAAAAACATTATTTTTGTAACCTTATCATTTGGGACTCACTTTATCTAGCAGATCTAAGTACTTATACGTTTTTACGTATGTTCCCATCTATAAATTATCTGTTATATTGTCAATGACATTTTCTTCTTCTAATAAAAGCATGCTCAATTTTAACTATTTGTCTTAACTTATTTTGGAGATTCAAGGTACATTTTGTTGTTGTTTTTATTATTTTATTTTATTTTACTTTAATTTCTGGGATACATATGCAGAATTTGCAGGTTTGTTACATAGGTATACATGTGCCATGGTGGTTTGCTGCCCCTATCAAACCATCATCTAGGTTTTAAGCTGCATGCATTAGATATCAGTCCTGATGCTCTCCCTCCCCTTTCCCCCCACGCCCCAACAGGCCCCACTGTGTGTTGTTCCCCTCCCTGTGTCAATGTGTTCTCGTTGATCAACTCTCACTTATGAGTGAGAACATGAGGTGTTTGGGTTTCTGTTCCTGTGTTAGTTTGATGAGGATGGTGGTTTCCATGTTCCTACAAAGGATATGATCTAGTTCTTTAGATGGCTGCATAGTATTCCATGGTGTATATGTACCACATTTTCTTTATCTAGTCTATCACTGATGGGCATTTGGGTTGGTTCCATGTCTTTGCTATAATAAATAGTATAGCTGCTGCAATAAACATATGTGTGCATGTGTCTTCATAATAGAATGATTTATATTCCTTTGGGTATATACCAAGTAATGTGACTACTGGGTCATGGGATTTCTGATTCTAGATCCATGAGGAATCTCCACACTGTCTTCCACAATGGTCGAACTAATTTTCATTCCCACCAACAGTGATTCAAGGTATTTTTGATGGTTTCTTTGTTTGTCTATTTTGCCTTTCATTTGTTTTTGTAAAGGGAGAAAATTTTGGGCTTAGGGAATACCATAATGCTTTAAACTTCGAGCTATTTCTTCTTTTTTTTCTCAAATAATGTCATTTTGTCATAGATCTCTGAAAATGACCTTGAAAACTTCCCATAAAAATCAACAGAACTTACGATGTTCAGAGCATAAGAAATAAATGTCACCTTCAAGATTCATCAAAATGAGCTTAGATGAAATTTTAATTGCCATACTCAAGCCACTTAAATAGTTAACCAAGACATTCTCCCTTGTTTCTACAGTGATACATAGTATTGAAAATTGCTTTGACTGCACACTCAAATTATTACAATTCAACTTTCTTCAACATCATAAATTGAAAGGATATCATGTGGATCTTTGTTGTTCCCAATTAGGATTGAAAATAACTTCTGGCCAAATTAGTAGTGTAGAGACTTATGGAATGAAGTCAATTTAAAACAGAATTTTTTTGAGTTAATGGTAAGAAAGAGTTTGTTGCAATAAAATTCTTTGAAATTTTAGATATGAAATTGGTACAAAAACTTAATACAAATTCATCTACCTGATTTTTTGTGGCAATGTCATAAATAAAAGAAATATGGTCTCATCTTTCCTAAATATTTTGCTCATGCTCTTTGACAATACCGTAAAATGTACTTAAACTACATAAGAATCTTCCAGTAAAATAAAATGCAACATTTCACTCAGAAGTAAAACATTTTTAAAATAGTGTCCAACAATTGCTTCAAGAGGGTGACAACTTATGAACACCCTGTTCTAAGTGTTTCCACCCTAATTGGTTTCTTTCTTTTTTTTTTTTTTTTTGAGACAAAACCTTGCTCTGTTACCCAAGCTGGAGTGCAGTGGTGTGACCTCGGCTCACTGCAACCTCCGCCTCCTGGGTCCAGCGGATTCTTCTGCCTCAGCCAACCAAGTAGCTGGGATTAGAAGCAACTGCCACAATGCCCAGTTAATTTTTGTGTTTTTTGTTTGTTTGTTTGTTTGTTTGTTTTAGTAGAAGTGGGTTTCACCATGTTGGCCAGGCTGGTCTCGAACTCCTGACTTCAAGTGATTGGACTCCCAAAGTGCTGGAATTACAGGCATAAGCCACCATGCCTGGCCTCCCCTAATTTGCTTCTTTAAACCTCTCTACATCATCACAAGTTGGGTGTTACTATGATCACTATTTTACAGGTGAGCATATGAGGAACAGAGAGGTTAAGGAGGAACAGGGTGATCTGCTACAACTCTTCAGCAGGGCATTCTGGGCAGGACTGTCTAACTTGTGAGAGGCAAGGGGACTATTTATAGCCTATGTATTCCCGTTAAAGTAACAAACATATATCAAGAATAAATATTACAGTATATTTCTAGCAACCATCTAGAAGTAGGAAATAGTATCAGTACCATATTGTCAGATGACAGTAGGATTAAATAAAACCGGAGTAACTAAGTAACTGACCCTTTATTCCCTGCATTTAAAAGAAAAGTATGTCTTGGAGTTGAATTAAGTAACCTGGGATAGATCTCTAAAAATCTGTAAGTGAAACAGGGGTCACATATTAACATGTTATACTAGAAACAGTGTCTAAGAGAGGAATTTGGCACTGGAATCTACATAGGGAACAATTAAATTATCCATAAATGTTTTTTACTTTATCTTGAAAAAGGTATAGTACCAAAAACTCCACAAACACTGCTAGACCCTCCATAATATGTGTGGGCTCTAAGATAAGAGTGGAAATAGAGGCCCACATAACATGTGTATAAATATTTTAACATTATAAAGCAAACTACTCCAATAATCTGGCCTGCATTTCCACCTAGGTTCTCAATGGCCCACTTCCTGACCACCACCCTCTGGAGTCCAAAGGAGATTTGCTTATTCCCAATGTTATTCCTGCAGGTCAGCCAAAGAGGAGCAAAGAGTCATCTACCTCAATCATGTTCAGGAAATGATCAGGTCAAGATGTGGAGTGAGCCAGCTTTTCTCTTTCGTGCCACATTTTCTGACCCAGCATTTCAAGGTACTTCTAATACACAAAGACTATTACAAGAGGGAGGAAAGAAGGAAGGTCAGTTATCTGAAGAACTGAGGCTAGCTAGAAGCCCAAATTTGGTGTGATGGGGGCCATCAAATCTCAACAGAAACAGCTTTCTCTCTCTGTTATCCTGGACAGGGCTTGTGATTTTTTTTTTTCCTCCACTCAGCCATAGACTCTCAGCTACATATCCTCTAGCCTGGAGTAGTCAAATCAGCTCATCTCTTTCTCTCTCATACCAAACTTTCAAAAACAAAACAAAACAAACCAAAAAAACACTTTGTTATTGGAATAAATGAGAAAAATGTATTTGTGTTTAAATATCTGTGATACATGGACCATCAAAAGCCTCGCTGCTAATGAAGGCAATTATTTAGGTTTACTTAATCTATTAACTTATCAGTTAATAACTGCTATTTATTCTGCTAGAAATTCCCAATGGTATAATTGTTTCTGGCTGTAGCTCCTTCCATGCTTTGTACATCTTACTTGTGGTAGGCAGAATCACAGCTCTCCACAAATGATGTGATTTGGCTGTATCCCCACCCAAATCTCACCTTGAATTGTAATAATTCCATGTGAAGAATGGGATCAGGTAGAGAGAATTTAATCATGGGGAAGGTTTATCCCATGCTGTTCTTGTGGTAGTAAATAAGTTTCACGAGATCTGCTGGGTTTATAAACGGGAGTTCTCCTGCACAAGCTCTCTTGCCTGCCACCACGTGGGATGCAACATTGCTTCTCATTCGCTTTCCACCATGATTTTGAGGGCTCACCAGCCATGTGGAACTATAAGTCAGTTAAACCTCTTTCTTTTATAAATTACCCAGTCTCAGCTGTGTCTTTATTAGCAGTGTGAGGACAAACTAATACAACGGGTGTCCACATTCTAGTCCCCAGAATTTGTGAATATGTTAGTTGCATGGCAAAGGAAAATTGAAATTGTAGACTAAACTAAGGTTGTTCGTCAGTTGATATTAAGATAGGAAAGTTATTCTGGATTATCCTGATGGGACCAAAATAATCAGAAGGACATTTACAAGTGGAAGGAGGCAGAAGAAGTTAGAGTGATGAGATGGGAACTCACAAACTGCCATTGCTGGCCCTTTAAAAGAATTTAAATCTTGTTTTATGACACATAATTATTGTACATATTGATGGGATACAGTGTGATGTTTCAACACGTGTATGTATAGTTTAAATATTGAATCAGGATATTCAACATATTCTTCACTTCATACATCTTTGATATCTTTACGGTGAGAGAATTCAAAAATCCTCTCTTCTAGCTATTTTGAAATATACAATACAATATTGCTAACCATAGTCACCCTGACTCCATTCCTCATTTTAAAAATGGAGGAAGGGACAGTGATCAAAGGAATGCAAGCAGCCTCTGGGCTGTGGAAAACCAAAGGAAACAAACTCTTCCCACAGACCCCCCCCCAAGAAAAAACCAACCCTGGCAGTATCTTGGTTTTACCATGGTGTGATCAAGTCAGATTTCTGTCTTACAGAACTGTAACATAATAAATCTGTATTGTTTAAGCTACTAAGTTTGAAGTAATTTTACTAAAACTTGAAAGGAATTTACATTTTGCTTTTAAAGTTCTTATTTTTGAAACTTTAGACAGAGATCAACAAATCCTCAACAAGAGATAGCTCAATTTTTACCTTTGCAAAAGGAATTATGTTACATATCTATGAGAATGAATAACTACAGCACAGAAAAATACTCATAAGTAATATATTATTTGAAATCAGGAGTCTAATAAGAGAAAATGCAAATGTACCCTTTTCTATAAGATTTAGATAAATTACATGAAAAAATATGTGTGATAAGAGGTATGTGTTCTGAGTTAATACATATAAAATCTGAAAAAATTGCAACAGGAACAATAAATATGGAAATTGAAATCACAAAAAAATCAATGAATTTGAAGACCATTTGGAGAAATGCTTATATCATCCTAAGATTAATTTATTCTAACCATGCACCAGTGATAGTATTATAAGAAGAAATAAATTCATTATCATTTTTTACTGTATTTATTTTTTAAGACAGAGATTGGTACTAATTCAGTAATGGAAAACTAATTGTAAAATTTGTACTGTGGTAAATTTGGAAAACAAGGCATGGCACAGAAAGAGTATATAATAAAATCATTTGGCATAAAGGCCATTTGAAATGGATTAATTATGGTGATGAAACATGTCATCATTTCCTGGACAAGTAGGGAAGATAGGCAATGAGAAGGCTATGGAGGAGAGAGAAGAGAGTAGAGTCCATAGAGTGACAGTCTTCAACAGGTTAAAAACCTGTACGAGTTCAGGTCTTGAACAAGCGATATTGGATGAAATGGGAGGTAGAGAGGACCAAAGAGTAGGATTTTTTTTTTTTTTAATATTGAGAAACATTTGCTGTCTAAAATAGAGAAGAAATGTTATTAACATGCATGGTGGTCAAGAAACTGACAGGTAAGATTTGAAAGAGTTACCAGTTTGAGGTAAGCACAATAGAGAATAACGACAGAGTTTATAATGGAGAGAATGTCTTTGAAAGCCAAAAGCAAAAGTTGTCTTAATAGAGAAAGAAACCAAACAAAGGTTTGAAAAAGCATTTGAATGGAAAGTTTGGTGTAGACGTACGTTATGAACCATAAACTGTCAAAGTTTATTGGTGATGCTTGCTGGTTTATTTACTTGTTGGTTTTCAGAAGGAAAGAACTATAATAGACTGATAACTACAAATTAACTGAAATTGTATATACCCCGCCTCCTCATGATTAGGCAAGTGAAGATGGGGTGAGCAAAATAGTAGCAACCCATTGAAAGGGCTGTTGAAGGGGTTATATTTTCCAGACATATCAGGAGTTCAAGTTGTTATTAAAAATGCAAAAAGAGTTTGCTAATCAGAACATAAGCATTCAATATCTATCACTATCAAGTTGTGAGATAAGGGATAGGTAATTGATTCTGTTGGAAAAGCAGAGTCATATAATGATGACAGTCTGATAATACCTCTGTGACTTGAAAGTGACAGAAGTAAACAGGAACATGAAGCAAAGAGTTTTAGTTCTGATAGTCTCTTTGAGGAGGAGGAATAATGGCACTATTGTCATTTTTTGAATATTTCCCCTAGTATTTTTAGGGATTTCACAAATCGTTCTAATGCCTTAAAGGACTACCACTCTGGAACATCGCTCAAAGCAATGTTCTTGTGAGGATTAGGCTTAATGAAAAGTCCTGTAATGCTTGGACACATGGAAAGCTGACCAGTATTAGATAAAACAAAATTGTTATAGTTGGGAATTATTACTATACGTATTTTCATCATCATTTTGCAACATTTATAATTTTTTCTTAATGAAATATGTTGATTTTTCAGTGTTTTTAAAGTAAAATTGTATTACATTTAAAAAATTAATGGAGAACTATTCTGTTGAAGACAATGAATGCATATTATGCTTAACATGTTAATATGTGTTTCACATTATTTATAGATTTTGTCTACTGCATTGAAATTTGCTAGAATGCTGCATATGTAGAGCTTAATGTAATCACTTCCTAACTATAATCTCTGGAGCCAACCCAGTTACAATAAAATTAACTCTAATTTTGTGTCTTTTATTTGTTTCTACTTCTAGGTTAAATGT